>NC_000011.10:111717879-112020909 GCF_000001405.40 Homo sapiens | reverse complement strand
AATATACTTTTTTCTTCTGTTTGCTTTCGAAATGCATTCTTTCTTTTGCTGACTTTCCCAAACTTTCCCAGTCGTTTCTGATGAAAAATTCTTCAATAGGAAAAGACCAGGTAAACTTACATGAAAGACATCAAGTATCTTTTGAGCTCCTTCTCTCTGCCAGAGGAGCAATCAACTGGATTACACAAAACTACCTTCACAACTAAAACAGGTAGAATTGGAACAGGAATTAGTTGTCATTAATATACTCGTAATAAAATAAAGCTTGTTCTGAAACCACAAGGGGTGGTAAGAAGAGACTGTATAAAAGCTACTGGGTTCTCTAGAAAATGGATACAGTATACAGAATGTGAGAAGATACAGAACTCACACTCCAGTTATAAAAATAGACATGGTTCTCAGACAAAAAGCAAATGAGTACAAAAGAATTCTCCAAACGTGAACTATTTTTAAAAGATACATCTATATAAAACAACAAGATGTCATCTCAGAGCTCCAAAGAGTAGTTTGTTGAAATGGCTGAAAAGGGGAGATGAATTGGAGACAGATAGGTCAAGAACCCAGAACAGATGTGTCCTACTCTTGTGTTTGGCAGTGTACATTGGAGGTCACAGGCAGATAGACTGCTTTTGGTAATACATATATAAATAATAATGGCTGACTGGTTGATGGTGCTTGATGGATGAATGAGAAAACCCAGGTTATCAAATAATCTCGGTAGTTGAACTGTTAGCTTCTTCACTTGACAATGTTGCACATCAGAAATGATTCTAGGTTTTTTTTACCCAGAATGATCCCTGCCATTCACAACTCATGCTCCACGCCCCATGGTTTCTATTGTGCCCTAAAAGATCAGCCTAGACTAATACATAAATAGAAAATAACTCTGGCCTTGAAATGAGGGGCAGACAAGTACTTCATGCTCAGTACTTATAAATCACAAAGAAATGCTGAAATTAATGGTCTGTCTCCTTTTACTACAAAGGAGATGCCATGAGTTAAAGTCATGAAACAAAGAAAGTCAAAAAGATATGGGTAGCAGCACCTTTCCATACCCGCCTGGATTTTCAAGGAGCTTTTCACTCCTTATGCCTTTCAAACAAAAGTTCATCAGTTTGAAGAAAAAGAAATGGCTCTAAAGTTAAAGAGTCCCCAGAGAAAACTAACAGTACATGAAATAGGCCCTATGTGGGCAAAAGGACAAGCTGCAGAACCAGTTAAGACAGAAGAGGCAGCCCAAGGTCTTACTAAATTACAGTTTTAGCATAGTGTAGCACAACATGGGCAGCCCTTTTTCCATCCAAGCAACAATTCAGCACCATCCACGTCTGGTTCAAAAGATTACTGAAGTCTGGGCTTTCATCTTTGGTACCACCTCATGAGTTATTCTTGGTTTGCAGTAGGTTCAAAGAAACAGAAAAGCTGGTACCTTTGCCTTGTCTGTGAGTACAAACGCTGGGACTCTGATTGCTGCAACCATTGAGGCCAATTAAAATAATACTGTAACACACAGGAATGATGCATCCAATTCCTAATTTCCAGATAATAGCAGCCATGCCCCTACAGAGGCGGGATCATCCATCCCCATCGTTTAAGGCCTTCGGTTTGTTGTCCTCAGAGTAGAATAGAACACTGTGTTCCCACGGACAAGGAACTCCAGATGAACCCATGGTCTACATTTGGACAGAATTTTAAGTACCAGATATGCCAGGCACAGAAAGAGGACTGACCTGTGGCCATCATGCTTGGAGAAGCTTCTGTTTTGGCACACAAACTAGAAACTTCTTAGTGTATTCTGGTTTTAGTTCCCTTTCCTGAGTGAAGCAGCCAGGGAGTGACCAGGTTCCATAAGCCCTCAATCTGATACTTGGCATTAATTCTCTCCATGGTCTTCTTCCACCCAAGCTACAATTTTCCCTTCCCATCCAGGGATGGCATCATCATCATGGAAAATCTAGAGAAAAAAACAAAAAGCCACAGTGAAAAAACAGGGAATCTGATTCACTAAACAATTGCTGCTAATAAAAATAAGACCTCAACCATGTAGAAGAAAGCCTTGAGTTAAGAGTCTATGTCCTTTTGGTCTTGTCCCTAGAACTGCAACTGATATTTTATTTTTTTCTTAGATCCACATCTATGAAATGGTTTTAAAAAATGCCTGATACTACTTTGCTCATAGAGATTTGTAAGAATTAATAAATTACCAATCACAAAGTACTTTGGGCTTCTTAGAGGAAAGATGTAGTGTTAAGTATTTTAAAAATGAGAAAGTGGAAAATTTAGTTACCAGGCAATGTAAAGAAAGGGTGGGGAAAAAAGACTCATTTTAACACATTTCTCAGATGCAGTTATTTTCATTAATTCATTCAACTCATTTCCTAAGCCACTAATAAAACAGGGTTACTAAAACATTTCACTGAGGAAATGTTTACAAAATAAAATTTTACTTTCTCTATAATAACTTTTTTCATTCTGTAACTGCAGTGAATCCACTTGTAATACTATATAACCCAGAACTGTATTCCCCCAAAAGTCTATCTTTGACAAATGGATTATAAAGAGACGCGTAGGCTAAGAAAATACTTACTCAAGGAGTTGGGCATAAGCATACATAACTCCCTAGAAGTTCCTTGATTTCATTATGAGAAATACACAGTTCCATATATCCATGCGTGTTTATTTTGCTCTACATAGGAAGCAAGAAGTTTTCTAAGATTTGGCTGCAGATGGAAAATTATTTATTGTCTTAGGTTCTTTATTTTCCCTAACAAAATAATTTAAAATAAAAATTATATCCAAGTTCTCAGTCAAATGATGAAGTCCTACAACTAAAGAACCTATCAGCATCTTGGACTATTCTATGACCACTTGTCTAGAGTAATCAGACCATGGTCTGAGGCTCTGGCAAATTCTTCTGACCTAGTCAGGGAACTCATGTACTTCTGGACACTAGTGCTTGAACAGGAGGCTTCAGGGTTCAGAAAGGACCAATAATACCATACAGACTCCCCACAGATTCTTTACCTCCTCTTTGACAGTGCCAAACTCAGGATCCAGTGCTTTGAAGTGATACCGGTGATTTCCTTCCCGATCAATAGCTGCTTTAAAATCCTTTAACGTCACCTCCTCCAACCTGCAACACAAGGAGAGAGCACTAAAATAGACTGTTGATCAATAGCTGGAAAGATAAGATGTTAACTTTAAACACAGCCCCCTGCCAAAGTCAATAAGCAGAAATAGCCCCTTGTTAGGTCACTGCCCCGATAACCCAGATGACTAAAACAGCAGAGGCTGGAGAACCAGTCATCACTAGGGAATGAAAACAGTATTAAATATGGGGTGATGTGAGAATTTAAAATTGACTTATTGCTTCAGAAGCCAAATCACTTTTCTCTGGAAATAAGATATAAAGTCCCTGAAATAAAATTTGTTGAATAACCATAAATATATCAAAGTTCTCTTGATTTTCTTCTTTGCTACAATATCCCAATTCTCTAGGATGGTAGAATCAAATCAAGTATCATGATCTTTATCCCTCTATCTTTAGGAAGCTGGCTTCTAACCCAGACTAAATAAGCAGACTAAGTAAGAAAAATCCTATAACCTCTCTCAATAGTTGGTTGCAGAGTTTAAATATTTCTATTTCAAAACCATTTCCCTTAAAAGGAAGCACATTAACTTTCTGGAAGGTTTTTGACATAATTTCTCAATAGGGATTAGCTGCAGTCATTGAATAGTAACAAAGATCAATTAGTCATAGTCCTGGAGTGAGTGCCAGGCTGCAATCCATTGTATCAGCAGGAGCTATTTTGAACACTTAAAAAAAAAAAAAAAGATTTTCCCAAATGCAGAGCCATATTTGCATAGTTATCAGGATTGGAAGTACTATTATTGTACCTGTATCTAGTAGTAGATCATGACTTGTCCTTTATAATACCACTGAATAGTGGCAAAGCTGAAACTAGAATCTGTCTCTCTGGCTTATCTCACTATAGTGAGATCTCACTATACTGCTTCTCAAACACCTTTCAGCTGCTCATGTGGGCAGTAACTAATGAGGTTCTGCCTTCCTTTCCTTCTTTACAGTGAAATACAATGATCCCAGAATCTCACCTCTTTGGTATATTGACCATGAAGGGCGTAAGTGACCGGTCAGTGAAATAGAGCACTTTAGTACAGGTGCTGCTGACAGTTGGAGAGCTCTGTGAGTGAGGCAACTCTACAATCAGAAAGAGACTGTGGTTAGAACATTCATTTGCTCTAAACCAGCCATCTGCAGTTATTCAAAGTGTCCCGGGAGAACAAAGCTGCCTGAGGTCACAGCCCACAGCTCTCACACCCTTGCCAAACACAATGTCCATATGCTATGGTTGCCTAGGACCACGAGGACAAGACTTGCTTCAGACATGGACACGATCGCGAGGACTCATCACTCCTCACTCATAGTAGGGGAACAGCAACTGATATGACAGGTATCATTGTTAAAGATCAAAAAAGGACAGAGAAGCATGGGAAGATTTCAGCCAGGCAGGGTAGACACACAGCAGAAGCTGTAGACTCTGCCAATATTTAGGTTTTGGAGGTCCGTAGTAGAGAATACTCATGTGACTCATAGAAAGAAAAACCGATAGGAACAAGAACCACAGAAGCAAAGCAACCTTAGAAACTCAGATCCCAAGGGGCTTATGCTCCCAGTCTAAAAGGTACAGAACCTTAGCAACTTAAGATCTATAGTGTTGATGCCATGGTCTTTAACACAGGTTTGTTGATAAACTTTTTTTTTTTTTTAAGACAGGGTCTCGCCGGGCGCGGTGGCTCACGCCTGTATTTCCCAACACTTTGGGAGGCCGAGGGGGGTGGATCACGAGGTCAGGAGTTCAAGAACAGCCTGGCCAACATGGTGAAACCCCATCTCTACTAAAAATACAAAAATTAGCTGGGCGTGGTGGCACATGCCTGTAATCCCAGTTACTTGGGGAGGCTGAGGCAAAGAACTGCTTGAACCCGGGAGGTGGAGGTTGCAGTGAGCCGAGATCGTGACACTGCACTCCAGCCTGGGTGACAGAGTGAGACTCTGTCCCTGCCGCAAAAAAAAAAAAAAAAAAAAAAAGACAGGGTCTCGCTCTGTCGCCCAGGCTGGAGTGCAGTGGTGCAATCTCAGCTCACTGCAACCTCCACCTCCCAGGTTTAAGTCATTCTCGTGCCTCAGCCTCCCGAGTAGCTGGGATAACAGGTGTGTGCCACCACGCCCAGCTAATTTTTGTATTTTTAGTAGAGACAAGGTTTTGCCATGTTGGCCAGGCTGGTCTTGAACTCCCTGCCTCAAGTAATCCACCCACCTTGGCCTCTCAAACTGTTGGGATTACAGGCATGGGCCACTGCACCTGGACTGTCTCTACCTTTTAAAAAGGTACTTTTGGAAAAGTATAAGTCCTTGTAATTATGACTTTCGTAGGAGAAATGACCAATCAGAACCTTTTATCAAAAATTAATAATTAAACTGTTACTAAAATATCTCCTGCTATTCCACCTGTACTGATCTTCCTCTTAACTTATTCTAGGCATTCATATTGGCAGCCACAGAACAGTAGTTCTGGGAGGGGGTTTAAAATAAGGAATATGAAGGATGAATTAATAGAGGGGAAAAAGACAAAGGAACGTCCCCTCTTTGAACACAAATGGCATTCAGTCTGTTTTCAGAGTTTTTCTTCAAAGAATGCTAATTGGCCAGGCGCGGTGGCTCATGCCTGTAATCCTAGCACTTTGGGAGGCCGAGGTGGGCGGATTGCCTGAGCTCAGGAGTTTGAGACCAGCCTGGGCAACATGGTGAAACCCCGTCTCTACTAAAATACAGAAAATTAGCCAGGCGTGGTGGCATGTGCCTGTAGTCCCAGCTACCTGGGAGGCTGAGGCAGGAGAATCGCTTGAACCTGGGAGGCAGAGGTTGCAGTGAGCCGAGATCGAGCCACTGCACTCCAGCCTTGGTGACAAAGTGAAACTCTGTCTCCAAAAAAAAAAAAAGAATGCCAATTATTGTAACCTACATGCCATAATTCTCCTTTGCCCCAGCATCTAGCACAGTGCCCAGCACACAGTGGTTGTTGAATAAATAAAATACTCACTTTTAACATTAAAGCTATATATTTAATTTATTCATTCATTCAACAAACATTTATTACCTACTGTGTGTTCGATTTGAGAATATAAAAATAAACTATATGTGGTCTCCAACCTCCCAAGAGTTTATCATTTAGTATGGATGATGGATACAATTACAAATAATTACAATACACTAAAATCAGATTTCTACAAGCTGTATTGGAAGACTGAAGATGGCGAGGTTAATTCCACCTGGAACAGGTCAGGAAGGGCCCATGGTTGGAGAGTCCTTTTTAAAAGCACCTTTTAAAAATCACGAGATACTAAAGTTGAAAAGAGTATTCCAAGAAGAGGGAAGGACAGGTGCAGAAGCATGAAATGGGATCATATATTTACAAAACTGTAGGTGAATTAGTAAGGCTGGAGCATAATGAATACATTGGGAAGTTGTGAGGTAATTAAGTAGGCAGCAGCCAGATCACAAAAGACTCTGACAGGGTAAGAGTTCAAGATGTTAGTCTTAAGCTATGGAAAGTTACTAAAAGGTAGTGATATGATTAGACTGGCATTTTAGAAAAGTTGATCTCGCAGCAAAGTATGGATTGGATGGGACAAACTGGAAGCCAGAAATCCTGTGCAGTAGTTTGGGTGTTTGTCCCCCAACACCTCATGTTGAAAGTTGATCCCCAATGTTGGAGGTGGGGCCTAATGGGAAGTGTTTGGGTCATGGAGGCAGATTCCTCAAGACTAGATTAATGCCCTCCTTGGGGAGGAGGAGTGAGTACTCACCCATTAGTTCCCACAAAACTGCTTGTTAAAAAGAGCCTGGCACCTCCCTCCACTCTCTTGCTTCCTCTCTCCATGTAATCTCAGCACATGCCAACTCCCATTTGCCTTCTGCCGTGAGTGAAAGCCGATTGAGGCTTTCACCAGATGCCCAACTTTCCAGCCAGCCGAATTGTGAGCCAAACAAACCTCTTTTCCTCCTAAGTTACCTAGCCTCAGGTATTCCTTTATGGCAACACTCAACTGACTAAGACATCCTGTTAAGAGGCAATAAAAACAATCTGACACATGATGATAGGAAAGATGTAGCCCTGGAGCCAGAGAAGGGATGAATTTGAAAGACCTTTAGAAAGTCAAAGTCTTAGTACTAGGGATATAGTTGAACATAGGGTATATAAAAGGGAAAAGTAAACAATGACTGAGATTTACAACCTGGGAAGACAGATACATGGTAATACCATTACCTAAGACAGGGGAACACAAGATGAATTACGTCATCTCATTATTCATTTTAAATGTTTATAGGGTGCCTTATTATGTATCAAGTATTAGAGATACACAAATAAATTAGATATAATCCCCACCCTTAAGGAGCTCAAAAGTCTAGTGGAGTGAAATAGCAAAACAGTTACCATACAATAAAATAAATATGAAAATAATATTGCTATGGACTGAATTTGTTCCCCCCCCCCACCCCACCCCCACCCCCCGACCCGTCAACTTCATATGTTGAAGCCCTTATCTGCTATTTGACTGTTTTGGAGATAGGGCCTTTAAGGAGGTAATTAAGATTAAATGAGGTCATACGGGTGGAGCCCTGATCCAACAGAACTAGTCCTTATAAGAGATACCAGAGCTTTCTCTCCCCCATGTGAGGACACAGAGACAACGTGCCTTCTACAAGCCAGGCAAGGAGCCCTCACCAAAACCTGGCCATGCTGGCAACCTGATCTTGTACTTCTAGCCTCCAGAACTGTGAGAAAATTAATTTACGTCGTTTAAGAGAGTTGAAGGTATTTTGCAATGGCAGCCCAAGCTGACTAATACAAATGTTATGTACACATTTGGGGAGAATGTCAAAGAGAGAGTAATCATGATGTCAAATGCTACACAGGGGTCTAATAGGCAAAGACTGCTTTGGTAAAAATATCATTGATGATACTAGTGAAAAGTCGATTCAGATGACTAATGAAGAATGAGTTGGATTGCATAGACTTTTCAAGTAAAAAAGCAAAATAAGAGTAATGAGGGAGAACTTGTCTCACCCAACATAAAGCCGTATGACAAAATGATAGTTATTACAGTATTATGGCATTACTATAAAAAACACGTACAAAAAAACTCATGCAGGATAAGTGGCTCAGAAACATATCCTTGTGTATATCTACAAATTTAATACATGATTTTGAAAAGTACCACAAAACAGGTGATTAATAGTTATAGCTTATAAGTTTAGGCTTATCCATTTGGAGTTGATTTTTGCATATGGTATGAAGTATAGGTCAAACTCACTTAAAAAAATAGATCTTTAACTTTTCTAGCACCGTTTTTGAAAAGCCTATCCCTTTATCATTCAATTGTCTTTGCACTATTGTAGAAAATCAACTGGTAAAATGTGTCTATTTTTAACTCTATGCTGTTCCACTCATCTATGTATCTACCAATTCACCAATACTACACTGTCTTGATTACCCTAACTTTACAGTTAATTTTGATATCAGACAGTATGGTCCACCAACTGCACTGTTCATCTTTTTCACCATTTGGGTTGGGAGGGCAGTTAATTCTAGTCCCCTTATTCTTTCCTATAAATTTTAGAATTGGCTTGTTTATATCTACAAAAGCCTGGTAGGATTTTCACTGGAACTGCATTGAAGCTATAGATCATTTGTGGAAGAATAGGCCATCTTAACAATGTTGAGTACTCCAATCCATAAACAGTATATCTCTCCGTTTATTTAAATCTTTATTTCATCCTTATTTTATACTTGTCAGTATAGTCATTGCACATATTTTATGAAGTTTATACCTAAGATTTTCATGAGGGTTTTTCTTTTCCTTTTTCCTTTTTTACTATACTTTAAGTTCTAGGGTGCATGTGCACAACGTGCAGGTTTGTTACATAGGTATACATGTGCCATGTGGGTTTGCTGCACCCATCAACTTGTCATTTACATTAGGTATTTCTCCTAATGCTATCCCTCCCCCCGTCCCCCCCTCCACGACAGGCTCCAGTGTGTGATGTTCCCCGCCCTGTGTCCATGTGTTCTCATTGTTCAATTCCCACCTATGAGTGAGGACATGCGGTGTTTGGTTTTTGGTCCTTGTGATAGTTTGCTGAGAATGATGAACTCCAGTTTCATCCATGTCCCTGCAAAGGACATGAACTCATCCTTTTTTATGGCTGCATAGTATTCCATGGTGTATATGTGCCACATTTTCTTAATCCAGTCTATCATTGATGGACATTTGGGTTGGTTCCAAGTCTTTGCAATTGTGAATAGTGCTGCAATAAACATGCGTGTGCATGTGTCTTTATAGTAGCATGATTTATAATCCTTTGGGTATATATCCAGTAATAGGATCTCTGGGTCAAATGGTATTTCTAGTCTAGATCCTTGAGGAATCGCCACACTGTCTTCCACAATGGTTGAACTAATTTACACTTCCATCAACAGTGTAAAAGCATTCCTATTTCTCCACATCCTCTCCAGCATCTGTGGTTTCCTGACTTTTTAATGATCGCCACTCTAACTGGTGTGAGATGGTATCTCATTGTGGTTCTGATTTGCATTTCTCTGATGACCAGTGATGATGAGCATTTTTTCATGTGTCTGTTGGCTGCAGAAATGTCTTCTTTTGAGAAGTGTCTATTCATATCCTTTGCCCACTTTTTGATGGGGTTGTTTGATTTTTTTCTTGTAAATTTGTTTAAGTTCTTTGTAGACTCTAGATATTAGCCCTTTGTCAGATGGGCAGATTGCAAAAATTTTCTCCCATTCTGTAGGTTGCCTGTTCACTCTGATGATAGTTTCTTTTGCTGTGCAGAAGCTCTTTAGTTTAATTAGATCCCACTTGTCTATTTTGGCTTTTGTTGTCATTGCTTTTGGTGTTTTAGTCATGAAGTCCTTGTCCATGCCTATGTCCTGAATGGTATTGCCTCGGTTTTCTTCTAGGGTTTTTATGGTTTTAGGTCTAACGTTTAAGTCTTTAATCCATCTTGAATTAATTTTTGTATAAGGTGTAAGGAAGGGATCCAGTTTCAACTTTCTACATATGGCTAGCCAGTTTTCCCAGCACCATTTATTAAACAGGGAATCCTTTCCCCATTTCTTGTTTTTGTCAGGTTTGTCAAAGATCAGATGGTTGTAAATGTGTGGTGTTATTTCTGAGGCCTCTGTTCTGATTCATTGGTCTATATATCTGTTTTAGTACCAGTACCATGCTGTTTTGGTTACTGTAGCCTTGTAGGATAGTTTGAAGTCAGGTAGCATGATGCCTCCAGTTTTGTTCCTTTGCTTAGGATTGCCTTGGCAATGTGGGCTCTTTTTTGGTTCCATATGAACTTTAAAGTAGTTTTTTCCAATTCTGTGAAGAAGACATTGGTAGCTTGATGGGAATGGCATTGAATCTATAAATTACCTTGGGCAGTGTGGCCATTTTCATGATATTTATTCTTCCTATCCATGAGCATGGAATGTTCTTCCATTTGTTTGTGTCCTCTTTTATTTCCCTGGGCAGTGGTTTGTAGTTCTCCATGAAGAGGTCCTTCACATCCCTTGTAAGTTGGATTCCTAGGTATTTTATTCTCTTCGTAGCAATTGTGATTGGGAGTTCACTCATGATTTGGCTGTTTGTCTGTTATTGGTGTACAGGAATGCTTGTGATTTTTGCACATTGACTTTGTATCCTGAGACTTTGCTGAAGTTGCTTATCAGCTTGAGATTTTGGGCTGAGATGATGGGGTTTTCTAAATATATAGTCATGTCATCTGCAAACATAGACAATTTTACTTCCTCTTTTCCAAATTGAATACCCTTTATTTCTTTCTCTTGCCTGATTGCCCTGGCCAGAACTTCCAACACTATGTTGAATAGGAGTGGTGAGAGAGGGCATCCCTGTCTTGTGCCAGTTTTCAAAAGAAATGCTTCCAGTTTTTGCCCATTCAATATGATATTGGCTGTGGGTTTGTTGTAAATAGCTCTTATTATTTTGAGATACGTTCCATCAATACCCAGTTTATTGAGAGATTTTAGCATGAAGGGCTGTTGAATTTTGTTGAAGGCCTTTTCTGCATCTATTGAGATAATCATGTGGTTTTTCTCTTTGGTTCTGTTTATGTGATGGATTACATTTATTGATTTGAGTATGTTGAACCAGCCTTGCATCCCAGGGATGAAGCTGACTTGATTGTGGTGGATAAGCTTTTTGATGTGCTGCTGGATTCGGTTTGCCAGTATTTTATTGAAGATTTTCGCATTGATGTTCATCAGGGATATTGGTCTAAAATTCTCTTTTTTTTGTTATGTCTCTGCCAGGTTTTGGTATCAGGATGATGTTGGCCTCATAAAATGAGTTAGGGAGGAGTCCCTCCTTTTCTGTTGATTGGAATAGTTTCAGAAGGAATGGTACTAGCTCCTCTTTTCTACCTGTGGTAGAATTTGGCTGTAAATCCATCTGGTCCTGGACTTTTTTTGGTTGGTAGGCTATTAATTATTGCCTCAATTTCAGAACCTGTTATTGGTCTATTCAGAGATTCAACTTCTTCCTGGTTTAGTCTTGGGAGGGTGTATGTGTCCAGGAATTTATCCATTTCTTCTAGATTTTCTAGTTTATTTGCGTAGAGGTGTTTATAGTATTCTCTGATGGTAGTTTGTATTTCTGTGGGATCGGTGGTAATATCCCCTTTATCATTTTTTATTGTGTCAATTTGATGCCTCTCTCTTTTCTTCTTTATTAGTCTTGCTAGCGGTCTATCAGTTTTGTTGATCCCTTCAAAAAACCAGCTCCTGGATTCATTGATTTTTTTAAAGGTTTCTTGTGTCTCTATCTCCTTCAGTTCTGCTCCAATCTTAGTTATTTCTTGCCTTTTGCTAGCGTTTGAATTTCTTTGCTCTTGATTCTCGATTTCTTTTAATTGTGATGTTAAGGTGTCGATTTTAGATCTTTCCTGCTTTCTCCTGTGGGCATTTAGTGCTAAAAATTTCCCTCTACACACTGCTTTAAATGTGTCTCAGGTATTCTGGTACGTTGTGTCTTTGTTCTCATTGGTTTCAAAGAACATCTTTATTTCTCCCTTCATTTCGTTATTTAGCCAGTAGTCATTCAGGAGCAGGTTGTTCAGTTTCCATGTAGTTGTGCAGTTTTGAGTGAGTTTCTTAATCCTGAGTTCTAATTTGATTGTGCTGTGGTCTGAGAGACAGTTTGTTGTGATTTCTGTTTTTTACATTTGCTGAAGAGTGCTTTACTTCCAACTGTATGATCAATTTTAGAATAAGTGTGATGTGGTGCTAAGAAGAATGTATATTCTGTTGATTTGGGGTGGAGAGTTCTGTAGATGTCTATTAGGTCTGCTTGGTGCAGAGCTGAGTTCAAGTCATGGATATCCTTGTTAATCTGTCTCGTTGATCTAATATTGACAGTGGGGTGTAAAAGTCTCCCATTATTATTGTGTGGGAGTCTAAGTCTCTTTGTAGGTCTCTAAGGACTTGGTTTATGAATCTTGGTGCTCCTGTATTGGGTGCATATAAATTTAGGATAGTTAGCTCTTCTTGTTGAATTGATCCCTTTACCATTATGTAATGGCCTTGTCTCTTTTGATCTTTGTTGGTTTAAAGTCTGTTTTATCAGAGAGTAGGATTTCAATCCCTGCTTTTCTTTTTTTTTTTTTTTTGCTTTGCATTTGCTTGGTAGATCTTGCTCCATCCCTTTATTTGAGCCTATGTGTGTCTCTGCACGTGATATGGGTCTCCTGAGTACAGCACACCGATGGGTTTGACTCTATCCAATTTGCCAGTCTGTCACTTTTCATTGGGGCATTTAGCCCATTTACATTTAAGGTTAATATTGTTATGTGTGAATTTGATCCTGTCATTATGATGTTAGCTGCTTATTTTGCCCATTAATTGATGCAAGTTTCATCATAGCATCGATGGTCTTGACAATTTGGCATGTTTTTGCAGTGGCTGGTACCGGTTGTTCCTTTCCATGTTTAGTGCTTCCTTCAGGAGCTCTTGTAAGGCAGTCCTGGTGGTGACAGAATCTCTTAGCATTTGCTTGTCTGTTAAGGATTTTATTTCTCCTTCACTTATGAAGCTTAGTTTGGCTGGATATGAAATTTTGCGTTGAAAACTCTTTTCTTTAAGAATGTTGAATATTGGCCCCCACTCTCTTCTGGCTTGTAGAGTTTCTGTCGAGAGATCCGCTGTTAGTCTGATGGGTTTCCCTTTGTGGGTAACCTGACCTTTCTCTCTGGCTGCCCTTAACATTTTTTCCTTCATTTCCACCTTGGTGAATCTGATAATTATGTGTCTTGGGGTTGCTCTTCTTGAGGAGTATCTTTGTGGTGTTCTCTGTATTTCCTAGATTTGGATGTTGGCCTGCCTTGCTAGATTGGGTAAGTATTCCTGGATAATATCCTGAACAGTGTTTTCCAACTTGGTTCCATTCTCCCTGTCACTTTCAGGTACACCAATCAAACGTAGATTTGGTCTTTTCACATAGTCCCATGTTTCTTGGAGGCTTTGTTCGTTGCTTTTTACTCTTTTCTCTCTAAACTTCTCTTCTCACTTTATTTCATTAATTTGATCTTCAATCACTGATACCCTTTCTTCCACTTGATCGCATTGGCTATTGAAGCTTGTGCGTGCATCACAAAGTTCTCATGCCATGGTTTTCAGCTCCATCAGGTCATTTAAGGTCTTCTCTACACTGTTTATTCTAGTTAGCCATTCATCTAATCTTTTTTCAAGGTTTCTAGCTTCCTTGCAATGGGTTCAAACATCCTCCTCTAGCTCGGAGAAGTTTATTACCGACCTTCTGAAGCCGACTTCTGTCAACTCATCAAAGTCATTCTCCGTCCAACTTTGTTCCCTTGCTGGTGAGGAGCTGCGATCCTTTGGAGGAGAAGAGGTACTCTCGTTTTTAGAATCTTCAGCTTTTCTGCTCTGGTTTCTCCCCATCTTTGTGGTTTTATCTACCTTTGGTCTTTGATGTTGGTGACCTAGAGATGAGGTTTTGGTGTGGATGTCCTTTTTGTGGATGCTGATGCTATTCCTTTCTGTTCGTTAGTTTTCCTTCTAACAGTCAGGTCCCTCAGCTGCAGGTCTGTTGGAGTTTGCTGGAGGTCCACTCCAGACCCTGTTTGCCTGGGTATCACCAGTGGAGGCTGCAGAACAGCAAATATTGCAGAACAGCAAATATTGCCTGATCCTTCCTCTGTAAGCTTTGTCCCAGAGGGGCACTTGCCTGTATGAGATGTAAGTCATCCCCTACTGGGAGGTGTCTCCCAGTTAGGCTACACAGGGGTCAGGGACCCACTTGAGGAGGCAGTCTGTCCGTTCTCAGAGCTCAAACGCCATGCTGGTAGAACCACTGCTCTCTTCAGAGCTGTCAGACAGGGACGTTTAAGTATGCAGAAGTTTCTGCTGCCTTTTGTTCAGCTATGCCCTGCTCCCAGAGGTGGGGGCTACAGAATCAGCAGGCCTAGCTGAGCTGTGGTGGGCTCCGCCCAGTTTGAGCTTCCAGGCAGCTTTGTTTACCTACTCAAGCCTCAGCAATGGCAGGTGCCCCTCCCCCTGCCAGGCTGTTGCCTCGCAGTTCAATCTCTGACTGCTGCACTAGCTGTGAGCAAGGCTCTGTGGGTGTGGGAACCACCGAGCCAGGCACTGGATAGTAGCTCCTGGTCTGCATTTGCTAAGACTGTTGAAAACGCGCAGTATTTGGGGGAGGAGTGTTCCGTTTTTTCCAGGTACAGTCTGTCAGGGCTTCCTTTGTCTAGGAAAGGGAAATCTCCCAACGCCTTGCGCTTCCTGGGTGAGGCGACGCCCTGCCCTGCTTTGGTTCACCCTCCGTGGGCTACACCCACTGTCCTCCTGACCTCAAGTAATCTGCCCGCCTTGGCCTCCCAAAGTGCTGGGATTATAGTCATAAGCCACCACACCCGGCCCAGGTTTTCTATATTCTTATTGATGTTCTGTACACTACTTCTACTGATTACTGCAAAGAAGAAATATTAAAGCCTCCAATTGTAACTAGATTTATCTATTTCTCCTTTCAGTTTTTGTTTCATGTATTTTTTGAGGGGGGGACGGGAGAGGACAGTGTCTCACTCTGTCTGTCACCCAGCTGCCCAGACTGGAGTGCAGTGGTGTGATCACAGCTCACTGCAGCCTCCAACTCCCAGACTCAAGTGATCCTCCTGCCTCAGCCTCCCAAGTAGCTAGGACTTCAGGCATATGCCACCACACCTGGCTAATTTTTTTTATTTTTTTGTTGAGTCAGGGTCTCACCATGTTGCCCAGGCTTGTCTCAAACTTCTGGGCACAAGTGATCCTCCTGTCTCAGCCTCCCAAAATGCTGGGATTACAGGCATGAGCCACAGTGCCTGGGCTGCTTCAGGTATTTCAAAGCTGTTATTGGGTATACACACATTTAGGATTATTATGTCTTCTCGGTGAATTGACCTTTTTATTATTATGTATCATCTTTATACCTGGAATGATTCCTTGTTCTCAAGTATACTTTATCAGATACTAATATAACCACACTTCCTTTTGATTAGTGTTTCCATGGTATATCTTTATCCATCTTTTTACTTTTAAATCCATTTATATCATTATATTTATAGTGGGTTTCCTATAAACAGTAGTTGAGTCTTCCTCACCTGTATGTGCATGTTATCAACATTTTCACTACAGCCTTTAACATATGAATCAGTTACTTTAAATTCCTTGTCTGATGGTTTCGACATCCTTGTCATATATGAGTTTGATTCTGTTGACTGCTTTCGCTCTTCACAGTGGCTTCGTTTTTCTCTTGCTCTTGTGGATGCCTCATAATTTCTTATTGAATGCCAGACATATGTTAAGACAGGAGAGACAGAGGTAAAAGTATCTGTTTAGAAATGGGCACACTGTTTGTTCTTCCAGGCCATCGGTAGGGACAGTTGAGTTAATTTGGTCAGAAGCTGAGCTGGGATTGAGATTTTTGTTAAGGTTACCTTCAGTGCACCACCATTTTCCAAGTCTTCTAGAGTTAGGTTTAGGGACAGCTGCTTGTTGGAGGGTCGTTCCTCAATGTTCCTTCCCCTCCCTCAGCTGTAGGCTTTCCTCATATGCCTGTGCCTCAGTCAGTCTCTGTATGCTGTTTCCTGCCTCAGAAGCAGTCCACTGCTCCTAATTGAACAGTGCTTGCTCCCCTGGTGGTGGGGGATGAGCAGTGCTTCTCTGTTGTCCTGACGCAGCCCCAGTTTTTAAGTGGGGTTTTCTCAGTGATCCTGTCCCTCCCCCAGTGGTAGGCGACCTCTTACAATCTGAGTCCAAGATAGTTTCCTGCCCCTCTGCCAAGGTAGTGTTCCTTTTCCTTTCCATCCCCACTAGCTGTAATGGGTCTTCACCTTTGCCTAGAGCAGGGACGGAGGGGTCAACAGGATTTACTTCGCTTCCACAGTGGCTTAAGGCTTTGCTCCGTAAGCGAGAATGGTCTGGATGTGGCTTCATGCCTTTCCTGCAGTGGCAGCTGCTCCCTTGCTCCATGAAGGAGGGAGGGAGGGTTTCTTTAGACTCTATCCCCACAGCCAACCTTTTTTTAACCAAAAGCATATTTTATTAATTTTTAAATTGATACATATCAGTTCTACGTATTTTTAGGTTACATGTGATATATATATATACACACACATATATATATACACATATACACACACATATATATACACATATACACACACATATATATACACATATATATACATACATATATATATATATATATATATAATTTTTTTTTTTTTAAGATGGGGTTTTTTTATGTTGCCCAGGCTGGTCTCAAATCCCTGGACACAAGTAATACTCCCACATCAGCCTCCCAAGTAGTTGAGATTACAGGCATAAGCCCACCATGCCTGGCTCGTGTTATTTTGATACGTGCATACAATGTGTAATGATCAAGTCAGAGTAACTGGGATATCCATCACCTCAAACATTTATCTTTTCTCCTTTTTTTTTGAGACAGAGCTTCACTCTTGTTTCCCAGGCTGGAGTGCAATGGCATGATCTCGGCTCACCGCAACCTCCACCTCCCGGGTTCAAGCGATTCTCCTGCCTCAGCCTCCCGAGTAGCTGGATTACAGGCATGCACCACCACGCCTGGCTAATTTTTGTACTTTTAGTAGAGACAGGGTTTCTCCATGTTGGTCAGGCTGGTCTTGAACCCCTAACCTCAGGTGATCCACCTGCCTTGGCCTCCCAACATGCTGGGATTTCAGACGTGAGCCACTGCGCCTGTCCTACATTTATCTTTTCTTTACGTTAAAACATCCCAATTCTTCTAGCTATTTTATTTTTTTGTTTTTCCTTTTTGAGACAGTCTCACTCTGTCTCCCAGGCTGGAGTGCAGTGGTGCGATCTCAGCTCACTGCAACCTCTGCCTCCTGGGTTCAAGCTATTCTTGTGCCTCAAGTGGCTGGGATTACAGGTACTTGCCACCCGCCCGCTAATTTTTGTATTTTTAGTAGAGACAAGGTTTTGCCCACCTCAGCCTCCCAAAGTGCTGGGATTACAGGCATGAGCCACCACGCCCAGCCTAGCTATTTCAAACTATACAATAAATTCTACTATAGTCACCCTACTTCTTATCAAACACTAGATCTTACTCCTTCTATCTAACTGTATTTTTGTATCCATTAACCAACCTCTCTGTCACCCTCCCCAAGCCTTCCCAGCCTCTGGTTACCACCAATCAACTCTCTATCTCCATGAGATAACATTTTTTTTAGCTCCCACATACTGGTAGAGAACATGTGGTACTTGTCTTTCTGTGCCTGGCTTATTTCACTTCACATAATAATATCCAGCTCCATCCATGTTGCTGCAAAAGAAAGGATTTTATGCTTCGTTATAGCTGAATAATAATATTCCTTTGCATATATATATTTTTTTCTATACCCACTCATCTGTTGATGGACACTTCGATGAATTCCATATCTTGGCTATTGTGTTTTTGTTTATTTGGTGTTTTGTTTTGTTTTTGAGACAGGATCTCACTCTGGAATGCAGTGGCACAATCACAGCTCACCACAGCCTTTATCTCCCAGGCTAAAGCTGTCCTTCCACCGCAGCCCCCTGAATAGCTGGGACTACAAGTGTGTGCCACCATGTCCACCTAATTTTATTTTTAGTAGAGACAAGGTCTTGCTCTGTTGCCCAGGCTGATCTCGAACTCCTGAGCTCAAGCGATCTTCCTGCCTCAGCCTCCCAAAGTGCTGGGATTACAGGCACGAGCCACTGTGACCAGCCTTGGCTATTGGAAATAGTACTGCAATAAACATGAGAATGCAGATACCTCTTTGATATACTGATTTCCTTTCTTTTGGATACATACCCAGCAGTGGAATTGCTGGATCACATGGTAGCTCTATTTGTATTTTTTTGAGGAATGTCCACATTGTTTTCTATTTAACTATACTCATTTACATGCCCACCAATGGTGCATAATAAGCATTCCCCTTTCTCTGCATCCTTGCTAGCATCCTTTTTTTTTTTTTCACATGCCTGCTGTGTCAAATGTCTTTCTGATAAAAGGCATTTTAACTGGGGTAAGATGATATCTCACTGTCACAACCAACATTTTCATAAGCACCTGGTAGTCATGAAAAAGTGTCTGCAAGTGGGTGCAAATTCCTCGTGTCTGTGGCTCCCAAGGTTCCTATACTGTCTTCTCAGCCTTTAGCAAATAATTAAAAATCTCAAGCCAGGCGCAGTGGCTCACCCCTGTAATCCCAACACTTTGGGAGGCCGAGGCGGGCAGATCACCTAAGGTCAGGAGTTCGAGACCAGTCTGGCCAACATGGTGAAAACCCGTCTCTACCAAAAATACAAAAATTAGCCAGGTGTGGTGGTGGGCATGTATAATCCCAGCTACTTGGGAGGCTGAGGCAGGAGAATTGCTTGAACCTGGGAGGCAGAGGCTGCAGTGAGCTGAGATCGTGTCATTGCACTCCAGCCTGGGCAACAAAACCAAGACTCCGTCTCAAAAAAAAAAAAAAAAAAATCTCAGCTGAATTCTTATCTGTTGTATAGTGGCCCCATCTTCCTCCCAGGGTCTACCACAAGTGAGCCAGTACTTGTATCCTATCTCTCCTTGTAGGTGCCTGTTTCTTTTTCAGGCTAGTTGACTGCACTATGATTTCATCTCTCTGATGGGTTCAAGAAAGTTACGATTTTTTAGATTATCCAACTTTTTCTTGTTTTTTGGGTAGAAGCAAGGCTCTTTCTGGCTTTCTACATCCTAGGCAGAAGGCAGAACTGCTATTTTTTACAAAATCTCACTTTTTAAAAATTGTAGTAAAATTCACCATTTTAACCATTTTAAGGTGTGCAATTCAATGGCATTTAGTACATTTAAAATGATGTGCAAACAACCACCATTATCCAGTTCCAGAACACTGTCATCATCCCAAAAGAAAACCTGTATGCACTGAGTGGTTATTCCCTATTCCTCCCTCGCTCCTGACCCTGGCATCTGGCTAACCCACTCTACTTTTGGTCTCTATGGATTTGCCTATTCTGGACATTTTATATAAATGGACTTACACAATATGTGCCCTTTTGTGTCTGGCATCTTCCACTTAGCATAATGTTTTCCAAGTTCATCCACGTTGTAGCATGGATCAGTGCTTCATTCCTCTTTATAGGTGAATAATATTCCACTGTATGCATATACCAGAATTTGTCTATCCATTCATCAGTTGATGGACATCTGGGGTGTTTCTACCTTTCGAATATTGTGAATATGGCTGCTAGGAACATAGATGTACAAGTTTTTTTGAACTCCTGTTTTCAATTCTTTTGGGTCATATGGTAACTCCATGTTTAACTTTTTGAGGAAGTGCCAAACTGTCTTCCACAGCAGCTGCACCATTCACATCCCCAGAGCAATGTATGACAGTTCCAACTTCTCCACATTCTCACCAATACTTATTATTCTCCATTTTTGACACCATTTAGTAGGTGTAAAGTGGTATCTCACTGTGGTTTTGATTTGCATTCCCCTAATGACTAATGATTTTGGGCATCTTTTCTTGGGTTTATTGGCCCTTTTTTTTTTTTTTAGACAGAATCTTGCCCTGGTGCCAGGCTGGAGTGCAATGGCACAATCTCAGCTCACTGCAACCTCCGCCTCCCAGATTCAAGTGATTCTTCTGCCTCAGCCCCCCGAGTAGCTGGGACTACAGGTGCGTACCACCACGCCCAGCTAATTTTTGTATTTCTAGTAGAGACGGGGTTTCACCACATTGGCCAGGGTGGTCTCGATCTCCTGACCTCATGATCTGCCCACCTCAGCCTCCCAAAGTACTAAGATTACAAGTGTGAGCCACCGCACCTGGCTGGCCATTTCTTTATCTTCTTTGGAGAAATGTCTATTCAAGTATTTTGCCTATTTTCTCTTGGGTTGTTTGTCCTTTTGCTGTTGAGTTGTAAGAGTTCTTTATATATTCTGGATCCTAGACCCTTATCAGACAATATGATTTGCAAATATTTTCTCCTATTCTGTAGGTTGTCTACTTACTTTCTCGATAGTGTTCTTTTATACACAAAAGTTTTTAATTTTGATGAAGTCCAATTTTATCTTTTATCTATTTATTTATTTTATTTTATTATTATTATTTTTGAGACGAAGTCTCCCTCTGTAGCCTAGGCTGGAGTGCAGTGGCGCAATCTCAGCTAGCTGCAACCTCCACCTCCCAGGTTCAAGTGATTCTTGTGCCTCAGCCCCCGAGTAGCTGGGATTACAGACTCCTGCCACCACCCCCAGCTAATTTTTGTATTTTTAGTAGAGACAGGGTTTCGCCAGGTTGGCCAGGCTGGTTTCGAACTCCTGACCTCAGGTGATCCGCCTGCTTCAGCCTCCCAAAGTGCTGGGATTACAGGCGTGAACCTGGCCTATTTATTTTTTTGAGATGGAGTTTCACTCTATCACCCAGGCTGGAGCAGCTCACCGCAACTTCTGCCTCCCGGTTTCAAGTGATTCTCCTGCCTCAGCCTCCCAAGTAGCTGGGATTACAGGTGCCCACTATCACGCCCACCTAATTTTTGTATTTTTAGCAGAGACAGGGTTTCACCATGTTGGCCAGGCTGGTCTCAAACTCCCAACCTCAGGTGATACACCCACATCAGCCTCCCAAAGTGCTGGGATTACAGGCATAAGGCACTGCGCCCAGCCCAATTTTATCTTTTTTCTTTTGTTGCTCATGCTTTTGATGTCCTAAGAATCCACTGCCAAATCCAAGGTCATGAATATTTTTCTCTATGTTTTCTTCTAAGAACTTTATAGCTTTAAGCTCTTACATTTAAGTCACTGATCTATAGTCTGAGTTAACTTTTGTATATGGTGTGAAGTAGGGGGTCCCATTTCATGGAAATATCCAGTTGTCCCAAGCACCATTGGTTGAAAAGAACATTCTCTGGTTATATGGGTTTTTATCTGAACTCTCAATTTGATTTCACTAATCTACTGTTTTATTTTAAATCTGAAATAATTATTGTTTTCCCTTAAGAGTAAATGGCAAGAAAGGAAGTGGGTTCAGAAAGTACAATACTCTTTCAGGAAATTTAATTATATTGAAAGAGAAAGGGCACAGCCAGAGGGGAATGAGAAACATTTGCCTTGCATCTCTCATATGCTCCACAGTACACTAGATGATTTCTATGTATTTCATTTAATGCTCAAATTCTTCAATATTACTTTGGTTCCATAAAAAAGGAAACTAAGATTCAGTGACATTAACATTCTTGCCCATGGTCACACACTGTGCTGAATGGTGCAGCCCAAATTGTACCCTAGATCTGTTTGATTGTATATTCTGTATTTTTCCCTCTCTATTGTTTTGTGTCCAGTTTTGGACATGACTTTACAGTGCCTTGGGACCTACAGAGAGAGATATCTAGTTTACATTTAAAAATATAGTACTAGGCCAGGCGCGGTGGCTCACGCCTGTAATCCCAGCACTTTGGGAGGCCGGGGTGGGTGGATTGCCTGAGCTCAAGAGTTCAAGACCAGCCTGGGCAACACAGTGAAACCCTGTCTCTACTAAAATACAAAAAATTAGCCGGGCGTGGTGGCGGGCGCCTGTAATCAGGAGGCTGAGGCAGGAGAATCACTTGAACCCTGGAGGCAGAGCTTGCAGTGAGTCGAGATCACGCCATTGCACTCCAGCCTGGGCAACAGAGCGAGACTCTGTCTCAAAGTAAATAAAAATAAAAATAAAAAATAGTACTGAAGCTCAGAAAATAACTGAGATTTGAGATAAAACATAAAAATTATCGGCACACAAGTGTAGTTAAAGCCAGGGGAGTGGAAGAGGTCACCTGACGCCAAAGACAATATGAAAAGGCTTAGGTTTAGGCTTCAATTGGATGGAATCCCAGGACACATCAACATTCAAGAATTAGAGCAGAATAAAAGGAGATTCAAGAGGGACTAGAAGGAAAACTCAGGTATTTACTTCACTACCTGCAAGTGCCAAGTCTAACCTCTTCATCTCTATATCTCCAGCATCTAACATTGATGGTGAATAATGGATGCTTAGTAAATATGTTAAATGAATATCTGAATGACACTGAAACTGAAGAAGAAGAAAGTTTCCAGGAGACTTTTAGAGAATAGTAAATGCTTTTGAAAAGACAATGAAAGATAAGGTTTAAAAAGTAACCACTTGATTAGGCGACAAGAAAGTCAACAGAGACCCAACAAGAAGAACACTAAGCAAAGTAACAGATAAAAGACTGTAGTGGGCTGAGTAGTGAACAGGAAGTGAGGAAGAAAAGAGAGCAAATATAGACTCTTCTTTTAAGAATTTTGATGTACAGGAGTAAGAGAAATAAGTCAGTAGCTAGAGAGCTGGCAGAAGTTACACAGATTTTTGTATTTTCAGATAAGAGATATTTCAGCTTATTTGTGAATACAGTTATCACTGGAAGCATTAGATTAACATCTTAGTTTTCAAGCAGCTATAGATTTATTTGTAGTACTTTAAATAAATACTATATATGCACAAAGTAATTTTTTGGGGGGGAATTTATTGTACTTAAAAAAGAAATTTCTAAGTATTTACACCTATTTATATTGGCAGTTTACACTAATCTGAAGAAATCAATGAATAAAATAATAATAATAATCCTCTACAAACAATAGAAATGACTATTTTGAAACACTGCTAGAAAAGGAAACTGAAACTAATTCTGGTAATAAAATAATTCATTGCCAACATGGCGAAACCCCATCTCTACTAAAAATACAAAAATTAGCCAGGCGTGGTAGTGCACGTCTGTAATCCCAGCTACTGGGGAGCCTGAGGCAGAAGAATTGCTTGAACCCGGGAGACAGAGGTTGCAGTGAACAGAGATTGCGCCACTGCACTCCAGCCTGGGCAACAAGAGTGAAACTCCATCCCCCGCCGCTAAAAAAAAAAAATTTGTTTCATTCCCAGCATAGATAACCTCATCCAAGAGGAAAAGATATCTGGGATCAGAGGTTTGAAATGCTATTTTATTTACTCCACAAAAAAATTTTACATTTCATATTTTTGCAAGTATTTTCAGATTTTTACTTTAGGTTTCTTAATGTGCTTTTAAAAATTTATATGTAACATACAAAACTGTTTCTAGTCAGCTTTTTACTATTTGGTTTTTATAAATTATTAGATACCTTTTGATTAGGCCTGATTAAAAGATAAGAAAACATGAACATTACTAAGCCACAAAAGGCAAAATACAAACTAAAATAGAAATTACCAGGCAGGGTAGCTTTCCAACAAGTTTGAACAAATGGGAAAAAATATAGAGTGGGCACGGAGCAGGTTAAAATACACTTCCTAGCCATGGCCATTAGATGGTGCAAACATTTTGCAGGACTTAAACTAAACGCCTTAAGCACTCAAAGTTTTTATTTTATTTTGAGATGGAGTCTTACTCTGTCACCCACGCTGGAGTGCAATGGCGCAATCTGGGTTCACCACAACCTCCACCTCCTGGGTTCAAGTGATTCTCTTGCCTCAGCCTCATGAGTAGCTGGGATTACAGGCGTGTGCCACCACACCTGGCTAATTTTTGTATTTTTAATAGAGATGGGGTTCACCATGTTGGCCAGGCTGGTCTTGAACTCCTGACCTCAGGTGATCCACCCACCTCAGCCTCCCAAAGTGCTGGGATTACAGGCGTGAGCCACCGCGCCCGGCCTGAGCACTCAAAGTTTTAAGAATATCTCCAAAGAAATTAAACGCCTTGCTTCAAGGAAGAAGTGGAAATTTTTTTTGTGCTGTTTGGGAGTGTAGAAAAATTTACGTATGTATGTGTTTTTGTTGTTTTATATTTTGCTTTTTCAGCATAAATCTTTTGAGCTTCTGTGTTCTTCAAAGATATTTTAGCCTCTCTGAGTCAACAGCATCCTGCCTGCACGTGGCTAAATGGCACTGGGGGTGGTGATGGCATATGTCTTCATAGTCTTAGAACTAACTCAATTGCAGTATTGCTACAGAAACAAAATAGTATAAAAGTGAAGTACTACAAGAAAAATTACATCCCCAAAATGTAGTGTGAAAAATACTAAATTTCTGGTCTAATATGCTAGGAGTCCCTACTGAGCAAAAATGGGTACTTACTTGAGTTAGGGGGCCAGGACTCCCGGTATTCACTACCTACTTGAGTTCTGGGTGACTTGACCCGAACCTGGGGAGCCACACAAAAATCACAAGAGTTATGATCAATGAGAGAACTTAACCAAGAAATTTAAATCATAAAAGTGTGCTTAAAATACTACATACTTTTCTACCATCTCTTCCACAACATATAAAATCTAATATATTTATCCTAACAATAATAATATATATGAAAGGCTTTCTGGTTTCCAGTGCATTTTCCGTATATTTTCTCATCCAAGGCCAAGCTCAATCAGGGGTAGGTGGGAGGGGAAGAAGCGTAAAGGGAGACCCTGTGGGGTCAAGAGCCACAATCTTTACACAGCTACAGTTGCTGGGAGCAAGTATGACCATGAACTTCTTCTCTGGATTGTCATACCATGATGAATAGTCAGTTCCACTGAGAGAAAAAACAATAGAGAAAAACAACTCTAACCTTTAACAGGGTCTTGTATCTCTTCACACTGCCTTCATCTCAATTAAAATTCTTAAAACCCAGCTTTCTCAGGAGCTTGCCTAAGAGAGATACCACAGCAAGAGGGTTACCTTTCTTTCTTGTTTCTTCTGCGTCTCCATAACATGCAGGCGCTCCATGAGGCTAGAAATGCCCTGCTCCAAGCTGTCAATAGTGTGGTGCTGAGGATCGTGGCCACTGAAGCTGTTGCGCAGGCTGCGGAGAGCATCTCGAACAAGCTGCAGGTCGCTGGTCTGTGGGCAAAAATAAGGTGTTGCTGGCATGGCACGGTGCCACTTCCCAACCACTGGGCTTAAAAGGATATAGGAGAGAAGTTTCCAGAAGATTTTTCCCCCACAGAAGCAGGCCTATGGTTTGCCCACTAATTCTTAATTTTGGATAGCAAGTGCCTCACATCTTTACACACTCCACAGATCCAGGAATTAGGGAACTGGAATATAAAAGGCCTCATCCACTGGCCATGGCTTTGGCACTCTTCTGGTTTCAGTGAGAAGTGGCAGGACTCCATCAAAACTCCAGGTACGTACCCCTCTGTTGCTGACTGAAGTAGCTCCTTTTCCTGCCGTTGGAAGGAGAAAACCATTGCTTTGAGAGTTGTGACTGTTGTAGTTGGTCGCCTACAGCAGCATGAAGAAATGTTGCTTGTTAAAGGGAGAATTGTAAACCAGATGTGCTATCTTATTTTTCTTCTTTACATTTATCACTTCCTGATGAAGTATATAATTGTCTGTTTAATGGCTCTCTTTATTAGAATGTATCTTTCTTAAGTATAGATTTTTTTTCCCCTTTTGGTCACTGCTGTATGCCCAGCACTTGACACTTAGTACGCATTGTTGGATGTGAATAAAGGAAATGCTAACCTCCACCTGGAGGCCCCAACCTAGCCTCTGCCACAGCACTGGAGAGCCTCAGAATGCTGCTCCAGCACTGCCTGGCTTTGCTTCAGTAATTTAAAAATAATGGTGAATATATATATATACACACACACATATATATATATTCATACATATATATACACATACATATACATACATACATATACATACATAATATACACATACATACATACATATACATATATACATACATATACATATACACACATATACATATATATGTATGGTTATATATGTATGTATATATGTGTGTGTATATATATGTATATATGTGTATATGTGTGTATGTATATATATGTGTGAGTGTATATATATGTATGTATGAATATATATATATATGTATGTTTTGTTTTGTTTTGTTTTTTGATCTGTCACCCAGGCTGGAGTGCAGTGGCATGATCTCAGCTCATGGCAACCTCTACCCACCGGGTTCAAGCTATTCTCCTGCCTCAGCCTCCTGAGTAGCTGGGACTACAGGCATCCACCACCACGCCTGGCTAATTTTTGTAATTTTTAGTAGAGACGAGGTTTCACCACATTGGCCAGGCTGGTCTCAAACTCCTGACCTCAAGTTAGCCACCTGCCTTGGCCTCCCAAAGTGCTAGGATTACAGATGTGAGCCACTGTGCCAGGCCATGGTGAATATTTTTTGAGCCTGACTCTATGCCAAGTGGCTCCAACAGAACTGTGTTTAGTTATTTATGTGGATTATCTCATATACTCTTCATAATGACAGACTGAATCACTATTATTTCCATTTTCCAAATAAGCCCTATTTCTAAGGCTCAGAAGATAAGCAACTGAAGGCCACAGAATGTAGGAGTGATAAAGGTGGAACGTGAAACCAGATTTTCTTATTCTGGAACCTGCACTTTTAACTAGCTCATCATAGAGCCTCCTAACAAACAAGCCTGTGGCCTTGGTTCAGCTCTGAGTCAGAAACACAATCTCCCCGTTTGCTTCATAAATGTGGGAGGGAGAACACGGGGTCTAGGTTACCTCATCTGCCTCTCTTTTCATACAGTGAGCCAAGAGGACATCTTTGTGTTCTAGCTCTCGCTCTAGATCCACCTGCAAAATAGACACTAAATCAGAAAATGATTTCTTTGGGCCAAAGAGGCAGGGAAGTCAGTGGCTGAATATGTTCTGACCTGGTGGTAACTGACATCAGAGAGTTTCCGGAGTGCTTCTTCTAACTTGGCCTGGTGCTGCTGAAGAAGGCGATCCTTCTGCCCCAGCTCTTTCTGCAATAAAGATAGAGCTTTAAGATGAGCGGCAAAACCAGGGACACTGAAAAGTTCACCCTCTGCAGTGTAACTTCCACTCAAGTAAAGTAGAGCCTCAGGAAAAAAAGTCCTTTCCTCAAATATACCAGGAAGACTTTACACACCATAATAATCTTACATAGTGCAAAGGATTCTTCAAGAGTAATGAAGAAGGGAACTGGCATTTGTAGGAGGACCACTATGAGCCATTCATACTAGTCAGAGATAAAGGTAAGACTAGAACTGAAGTTTCTAGACCCCTAGTCCTGTACTCCTTCTCCTAGCTGTGCCATCTATTCTTCAGAGCTAGTGCATCAGGGGACACAGAAAAATGCTTCCTTCTAAAAAGCAAGGATAAAAAAAAATCAAAAAGGATGAAAATAGAATACTTAAGTGCTTTTTGAGCAACAATAACGGGCTGTTCATGAAAAGTCAGTGGAAGTCATTTCCAAACTGATATTCATTCTTACTTTATATTCTCCCAAGAGCCGGTTCCTCTCATCTAGCTTCCTCTGCAGATCCACCTGCAAGAATAAGAAAGAATTCATGGCACGCAGGTACTGCCTGCTAACCCTCAAGGAAACCAGCTACTTAGTAACCAGTTAATGTTGGCAGTTACAGTATGCAGCACAGAGAGGGTATGATGGTAAAAATACACAGCTGCTCTCCACATTTTTAGTGAAGTAATTAGACTGTAGAACCACAATTTTGCCTCTGTATCTCAGTGTCCTCAAAGTTGAAGAGGAGATCAAGGACCTTCCTGCCCAGTATGATGTGGGCTTTCACCTAGGAACAGAGATGAGTCTAATGGGGAATAAAAATAACTGCAGACACTTAAGGCAGGCATCCCAGAAGCAAGATAAGAGATTAGGATGGCCAGTCTAATAGTTCTTCGTGCAGTAGCCTGTTCTGCTAATGGGGCTCACTGAGGTCAAGGCTCATTCATTTAACTCACATTCTGGTTGTGCAGCTCATCTTTGTCCATATTTGCCCTCAGTAGCTCTTGTTTGAGCTGAAGAACAGATGTGTCCTGCTGAGTCAATCTCTGCTGCAAGGCATCCTAGGGGAAAAAGCATACTAATTATTGTTGTCTCAGTTCATCAATCAGCCAGTTATTATTACAAATTACTAAAGCCTTTAATGTGTTTCCAGCATTCGTTATGGCAGACTGGAAGACAAATGGGGTAAAGGGTCTTGCCACGAGTTGCTGAGGAGGGGTTTTTCTGTCCCCCTCTAGGAAACTAGCATCCAGAGCAAAATCCTATCCACTGTTCTATGAAACTTACTGAAGCCTGATTTTTTTTCTCTGCTTACTATTTGTCCCCACCCTCAATCCTGACAGCATGGTGTATTCGAGAGAGAAAGACTGGACTTTGGGATCAGATAGACGTAGATTCAAATTATAAACCTACCACTTACTACTTTTGTGATGTCAGCCTTGGACAATGCACTCTACTTTCTCCCACCTGGGCTTTCTCATTTATATCTTGGGCATATAAATACTCAATCTAGATTAGCTGTTTTTCCTTCTACCTCTCTGCCCAGTCCCCATTTCCTGGAGAGATGGGCCCTATTCATGCCCGCCACTCTGTTGTTAAAGAATCCCTGAAATCACTCCCATGCTGGCTTCCAGAGCCTTGCTGCTATCCTGCTTCCAATGGCTTCCAATGCCTAGTCTGGACCAGGATTAGAATTATATTTCCACTGAGCATAACTGTTCTTTGATTCATGATCCCTCTTCCCAATTTCCTATGATCTTAATAGCATTAGGCTTTCTTTCCCTCAGCTTGAACCCTCTTGGTTCCTATCAAGCCTAACAAAAGGTGAGCTGGATATCCTTGCTTATAAGGACAGTTATGACATATTCCATCAACCATGGTGACTTCAAATGGAACTAATGGACTAGGGCTGCATTCTAATATATTTGTCCTGACTTTTCTCTCTTTACAGACTGCAAAGAAAGGGTACAGACTCTGAAGAATGTGGGAGCCCATTCTTAATTATACACTCTGCCATGACAGTACATGGTAAAGGAAGTCTAAGATGCCCTTGGCATCAGTAGTTCAAAGGAATATTTCCCAAAATGTGCTCCATGGGACATTAATGTGCCACATGATGTTACATGGGAGAAAAGACACTTCTGTGGTTATTAATTCTAAATCATTTTTAGGCCAACCTCTTTATGACAGACCTTTTCAGATCCTTTACATGTTATTATTCACAGTGAGTCTTCAGGACAGCAGAGCATTTCTCAAACTTATCTGACCGTGGAACACATTTGTTTTTTAAAGTGTTTCAAAAGTACTAAGCCTACGGAATATACCTTGGAAAATGTTGCTGAGTGAATAGTCTAGCCCATGAACGGATGTGCAAGGAAGAGGGGAAAAGCAGCCACTTAAAAACATCCTCTTCTACTTCTAGGTATTATTGCACAGATATACTCCCATTTGGGTGAAATAACATATATTCAGGCTCGGCATGGTGGCTCACACCTGTAATCCCAGCACTTTTGGAGGCCAAGGCAGGCGGATCACGAGGTCAGGAGTTCGAGACCAGCCTGGCCAACATGGTGAAACCCCGTCTCTACCAAAAACACAAAAATTAGCTGGGCATGGTGGCACACGCCTGTAATCCTAGCTACTCGGGAGGCTGAGTCAGGAGAATTGCTTGAACTCGGGAGGTGGAGGTTGCAGTGAGCTGAGATCATACCATTGCACTCCAGCTCTGGGCGACAGAGCAAGACTCCATCTCAGAAAAAACAAAACAACACAAAAAAACCATATATTCAAGGCTGTTAGATCATTGTTTATATTAGCAAAAGACTAGAAATTATCATGTATAATAAATCATTTAGCATATATATGTATGTATACAGTGGAATACAATGGAATACTATGCAGCCATAAAAAAGACCTAGGAAAGTCTTTATGTACTACTGACATAGAATGAGCTCGAAGATATACTACTAAGTGAAAAAAAGCAAGGTGTCAAGTTTTATTTCTAGTATATTACCATTTGGGTAAAACCGTGGGGGAAAGCGATGTAGACACAAATGTGCTGATAACTGTTAAGATGCCTCTAGGAGGTCGGGCGTGGTGGCTCACACCTGTAATCCCAGCACTTAGAGAGGCCGAGGCAGGTGGATCACCTGAGGTCAGGAGTTCAAGACCAGCCTGGCCAACATGCTAAAACCCAGTCTCTACTCAAAATACAAAAATTAGCTGGGTGTGATGGTGCGCACCTGTAATCCCAGCTACTCGGGAGGCTGAGGCAGGAGAATCGCTTGAACCCAGGAGGCGGAGATTGCAGTAAGCCAAGATCACGCCACTGCACTCCAGCTTGGGCGACAGAGTGAGACTCCATGTCAACATTAAAAAAAAAAAAAGGCCGGGCGCGGTGGCTCACACCTGTAATCCCAGCACTTTGGGAGGCCAAGGCGGGCAGATCACAAGGTCAGGAGATGGAGACCATCCTGGCTAACACGGTGAAACCCCGTCTCTACTAAAAAAATACAAAAAATTAGCCGGGCGTGGTGGCGGGCACCTGTAGACCCAGCTACTTGGGAGGCTGAGGCAGGAGAATGGCATGAACCCAGGAGGCAGAGCTTGCAGTGAGCCAAGATTGCGCCACTGCACTCCAGCCTGGGCAACAGAGCGAGACTCCGTTTCAAAAAAAAAAAAAAGATGCCTCTAGGAAAGAGAACTAGATGACTGATGGGACAGGGCTGGCAGGCAGACACTTCATGGTTTATCTTTTTATACCTTTAAAATGATTTGAATGTTAGTTAACTATTCAAAAACAAAGTAAATAACAATTTTTTTAAAGGACATTCCTTTTTTTTTTTTTTTTCCGAGACGGAGTCTCACCCTGTCACCTAGGCTGGAGTGCAATGGCATGATCTCAGCTCACTGCAACCTCTGCCTCCTGGGTTCAAGCGATTCTCCTGCCTCAGCCTCCCAAGTAGCTGGGATTACAGGTGCCTGCCACCACGCCCGACTAATTTTTTGTATTTTTAGTAGAGATGGGGTTTCACCATGTTGGCCAGGCTGGTCTCGAACTCCTGACCTCGTGATCCGCCTGCCTCGGCCTCCCAAAGTGCTGGGATTACAGGCGTGAGCCACCGCGCCCGGCCCTAGAGGACATTCTTTCACACTGAAGAGGATTCTTTTACATATAGAGACAATCAGGGTGGAACAGATGGAAATGGTAGCAACATGAATCATAACTACTAGAAATAAGCCTCAGCAAAACAAAGGTATATTCCTCGACATGTCTCACTTCCCTCCCACAAAGCCCTTTCTTTACCAATAGCACAGAGCTATTAAAGGTCCACAGAAAATTCCAACTCTCACCACTCACCAACAGACTACTTTACATTGCAGAGACTTTATTTAAAGAATTAAATGTCTTCTTTTTTACCTTTATCCCCTGTAAGTTTCTGGCTTCTTGTTTACATTTCAGCAGTTCCTTCTGCAAACCAAATATAGTTAGATCAGATGGTGACATCTGGGTTGCTTCAGAATGCATTACCTCATTCTGTCGGCAAGAGGACAAAACCCAGTTGATCATTCCGTGAAAAATTAACCCTCTACTAAGGCAGAAAACAGCTCTGGTTCAGTGAGCAGTACAGGCTGATCCACAGAAACAAGAAGAGAACCATTCCGTTCTTCCCTGTTGGCACCCAGGCTTAACTGCTCAGGTAGAGAAGAGTTGCCAAGAAAGAAGATACCCCATAATTCCCATAGGCTCTCATTTCTATATTTAGCAATCTTCACCAACAGGAAAACCTAATTATAATAATCTAAATCCTTCTCACTGAATATATGATCATATCTAAATATGCCTACCCCCAATGTCATTAAATAATTATCCCTATTTTTAATGTTTAGCAAAGGGTTGGAGTGTTTCTGATCCAAGAGGGTATTGTTCTTTGTGGGCCAAACAAAAACACATTTAGCCTAATAATGAAATACTGAGTAATTAACATTCCCTTACAATAGATAAAATATATGTATACGATTGTCACTAGGAAATAGATTTTAGAAGGGGAACAACCATAACACAGACCCCAATCTCTTCTCTTCCTATTGTATCACATCAAGATTTTGCAATTAACATATCTAAAATGGGGATCTGTAACTTGGACTCCACAGATGGGCTCAAAAGTTGCTCTATTAGGCTGGGCACAGTGGTTCATGCCTATAATCCCAGCACTTTGGGAGGCCAAGATGGGAGAATCACTTGGGTCCAGGAGTTCAAGACCAGCCTAGGCAACAAGGCGAGAGCAATCTATACAAAAAACACAAAAATTAGCCAGGTATGGTGGTGTGTTCCTGAAGCCCCAGCTACTAGGGAGGCTGAGGTGGGAGGATCGCTTGAGACTGGGGGGTCGAAGCTGCAGTTAGCCATGATCGTGCCATGGCACTCAGCCTGGGTGACAGAGTGAGACTCTGTCTCAAAAAACAAACAAACAAAACAAAACAAATAAATAAAAGTTGCTCTATTAAAAATTCATGTCGGCCAGGCACAGTGGCTCACGCTGTAATCCCAGCACTTTGGGAGGCCAAGGCAGGCGGACCACGAAGTCAGCCGTTCAAGACAAGCCTGGCCAACATAGTGAAACCCCATCTCTACTAAAAATACAAAAATTAGCCAGGTATGGTGGCGGGCGCCTGTAGTCCCAGCTACTTGGGAGGCTGAGGCAGGAGAATCGCTTGAACCCAGGAGGCAGAGGTTGCAGTGAGCTGAGGCTGCACCATTGCACTCCGGCCTGGGTGACAGAGCCAAACTCTGTCTCAAAAAAAAAAAAAAAAATTCATGTCTATGAGTATGAGTGCAAACATACATGCATACTTCTAGGGAGAGGGTTAATGTCTTTACTCATAGACTTATGACCAAAAGAAAAGCTAGGAATCACTGACCTAAAAGAATTCTGAGAAGTATTTATAAAAAAAGACTGTACTGGTATTAGATACATTTTTTCTTTTAATTAAAGAATAAAAACCATGAAATATTTCAAACATATAGAATGGTACAACCAATAATGACACCGAAATTCTATTACCTACCACCAGGATTAAAAAGTTATTACCTTCCTGACATATTTGGGATGTATCTCTCTCTTTCAAGTAAAGACATAATACAGATACAGGAAAGATTCCAATTCTGAAATCCCTTTCCCTCTTGAAGTTGTGTAATAGTCCCATAATGGTGTTTTTTTTTTTTGAGATGGAGTCTCACTTTGTTGCCCAGGCTGGGGTGTAGTGGCACGATCTCTGCTCACTGCAACCTCCTCCTCCCAGGTTCAAGCAATTCTCCTGCCTCAGCCTCCCGAGTAGCTGGGACTACAGACGTGTGCCAGCACATCCAGCTAATTTTTCGTATTTTTGGTAGAGACGGGGTTTCACCATGTTAGCCAGGATGGTCTCGATCTCCTGACCTTGTGATCTGCCCGCCTCGGCCTCTCAAAGTGCTGGGATTACAGGCGCGAGCCACCGTGCCTGGCCCCCATAATGTTTTTAAGGGGTAAAATGTACATGTCTTGACATACCTTTAAGTCCTGATTCTCCTCCATACTCTGATCCAGACGACTTTGGATTATAATCTGAATATAAGACAAACAGAGATGGCTAAGCACCTATGCTGTGAAGTACAGAGCCACTCATTCAACAAATATTTATTGAGCACTACTAGATGCCAGCTCTGTACTGTGGATACAAAGAACAGGAAACAGTTCCTGCTCTCTGATGTAAGTATATGCATCAAGTAGCAAGTAGATCTATATGGATAAAGCTTAGAATAAGTATGGGTGGGCCAGGCGTGGTGGCTCACATCTGTAATCCCAGCACTTTGGGAGGCCGAGGCAGGCAGATCACTTGAGGTCAGGTGTTAGAGACCAGCCTGGCCAACATGGTGAAACCCATCTCTACTAAAAACACAAAAATTAGCCAGGTGTGGTGGTGCACACCTGTAATCCCAGCTGCTTGGGAGGCTGAGGCAGGAGAATCACTTGAACCCGGGAGGCAGAGGTTGCAGTGAGCCAAGATCGTGCCACTGCACTCCAGCCTGGGGCAACAGAGCAAGACTCTGTCTCAAAAAAAAAAAAAAAGAATAAGTATGGGGTGGGGGTTGGGTGCAGGGGAGGGGGTGGGGTAAAGGGAAGAAGAAATGGCAAGAGATGAATTTGGAGAGAAATATCAGGGCGAGATCAAGAAAGGCCAGTGAGGGCAATGGGGAATCAATGAAAAGTTGTATGCAGAAGGGTTACAAAATGAAGTTTGTCTTTAAGGCAAATTATTCTTGCTGTTTTACAAAAACTTAATTAGGGGAAGACAGGAGAGGAATCAGGAAAACCAGTGAGAAGGCTGTTAGAATACTGGATGGAGGCTTGATTTTCAAGTGGCTGTGAGAATGGAGAAAACTGGATAAAGAAATTAGAAATGTAAACTGGTAAAACTTGGTGACTGACTGGATGTACAGGGAAGTATGTAGAGGGAAAGGATTCAAGGACAACATTCAGATTTCTGTTTGGCGCATTTTGGTATCCAAAACAGATATCCAAAAGGACAAGTAGCTTTGGTGGTTGGGCAGAGGACAGAAACACTTTAATTTAGGACTCACTGAAATTGAGATGCTTATGGGACTTACAAGTGGAGATAATAAGTAGGCAGTTGCATATTGCATACATAAATCTAGAAATCCATAGCAAGAGCTGAGCTGGAAATAAATACATGAGAAGCAAGAGGGAAGTGAGTGAAGAACTGGAGGCAGATACTACCGCCCAGGTTAATGTTTAAGACACATGAGGGCCTAGACTGGAATGCTGAGGAACACCAACATTAAAGGCACAAGCAGAAAACGAGAAGCTTCAAAGAGACCTTGAATGTAAACTCCATAAGGGTCGGGTCTTAGATCTGTTTTGTTACTACCATATCTCCAGCATGTTGAAATAGGGTCTGGCATATAGTCAGCACTCAATAAATATTTGTTTATTAAATGAATGAAGAAGGAAACAATGGTCAAAAATGTAGGAGGAAAACCAGAACTGGTCAAGGAAGACAGCATTTCAAGAAGGCATGAACAGCAGTGTCAAATGCTAAATACAAGTAAAATACATACAGATTTAGTGTCCAATCACAAAAGATGGAGCTCACCAGTTGTTCCTCGGGATTGACACCTGGTTCACAGAGGGCCAAGGGCCTCTCCTGTTCATCTTCAGGTAAGGATCCATTGAGCAGTAAGGCCTGAATAACCACAAAGGCAGAAAGAAACTTAACTCTCCTTCAGATGACTTAGTCCAGAGTTGAACTTGGTAAGCTCACCCCAAGTTAAAATCACAACTCAGCCTCCTCAAGACATTTCGTTGGTAATTTTTGCTCCTTAGATACTTCCCATTGCTCACCCTGGGACTAGTTCCTTTCGTTAGGTCCATGCTCTGGCTCTTTCAGCTCTCTGGACACCTGACTGCTCTGCTTCAAGGTGCCTTGGCCCCAGAAGAAAATCTAAAAACAAACCTTTTTTTCAAAAGAGACACAACACATTTCAAACTGGAGCTGCTCAAACTCAATTTTACCAGGGAGAAAATGATCTAAAAGCAGTGTAGAATCATCACGGCTTAGAAATGAGTATTATAATGAATTATTTGGAATACATTTGGAGCACTCACTTGGGTTTGTTTGATTTTTCTTTGTTTTACTGATTCTGCATTTTTACTCCCTAAAGCAACCTCTATTGAACAAGAAGGAAAACACATTTGCAGAGAGATGTCCTCATTCATTTCAGCTCCTGACCCAGGTGGTTTTCATTAGAATATACGTAGGTGGAATAGGGAGGCAGATTTACCATGAAGCTAAGAAAGCTCCAGCTGTAGGCCCCCCGCATGCATTGCCTCTCCCAAGGTCCTATACCTAATTATTATTGTTATTATTATAATATTTGGAGACAGAGTCTCACTTTGTCACCCAGGTTGGAGTGCGGTGGCCCGATTTTGGCTCACTGCAATCCAGGGTTCAAGCAAGTCTCATGTCTCAGCCTCCTAGTAGCTGGGATTAGAGGCATGCGCCACCACACCCGGCTAATTTTTGTATTTTTAGTAAAGACAAGGGTTTTGCCATATTGCCCAGGCTGGTCTCAAACCTGTGAGTTCAAGCAATCCACCCGCCTCAGCCTCCCAAAGTGCTGGGGTTACAGGTGTGGCCCACCATGCGTTGCCTATACCTAATTATTATATTCATAATTTTGTAATCTTATTCTTTAAGAAGCCCCCCTGCACACACACAAATTATATATGTGAGGACTCACAAAACTTGGATCTGTCCCTGCAGGTGAGTATCTATCAGGTCAGTGAAAGACTGAAAAATGTGACCCCATTTTATAATAAAATTTGAGTAAGTCAAATGAATTTTGCTATCTCACCAGTCATGGCAACAGGTACAGACATATATAAGAAGCCAGGGCCGCGGGGAGCTAAGGGCATTCAACATTATGGAAATATCAACTATAACAGCAAACTGTTCAAAGGGTTCTAACTAAGGAATACTAATAAGTCAGAAATCTTGGATGTGGCTTAGCAAGCAACTTGTTAATCACTGAAAAGAGTTAAGAAGCCCAGTGGATGCTGTGAGCCCTTTTGTATTCTACAATGGAACCAAATTCTCATTGTGATCATGTGGCTGTGAATTAAAACTCTTCTGTTTGCAGGAAATATTAAGATGCTGACTTTCTGCCTGTCATTTCTCTTCTTTTTCTGTCTAATCTGCCATCGAATTTCTCCCAGACTAAGAAAATGCAAACAAACTTTGAGCCAAACTGATGAATATCTATGTTCATATAATGCAAATTATCCTGGGAACAACCTGGTTGGGTATAATCTCAAAGTTCTCCATGACATACTTCCTATGCAAGTAAAACACACACAAAAACATTCCATTAAGGTATTTGTTAATGGAGTGGCAGAAAAGAGATCTAAAAGGCCTCATAAGCCAGCCATTTTAAAAATACAGAGCAAATGAAGGAAAACCAACAACTTTCTTTGGGAATGTTTACGCAGGCAACATTCCTCCCACACTTCTCAGTTCCTGGGGCATACGTTATGCAAATTGCTTTGCCACAGCACCAATCTCCTTTCTTCTTTAGGAATCTTTTGTGTCCCCACCCTGTTGCAGGCTAGCTGGGAGCACGCCCTCCACCGCCTGCCGGCTGCCAGAGCCACACACATAATGTGGGCTTTGTTTACGTGTCCATAAATATTTGACAATTCAGAAGCACTGCAGTTCCCAGCACAAACAGAAAGGAATATTCCTAGGCAATTTCAGGGTCATCAGCACACTATAAGCGCTCCCCCAAACAGAGACAGACACACAAAGACAAGAATGAGGGGGTCACTCAGGGTGGGAACTATGTCAAGTGGGTCAGTCTCGGGTAGATTTGCCGAGCTGGCACTACAGGTATAGGAAAAACTGAAGGGCTTTGTTGCTCAAAGTAAACCTCTTCTACCTGACCATTATGCCTTGGCATCCATTTGCACATGTATTAGGAGTGAGCTAAATCCCTTAGCTAAATTCAAATGGAAACCTGGCAGCATTACTGGCTCTTACACTCTTCCTGCTAGAGAATTCCTAGAAGAAAATCCCAGACTATTCACAGTGCCATTCTTTGGTGAAAGCTGCAATTGCAGGTCTGCAGCCACATACAGGGTAGAAGCCCACCTATGTAGCACAGAGTCAACAATAAGGACTTGATAAGGGTCAGTAATGGCTCCTGGGCTTGCTGAAATCTTAAGCGCTGTGCTATGAACGGTAGCCCACAAAGTCCATTTAAAGTATTCAAATATAAGGAATTTTCTGCTCTTTCTGTGCTATTCCCTATATCTAAACTCCTCATTCAGTTCTGACCTCCTAGAAAACTAAAATCAGTTTATTTTCCATTGATAATACTGACTTAATAATCAATTGGTATAACAAGGGCAAACTACAAGGGAGAGAGCTACCTGTAGTCCTGATATCATTTTCTTTGCTTCCTCCATTTCTTTTTCTAAATATTCTTGTTGTTCCAACAGCTGTTCTTCCCATGAGGTCTCCAGATAGGTTCCAGGGCTCCCTGGCCGCCAGTCTCGAGATAATGGAGAATCTGTCCCTTCTAAAAAATGAAAAGAGGGAGTACAGTTCATGTTGAAGAAAACTGATTTCCAGCAGACAGCGTTCACAGGGTAGCGTTCACAGGTTCAGGTCACCTGCGTTCTGAACCTGTTCTCATAGCACAGACTGGACTCTCCACCAGGTGGGGTTGTGAGGCCTAAAGAATTGGCTGTGAGCTCAGGCCTCAGGCTCACTTGGTGCTAGAACAATCTATCCTCTTTTAAAACTCTTAGGAAGTATTAAGATTCCCTCCACGGGAGCCTTGGTATGCGCCACACAGACTTCACCCTTAATTCTTAGAACTGGCATTCCAAGAGCCTGACTTTGCCAGGTACAAAAAGAGGAGCTGTCAGATGCAATGAAAACAAAATCTTACTGGTTACTCTGAAGCTTTAGAGGGGAGACTTCAATTCAATATTCCTTTCAGCACTCACTCATAAGTGGACCACTTTCATGTAGAATACTGTGTGAGTCACACAGCAAACAAACCAATAAAAACATACCTGCACAAACTGTTTAATATCACTTTTATTTTCCTAGCTTTAAGGTCTCTTTGCTCTGGTTTCCTTGTCTATTTTATACTATCTAATTGTATGTACAGCCATTTAAAATGCATTCTAGAATTCAGAAAGGCATAAACTCTTTCAGTGAGTTTCTTCATTCAAGAGACGAATATAATAACCCCTCTGGGTTGCTGCAAAGATTAAATGAGGTAACTTATGTGCAGGGCCTGCTGGTGCCTGGCCCAGAGCGGCACTCAGTAAATGCTCTCCCTCTCTCTCTAAGGCCTCAGGAGTTTTGACTCAGTAACATGACTGACTCTTTGGTACTAATGCCAGGGTTAGATGGGGAGCAGAATACAGAAGAATTCAATTCCAGTTTTTCTTCTGAGGGCCTGTGTTTCATTACAACTCTTGTGGGTAAATACAATTCTAAGTCTTGCACTTTGCTTCTTGCATGTTTTTCTCTCTATGTAAGAAAAAATAAAGAGCAACTGAGACAGAGTATGGAAGTCTAAACAAAGGGAACTCTTTGTGGTCCTTTCTGTAGCTTCATACCAAGCCTGATATAGACCTGCTCTCTATTCTCTGTGCCCTCACAGACACCTCAGCTCATACAATGCATTTCTGGTCCCAATTTAAGTTATGTAAGTCCTGCAATTATTTGTATAAGATAGGAATAATAAAAGTGTTTACTTGAGTAAGGCTTTTGACTGCCCCAAAGTCATTTCCTAATTCATAGGCAGCCAGCTGAGAAAGGGCCTATCTATGCTGCTGCAAGATTTTTGACAGCTAGGATATCAGAAATGGCATTCTGCAAGAGGATAACCACATTAATTGGCTCAAAGTCATTAGAGCCCTCTAGTGCTGACCCTGCACGCACAGACCATGGAGATGGGGAAGGCCAGGGAGCTTATTGGTGATGGGGACCTCTAAATTCTTCAAGCTGACTGTTCCTTGAACCAGCCCAGGCAGGCGTAGAGATAGTACCTGTTCTGTTCTCTATTCCTTCAGCGGGAATAATCACAAAATCTGCCTTCTCTTCTGACTGGGTTATAATGGACTCGCTCTTTGCACTGTGGATTGGACTGGGTGAAGTCAGGCTGTGATTGAAGAAAAAGGAAGAAAAACGATTATTATGAAGAGTTGTTCAGAAAGCAGCTTTCATAATTTATTCCTGAGAACAGGGACATGTTCTTATTCATCTTACTCCTCCATGGGTAACACAGTACTTGGCCCACAGAAAATAAAATATTTATTTAATGATTAACTTTTTGAATGAATGAAATTAATATTGAATAAAGGAATGACCCAGTCCTACAAAGTCTCTCCCACAACAAGGATGCCTTTAAGCCTAATTCATTGAGAAGAGATTTACCAAAATGATGGGTAATCTAGCATTCAAAGAACTCCAAGTTTTGCTTTGTTTTACCTCCCACCACCTCCTCCATCACCATCCCTGGGCCCACGTTCAAAGACTGATGCCAGTCTGTGTCTAGTAGCTTTTGGAGCTAGAAGGAAATTTTATTTCCAAAACACTGATCTCTCACAGATACAGGCAATACCAGCCAAGTTATCATGGCAGATCAGCTCTGAGCTGATCACAAAGGAGAGTACAGGGTGGGGGTGGTTCAAGGGGAAAAGTTGCTGGAGGGCGTACATTGCCAGGCTGGGCAGAGGAGCGGTTATATATCAGTAATTGAGCTAGAGCATGACAAGGGGAAGATAATATGTCAAAAGGGGAAAGACCTGCTAGGAATAGTGGAGTAAGGGTTTACTTGATTTATTCCTATCAAAAAGTTATTTATATTTCTGACACAATACTTTCAAATTGTCCTCAGAATCTTCTCAACAATTCTTAAGATTTTGTTTTGTTTTATTTTTTTGAGACAGGGTCTCACTCTGTTGCCCAGGTTGGAGTGCAGTGGCTCCATCATAACTCATGGCAGCCTCAAGCTCATGGGCTTGAGCAAATCTCCTGCCTCAGCCTCCTGAGCAGCTAGGACTACAGGTGCATATGATGCCAAGCTAATTTTTAAATCATTTTGTAGAACAAGTTCTCCCCGTGTTACCCAGGCTGGTCTCAAACTCCTGGGCTCAAGTGATCCTCTCTCCTCAGCCTCTGTACTGGGATTACAGGCGTGGGCCACCGTACCTGGCCCTTAAGTTCTGATATAACTACTAGCCTTGGAAGGAACTATGCAGATTTTTCAGGGAAGTGGAATTTTAAATCTCCAAAAAAACAGCAAATCTACAAGACAAGATGGGAATGTGAGGCTGGTGCTTCCATGTGACAGGGAAAAGGAGTCTCGAGCCATCTCTCTTTGCACTGCACCTTGAGAACATCAGCACTGAAAGAATCTCAGGGGCTGAGGGGTCTCCGGGCCCAGCCCCCTCTCAGGAATTCTTTCCAAATCTATCACCCAGACAACAGTGAAAGTGGCTAGGATTCACTGACCCACTTAATGTGCCCCTGAAGTCTCCCAGGCGAATCCTCACAACCACGATCAGGAGTTAACATTTTGTCCTCCTAGAATCCAGTAAAAAACAAGAGCCAGGCATGGTGGAGGTAGCCAGGCACGTCAAAAGCAGTGAGGCAGCCTGAGGACTAGTGTCTCATCCTCCTCACTGTCCGTATTTTAGGGGCTTTGCTGGGAATGACCTCAACTAGAAATACATTCTCTTCCTTCTTAGAACCACAGAAAACATTTTAAAGCTTTTAAATTGAAATATCAAATTAAAGAAAGTTGCTTAACCATATCTATAGATCTATAACCAAACAGGCAGGAGGGGTAGGGAGTGGCAAGAAGTGATATTCCGAAATAGCAATTGCTTTCTAGAACTTTCTTATTCATCTTTCACCGCTTAGGCAATCTTGACTTCCAGGCCAACATGAATTAGCTGCTTGAAAAGCTCTCATCCAAGTGTACTATGTCATTCACAAGGAGAATAGATTTGTGCCTGCTCAGGCCTCAGCATTTACCTTCTTACAGAAATGGGAATCCAAGTGTAGAAAGCGGCCTGCAAGAGCTGCTCATCTTTGAGAAACAAGAAAACACTTTCTCATCTGACAAGGTGCTATGGATGACATGTTCCATCCTCTGACTTTGCTGGACCACAGTTGGTAAGTGTGAGACAAAATCGGGGAGGAGGGTGCAGTGTGAACCTAGGATGCTAGAAAACTGCTTTCCTAAAAGCACAGACGCATGCTCAGCTCCTTCTCCTTCCTAAGAGTTATCTCCCATATAAGGGCAGAAGGAGGCGGATGTCTGGATATCCATCCCCGCTGGGGGAGTGGCAGAGCAGCCAAAGGAAAACAACATTTCTCTTTCTTGAATTGAGGCTGCCAATGTGAGGCCACCGAGAGGTGAGACCATGAAACTCGATGGCCAAGTGGAGAGATAAAGGACCTCAGGCAGGAAACTCCCGAGGCACATGTCAGAGCAGGCACCCTGCTGCCTCCCTAAAGAAGTACCTCATGGACAAGGAATATGCATTATATCCTCTGCCCCAGGTCAGAAAAAAATATTTTAATGCTAATTAATTATGTATATGACAGGCTCCTCCCTGATTAGCTTAAAAGTCCTATTTTATAAACAATCCCCTACTTAGCATCATAATCCTCTCTGAGGTCAGAGAATGACTGATCAGGTCTGGCTGATACATTTCTTAATTCCCACAGGTCTAATAGCTCTTCTATCTTAATTTATCAGACAAGCAATCCTGCAGCAAAGATACTTCCAAATCCCACTCAAATTAATTTTTTTAAACGGGTAATAGGCAATAAGGAAGAGTTCTATATCCTCATGAAGTGCCCTCCCCCACCAAAGACCCTGGCAGGCGCAAGGGCTACTCATCCTCCCCCCATGCTGGCTCCACTTCCTACGCCCACCGTATTTTATAGTGATAACCCCTGGTCAGCAGCCGGTCCTCCCAACATAATGCTCCCACCACCCCGCCTGTCTCCGGCCAACAGCATCCTCCAGCCCTGCCCCTGTTCCCACCCAGGCCCCCCACTTCCAAAGCCAGAGTGGCTTCAGCTCACCATTTGACTTGCGTCCCTCCCATGGTCCCCCTCCTGTCTCGGGCTTCAGCAAGCCTGCGTCCCCGGGTGAAGTGGGAGGCTGAGAGTCACATCGCTCCCAAATTCAGGCATGTCTCCCCGCGCTGGGGCTGGAAAACGCCTCCACGGGAAGGCCAGCTAGCAAAGCTACTGGCCCGGCTCGCGGGAGAAAGCGGGAACGGCGGCGGCGGCGGCGTCTCGGCCCCAGCGACTGGGATGCTCCAGGCTCTGAAGCGCGCAGTCCCGGCCGCTCAGACTGTGCAGCAGCCCGGCCCCGGCGGAAGCTGCCTCCCCTCGCAGGCTGCCGGCCCCTGGCCGCTGCATCTTGGCCTCCGCGGACGCACGGTGCCGGGCATCCCCCCTGGCGGGGGCATCTCAACCCATCTCCCACTGGGAGGGAGGCTCCCGGCGGCGCAGGCTGCGCCTCGAGTCCCCAGCGGCGATCCCACTCCGTGCCACCTTCCGGATCCCTCCCCGCCCCACCCTCTGCTCCCTCCCTGGGCTGTCACACGCGGCGAGGCAGCCGGGCTCCGACCCAAGCCAGCTCCGCTGGCCAACCGACCGCTCTGGACGGAGGTTGAGGGTGCGGGCCAGGGGCGGGGCTGGGCGGGGTGGAGGTGGGGGTGGGGACGTCGACGAGGGGTTGGGGGATGCGAGGAGAGGAGATTGGGAGCCTCAGGATAGGCAGGGGAAGAGCCGCGTATCGGCAGAATCACGAGGAGGGCTCTAGTGGTCTGAGTGCTGGGGAGCCCCGCACCAAAAACCTTGCCTTCTCCACTCTGAGCCCTCCCTTGGTGGACGAGGGGTCGGTCGGACAGGTCAGGCCCGCATGGGGCTCTGGCCGCTCCTCGGGGTGGAGACTCTGACGCTCCCCAGGAAAATTCGCCGAGCACCTATCCCCTCCCACCTTCCCCTCTGGCGTTTCGTGTGTTCTTTTTAACCAACTAAGGATCATTTTGCTTGGCTACAATGTGAGGCTGGTATGCGGTTTTCGGAGCAACAGGCTGGCAGGGCTTCCCCAGGGCGTCTCCGGAGGAGCAGTGGCAGGGAATGAGACACCCAGGGGCTATCCTTCCTTCTGAGCCACTCCCGTCCTGAGCAAGCCACATCTGGGGGCTCCTGGGCTCTTCATGGGTCACAGAGCCACTAAGTGGGCTCCCTGGGGGCGAGGGCTCAGAATGTGCGGGAACCTGCTGGGTTCCAGATAGCCACAAGAAGCCCTCTCCTTCCCCAGGGACTCACTGAGGAAAAGGCAGCTACTAACCCAGCATGCCAAAGAGCTGGATGAGGGGTCAGCATTAGAAGAAAATGTCAAAATCCAGTAGTGAAAAACAGGGTAAAGCAAACAATTCTCCTCTGGCCCCTCTCCTAGAAAACTGTCACCATTAGCTCACTGCAGCCTGATAGCCGGTGGGCCCCTCATTCACACATTCACAGTCTCACAGCCCTCCCCTCAGTCCTCCTGCCTTGGAGGAGAAAGCAGGTGCCCTCAGGAAGAAATCCACTCTTCCTCCTACCACCAACTCTAGCAGGCACTATCAGGCTCAGAAGAGTGAAAGGCCTGCAGAAGTGCAGGAAGCAATACAACAAAACATCCTGTAATTCCGCTCCAGGTGATAACCTAAGCAGCAAGCAAGGAAGAAATGATTTAGATTCTCATTAAAAGCACACCTGCTGCTTAATGGGCGCAGGGCTTCCTTTTGGGGTGATGAAGATGTCTTCTGAGTGGATAGAGGTGATGGTCGCACCACATTATGAAGATACTAAATGCCACTGAATTGTACACTTTATAATGTTTAATGGTTAATTTTATGTTATGTGAATTTTATAAGTAAGAAAGAGCACAGCTATTAAATGTAAAAAAGGTAAAAAGTTAGCAAGTTTACCAGTATATTAAAATACTAGAAAGAGTTCCATATGACCTCAATAAATTAGGAAATGTGCATTAAAATAGGATGGAGTTTTATGAGAAAAAAATAGGAGGAAGAAAACAAGGACACATAACATACATACAAGACAAGGAACAATTAGCCCTAAATAGAGCAGATTACACAGGGTTGGGATAGGAAAGAAAAGGTCATTAGAGCATAAATTATGATTCAGCAACAAAATGAAGTTAGTAAAAACATGATCTGGGGAGTGTTTATAGAAGCACAATTTACATGAGCCAGTAAAGTAATCTTTTTTCTGCCACTGATAAGGTTTTTATTAGGGCACTGTATCCTGTTTTGGTCTCTGTACTTGGCTCTAAAGGATACACACAACTTTTAGCTAGAGTCGCAAACATCATTAGTTTGCTCAAACACATACTAATCAGCCACAGTTCCTGTAGAGGAAAGTTGGAAACATTCTAATGCTCTAAGACAACTCTGCTCAATTTCTTCTCTTCTATGAGCTTTACACAGACTTTTCCGGCCTTAAGAGTTACACTTAGGCTCAAGGACAGCACAATGGAACTGGCTATCATAAACACTGGCACCTCATATGCAAATGTCAGAACCACTGGACTGGGCCCTGACAGGTTCCAGCCATGCCCCCATGTGGTCACAGTTAAGCACTGGCACTGGGACTGCACAGATTCCATTTGTGGGAAATAAACCAGCACCCCACCCTACCTTCCTACCCTCCTACTAGCACAAACCCACAAAGCACTGCTAAGGGGTATCCCTTTAAAGCCAAACATAAACTGAGGGGAGAAAAAGGGCTTAGGTGCCTTTTTGCTTGTTGTATTGTTACTTGAAGCCGAGAACTCCGAGAATCCTCCAGAATTCAGGTTTCAGAGGCCACAGTTACCTGGAGCAGCTGGATTCAGACGGGGACCTTTGTTGCCCTTCGTACTGCTGCACTAGGGCCCGCACACTCCAGTATGGATTCTCAATTTCCTCATCCATGCTGCTGTTCCTAAAGTCAAAGGACCCCAGCAAAGGGAAGGTGTCAGTCCTTCAGATCAGATCAACTCAACAAGTACAGAGAGACTGCCACTCTGCGAGCAGTATACACACATGAGTAAGACAAAACCCCTGCCTCAAAGACACTTGGTACCTAGCAGGGAAGGCAGACAAAAAACAAGTAATTCACCAACCTGTGCAACACCTCAGGGTCCTGCTCTCTCTTAGCAGATACACAACCCACAAAGCATTTCCTGCCATGACTCCCAAGACAACCTGACCTTTGGGTACATTCCAGAGTGGAGCTTCCTCTAGATGAACTGGAACACTGCTCCCACGGACCTCCCAGTGAAGAAAACACACTGTGCCAAAAGTGTATATTTAAATTTTGGGCACCAGAGCAAAAACTTACACATAAGATTCCTTTACTTTTGCTAAATGCAAAATAAAAATAAACATCTCAGAAGAAAAGGCTTTTCTCTTTTGAGAGTGCCCTCCCCTACCTCCCCACTCCATGTTCTTTTCTGCAATCTGGGGCTGTTTGGGTGACGTTTCTATCTACTGCACTGTATCATCTAACAGAAGAAGTATCAGAGAGAGGGATCAGTTCCCACCCCCAGATTTCTACCCTTACCTCTGTCTATATCGAAAGACATCCCGTCCTGATCGGGACATGTCATGACACACATCGGCCAGAGCAGCAGCTGCTCCCTGGGCAACAGCAGTGGCACAGTGTGGTCGGTGACTTTGCAGAGGGGCTCTGGAGTCCCGTCCTTGGTTCACCGTCCTGCTGGAGCCAGGTTTGAAATGAGCTGCCAAGGCAAGGACCAGCCTCATGATAGACTTCAGGTTTCCATCCACAATATCTGAAGGATAAAACGGACCAAGAATAAAACAGACCAAGAGGTCCTAAGAGGGAGGCAAAAGCTGAGGACTTCTGCATTTATTACATATTGCTAGTGATACAGGTAAGCAAGGCAGTCAGGGTCTCAGTCCTCACAAAGCTCTGGGCAACAAGGGAGACCGAATATATAACAGCAATGACAATAAAGTAAGATCATGTGTTTTGATAAGAGAAGTACAGGATTCTTTGGGAGGTCAGAGTAGAGACATCTTATCTAGATGGCTCAGAGAAGGATTCCTAGAGGAAGTGGGTTCTAAACTGAGACTTGATTGACAAAAGAGTAGCACATTAGTTAGACAAGAGAAAGACAAAGAGTATTCCAGGAAGAGGGAACAGCAGGTGTGAAGGTCTTGAAGTGGGAGAGAGCATGATATATTAGAGCTATGCCATCTAATATGGGAACCATTAGCCACCTGTAGCTATCAAGCACTTAAAAAGTCACTAGTCTGAAATGAAATGTGCTCTAAGTGTAGTATGTACTTAGCATACACACATGCCCCCAAAATGCAAAATATCTCGATAACTTTTTATATTGATTGCATGAAATGGTATTTTGGATATATTGAGTTAAATGAAATATTATTAAAATTAATCTCACCTTTTTTTTTTTTTGAGATGGAGTTTCACTCTTGTTGTCTAGGCTGGAGTGTAATGGCGTGATCTTGGCTCACTGCAACCTCTACCTCCCAGGTTCAAGCAATTCTCCTACCTCAGCCTCCTGAGTAGCTGAGATTACAGGTGCCCGCCACCATGCCCAGCTAATTTTTTGTATTTTTAGTAGAGATGGGGTTTCACCATGTTGGCCAGGCTGGTCTTGAACTCATGACCTCAGGTGATCCACCTGCCTCAGCCTCCCAAAGTGCTGGGATTACAGGCGTGAGCCACTGCGCCCGGCTCACCTGTTTCTTTTTTTATGATGTGGCTATTAGAAACTCTTTTTTTTTTTCCCCCAGGCTGGAATGCAATGGCACGATCTTGGCTCACTGCAACCTCTGCCTCCTGGGTTCAAGCGATTCTCCTGCCTCAGCCTCCTGAGTAGCTGGGATTACAGGTGCCCACCACCACGCCCAGCTAATGTTTGTATTTTTAGTAGAGATGGGGTTTCACCATGTTGGCCACGCTGGTCTTGAACTCCTGACCTCAAGTGACCAGGAGTGTGATCAGGGAGGCCTAGCCTCCCAAAGTGCTGGGATTACAGGTGTGAGCCACTGCACCCGGCCTGCTATTAGAAACCTATGTGGTTAAGTTACCTATGTGAGTTGCATTCTATTTCTGTGACACAGCACTGTGGTGGAGGAAGTGAAAGAAGTTCAGCATAGGCAGAGCCCAGAATGCAGGGGGAGACAGGGAAAGGTGAGGCAGCAGAGGGGTGCATCAGAGGGTGGATCACACAGGGCATGGGAGGCCACAGGAAGGACTCTGGATTTTATCCTAAGGGTCCTCAGATACGGAGGAGTGGCATGAGTATATGTACTCTTAGAAAGATCATTCTGACTGCAGTGTGGAGAGCAGATGAGAAGGGGACAAAAATCAATGCCGCAGGACTAACTCAGACTGTTACACTTCTCCAGGTAAATGACAATGATGTCCTAAATGGCAGTGTTCCCTCAAAATAGCTGACTTTAATGGGCCAGATCCCCAAGCCCACTCCACATGGGAACCAGATCAGAGGTATCGTGGAACTCTAAATTTTGCCCTAGAAATAAAAGAGGAATGTAGGCAGAAAACAGTGTGGTAAGTCTGGTGAAAGTCAATGTAACGAAATGGGTAAATTTTTATTTTATTTTTTAGCTTTGTAGCCTTTAAATATACAAGTCTTGGAAAAGGATTATTTGTGTTTGTTTTTTTTCTTTTTCACCTTTTGTTTTAGAAGCAGGTGGTACACATGCAGGTTTGTTACAAAGGTATATTGTGTGATGCTGAGGTCTAGGGTACGATTGAACTCATCATCCGGATAGTGAGCACAGTACCCAACAGGTAGTTTGCAGCCCTTCCTCCCTCCTTCCCTCCCTCCTCTAGTAGTCCCCAGTTTCTATTGTTCCCATCTTTATGTCCCAATGTGCACCCAGTGTTTAGTTCCCAATTATAAGTAAGAACATAATGGTGTTTGATTTGCTGGTTCTGCATTAGTTTGCTTAGGATAATGGTCTCCAGCTGCATCCATGTTGCAGCAAAGGACATGAATTTTTTTTTTATAGCTGCATAGTATCCTATGGTGTATATAGATATAGATATAGATATAGATATAGATATAGATATACACACCACATTTTATTTATTCACTGCACTGTTGATGGGCACCTAGGTTGATTCCATGTTTTTGCTATTGTGAATGGCGCTGCAATGAACCTACGGGTGCATGTGTCCTTTTGGTAGAATGATTTATTTTCCTTTGGGTATATACCCAGTAATGGGATTGCTGTAGTTCTTAGAGAAATCTCCAAACTACTTTCCACAGTGGCTGGACAAAGTTACATTCCCACCAACAATATATGTGTCCCCTTTTCTCCACAGCCTTGCCAACATCTGTTATTTTTTGACTTTTTAACAAAAGCCATCCTGACTGGTGTGAGATAGTATCTCATTGTGGTTTTGATTTGCATTTATCTGATTAGTGTTGATGAGCTTTTCTTCATATGTTTGTTGGCCACTTTTGAGAAGTATCTGTACATGTCCTTTGCCCACTTTTCAATAGGGTTATTTGTTTTTGCTTGTTATTTAAGTTCCCTATAGATTCTAGATATTAGACCTTTGTCAGATTCATAGTTTGTGAATATTTCCTCCCATTCTATAGGCTATCTGCTTACTCCCCTGATAGTTTCTCTTGCTATGCAGAGGCTCTTTAGTTTAATTAGATTCCAATTATCAATTTTTGTTTATGTTGCAATTGCTTTGAGGATTTAGTAATAAATTCTTTGCCAATGCCAATATCAAGTAGGGTTATTTCCTAGGTTTTCTTCTAGGATTTTTATAGTTCAAGGTCTTATATTTAAGTCTTTATTCCATCTTGAGTTAATTTTTGCAAAAGGTGATAGACAGGGATCTAGTTTCATTCTTCTGCATATGGCTGGCCAGTTATCCCAGCACCATTTATTGAATAGGGATTCTTTTCCTCATTGCTTATTTTTGTTGAGTTTGTCAAAGATCACATGGTTGTAGGTGTGGAACTTTATTTCTGGGTTCTCTAGTCTGTTCCATTGGTCTATGTGTCTGTTTTTATACCAGTACCATGTTGTTTTGGTTACTGTAGTCTTGTAGTATAGTTTGAAGTCAGGTAATGTGACACCCCAGCTTTGTAGCTTTGTTCTTTTTTTTTTTTTTTTGAGATAGAGTTTCGCTCTGTTGCCCAGGCTGGAGTGTAGTGGCGCAATCTTGGCTCACTGGAACCTCGGCCTCCTGCTTTCAAGCTATTCTCCTGTCTCAGCCTCCTGAGTAGCTGGGACTACAGGCATGCACCACCACACCCAGCTAATTTTTGTATTTTGAATTTCTTTTACCTCTTTGGTTAGATGTATTCCTAGATATTTCTTTTTTGTGTGTGGTCATTGTAAGTGGGATTGTTTGTGGGATTGTGTTCATAATGTGTCTCTCAGCTAGAATGTTATTGGTGTATAGAAATGCAACTGATTTGGCCAGGTGCAGTGGCTCATGCCTATAATCCCAGCACTTTGGGAGGCTGAGGCAGGTGGATCACTTGAGGTCAGGAGTTCGAGACCACGCTGGCCAACATGATGAAATCCCGTCTCTACAAAAATACAAAAATAAGCCAGGCATGGTGGCGCATGCCTGTAGTTCCAGCTACTCAGGAGGCTGAGGCAGGAGAATCAGCTGAACCTAGGAGGCGGACGTTGCAGTGAGGTGAGATCACGACACTGAACTCCAGTCTGGGTGACAAAGCAAAACTCTATCTCAAAAAAGTAAAACAAATGCTACTGATTTTTGCACACTGATTTTATATCCTGAAACTTTACTCAAGTCATTTATTAGTTCTAGGAGCCTTTTGACAGAGGCTTTTGGGGTTTTCTAGGTATAGAATCATATCATCAGTGAAGAGAGATAGTTTAACTTTTTCTTCTCCTATTTGGATGCCTTTTATTTCTTTCTCTTGCCTGATTGCTCTGGCTAGGACTGCCAGTACTATGTTGAGAAGGAGTGGTGAAGGATTCTTTGATACCTTCCACAAGGTGCTCTCAATGATCAGTATTGGCCTCATCTAAATGATCTAAACACAGAGAACACTAATATAATAATCCAACATGAGCCGTTCTGCCCCTATTGTCATGAGACCCAAAGGCAATCAGACCCAGGAACTGACGCTGAAACAAAACCAGGTCTATAGTCAGTTCTCGAGAAACAGCAAGAGAACTAGGGAGCCTATGCTCTCTAAGAACACCTACACTGTTCCTCCCTTGAAGCCTGGGCTCAAAATAGCCCAGCAAACCCATCTGGGCCAAGCCACTACAGAAGAGGGCAGATGCAGAGGTCACAGAGCTGCTTTCATCCTGCCTAGAATGTTCTATGATATCCAAAAAAGGGCTATAAAATATTTCCCTTCTAAAAAACTAGATGGAAAAAATGTAGGTTATGAGTATCTTAAATAATATTTTGTCATGAAACCCAAGGAACTTAAAAAACATAAACTCTTCATTTTTGATAACTTAAATGAGAAATTCTAAAATTAATATCCCAATATTGTAATTTCTTCTCTCTTTTTTAAAAAATGGAGACAGAGCCTAACTATGTTGCCCAGGATAGTCTCAAACTCCTGGGCTCAAGTGATCCTCCCGCCTTGGCCTCCCAGTGCTGGGATTACAGGTATGAGCCACCATGCCCAACCATAATTTCTTCTCTAACCACTAATTTTCCTACATACACTCAAGCAAATCTGTATTCAATTAAAATGAATGCCCGGGCACAATGGCTCACGCCTGTAATCCCAGCACTTTGGGAGGCCAAGGCGAGGCGGGTAGATCACTTGAGGTCAGGATTTCGAGACCAGCTTGACCAACACAGTGAGACCCCATATCTACTAAAAATACAAAATTAGCCAGGCATGGTGGCACATGCCTGTAATCCCAGCTACTTGGGAGGCTGAGGCAGGAGAATCACTTGAACCAGGGAGGCAAAGGTTGCAGTGAACCAAGATTGTGCCATTGCACTCCAGCCTGGGCAAGAAGAGTGAAACTCCGTCGCAAAAAATAATAATCATGAAATAAAAAATAAAAAATAAAATAAAATGAATGGAGACTTTCTATCTTCCCCCAGGTTACAGCCAAGGATTTTCCTGAGGCTAGCACTCACTGGTTAAAGTATACTCATGCACCAAGGATGTGATGAGGCACTGACCTTTAGCCGAAGTCTGGTGCATACGAATCTTTTTAGAGGCCACAAACTGTAGCACTTTCTCCACATTATTCTTCATCTCCTGTTGGTTACCGGGACTCAGCTGTACCCCACTCAGCTTTTCTCCTGCTGTTAGGAGAGAGAAAATATAGGAAGTTATAGGGAGGAATATTATCAAAGTTTCATAGCAGCTAGACACAGAGGAAGGGAAGATTTGATGTGAACACCAACATTATACATAAATATATAAATGAGTTAAGTCCTGGTGTTTGTCATTTAGATGGGAAATAGGAATATGAAAGCCTTTTGGAAGGCTTTCAAATTTATACTTAGGGGTCTGTGAAGTTACTGTGTGTACATTTATTCAGTCAGCAAATATTCACTCAGCATCTATTGAGTGGCAAGTACTCACTATTCTGGGCACCAGAGAAAAAGGAGAGAAAAAGAACAATAAAGTCCCTCCCTTCATAGAATTTATATCTGCAGGAGTGGCAGACAACAATCAAGTTAACAAGTAAGTGTTTAATATAATTTCATAGTAGCGATAAGTGCTTGAGGAAAAATAAAGTACAGTGATCATGGTCTCTCTGATAATAACATTTGGCAGCACCTTGAATAAAGTAAAGCATGTTAAGATTTGAGGAGGAAGCATTCCAGACTGAGGAACCACAGGGACAAACCCCAAGCTCCGCTTACCTGAAGAACAGCAAGAGCAGTGTGGCTGGGGGAGTGAGCAAGGAGTCAAGTCCTAGGAAAGGCTAGACAGGCAAGCAATGCCAGGGCAGGCGGGGCTTTCTGGACCACAGCAAAGGGCCTGAATTTTATCCTAAGTGTAATGAGCAGCCAATGGAGAGTCTGAGACAAGGGAGTGACATAATCTGGTTTATGTTTTTAAAAGTTGACTGGCAGGGTGCCATGGCTTACGCCCGCGCCCGTAATCCTAGCACTTTGGGAAGCCAAGGCAGGGGAATTGTCTGAGCCCAGGAGTTCAAGACTAGCCTGGGCAAGATGGTGAAAACCCCGTCTCTACAAAAATAATAAAATAAATAAAATGGACTCTGCGTGGAAATAGACTATGGAGAGAGGAAACAGGGAGATCAGTCTGAAGCATGATGAAAATAGTCAAGGCAGGACATGATGGTTTGGGCTAGAGTGGAAGAGGCTGACTGATGAGAAGTTAGATATCAGGTATATTGTAAATACAAAGCAGATGGCACATATGAAGGATTCGATATAATATATGACAAAAAGGACAATTAAGGACACCTTCTAACTGTTCTGCTTTAACACCTAGGCAAATGATAATGCAGTGTGTTACTCTGATGAAGAAACTTGGAGAATAAAGGGATTGGTAGGGGGAAGGACATCCAAATTTCTGATTAGGATGTGTGAAATTTGAGTTGCATATTAGACATCCAAGTAGAGATGTTGGATATTCATGTCTAGAACTCAAGGAAAAATTCAAGCCTAAAGATACAAATTTGGGAAGAAATCACTTAGGAGTAGAGAATATATAAGAGGGCTGAACCTGCAGCACTCCGGGATTAGAGGTCAGGAAGGAAATGAAAAGCCAACAAAAAAATGAAAGGAGCCTGAGAGGAAGGAAGAAAACTAGAAGTTAATAGGATTCTGGAAGCCAAGTAAAGAAAGTGTTTGAAGAGAAGGGCGTTATCAACTATGTCAAGTACTGCTATGTTGAATAAAATGAGGTCTGAGGCCTGGCCACTGGATTTGATAAGGTGGAGGCTTGGCCACTGGATTTGATATGACCTTGAGGAAGGCGGTTTCAGTGGAGTGGGATCAGAAGCCTGATAAGGGCAGATTAAAGAAAGCATAGGAAATAAGGAAGTGGATCCAGTGAATATAGGCAAAATCTTGTGAGGAGCTTTTCTATCTAGCAAAGTCACAATAGAAAGTTGTGTTTAAGAACCTGGGTTTTGGCTGGACGCGGTGGCTCACGCCTGTAATCCCAGCACTGTGGGAGGCCGAGGCAGGCAGATCACGAGGTCAAGAGATCGAGACCATCCTGGCCAACAAGGTGAAACCCCGTCTCTACTAAAAATACAAAAAATTAGCCGGGCGCGGTGGCGGGCGCCTGTAGTCCCAGCTACTCAGGAGGCTGAGGCAGGAGAATGGCGTGAACCCGGGAGGCGGAGCTTGCAGTGAGCCGAGATTGCGCCACTGCACTCCCGCCTGGGCCACAGAGCGAGACTCCGTCTCAAAAAAAAAAAAAAAAAAAAAAAATACAAAAATTAGCTTGGCGTGGTGGTGCACGCATGTAGTCCCAGTTACTTGGGAGGCTGAAGCAGGAGAATTGCTTGAACCCAGAAGGTGGAGGCTGCAGTGAGCCGAGATTATGCCATTGCACTCCAGCCTGGCAACAGAGCAAAACTCCGTTTCAAAAAAAAAAAAAGGAAAAAAAAAAAAAAAAAAACCCCGGGTTTTGCAGGGGAGGGAATGGGAAAAAAAGGGCCTAGGTTTTGGAAAAATAAGAATACATATTCATATTACTTGTATAGACATAGAATGGGAAGTTTCTCTGGGAAGAAATGCAAGAAACTGCTAACACTAGCTGCCTCTAGAAGGAAAAATGGGTAGCTGGTGGGGGAACATAAGTGGAAAAAGGAGGTTTGATCTTACATCCTTTTGTACATCTGGATTTCCTACTAGTCCATGTATAACCTATTCAAATAAATGAAACATTAAATGTTTAAAACAGGCTTTGGAATTAAAGCAGATCTAGGTTTGTACCTCTGTTTTGGCACTTATAGTTATGTGACTTTGTAAAGTTGCTTAGCCTCTCTAAGCCTCATAAAATGAATACAATAGTACTAGTCATATTATACACCTATCATAAATAAATCAAAATAGCATGCTTAGCTATTTTGTTTGACTCATACTAAGTACTATTTATTTTTATAAATCTTCTCTTTTAAGCTTGTTTCCTAAAAGTGGGGATAATATTATGTTTCCCAAAGATATGATGATTAAATGAAATTAAACAAGATAGAAAGTGTTCAATCCTAGCAGTTGCTATTACCGTTGCCATTATTACCATCATTACAGATGAATACTCTGATGAATTCATAAACTGTCCCTATGAGGTATTCACGGATGGGCTGCTTGTTGCAAACCTGGCTTCTTCCGTACCACTTGCAGGTCCTATATCCCTCAAGAACTCAAAGCAAAATCAGCTAACTAATGTAACAATAAATGTTTGAGAACCTATTATGTGCATTTGGCTAGAGCTTGCATAAACAGAAAAACATTATACTATGCCTGCTCTTAAACAGCTCAGATCACACAGGATAGGTAATCAAATGATTACCACATAATTATCATTCGATGAGAGAAATAATAATAGAAATATGGACAAATGCTATGGAAATAAGGTTATGGTACCATCTAGTAAGAATGACTGTCAACAACCCCAGGGTTCAAGAGGAAAAAAATTTTATGAAGTATTATGGTAGAAGGGTCCTTTTGCCAGTAACATCCCTCTTTTTGCCTGACTACTACTTCCTTCTCTGGCCTTGGTTTAGATACCAATTCTTCTGGTAGGCCTCAGTTGAGATATCAGTTCTGGTAAGCCAATCCCTGAGCCCCTAAGACTGGGCTGGGTGTCCCTCCTATGTGCTCCCATCTGTGCTTACCCCACTGGAGTACTAAGTACATTAATGGAATTGACTTCACTTTCCAGCCTTTCCAACTAGTTTGGTAGACTCTTGAGAGCATGGACTATTCTCATCCTCATATTCCCAAAGCATAATACAGTGCCCGGGACACAATGTTTATTGACGAATAAATAAATGAATTAACCTTGGGCAAGTATTTTAAGTCTTCTCTACCTCTACTGCCATATATTCTAAAGAAAAAATAACCTGCTCTAAAGGGCATAAGAAGGATAAAGAAGGCCAGATTCTGATCTATGTACTCTAGTATCAGAGTCCAGGGCCAACTGACCAACAATCTCGATGAGATATGCCAGGATCACCCCATCCCGGAGATCTTGTCGCAGGTCCTGCACAGGCTTCACTGCTGGCCTCTTCTTCAGCTGTGCATTCACCCAGGCCACATAGGCCTGCAGCTGTTGCTGGAAAATAAAAGATATAAGTAAGGGAAAGAGAGCATATTAATCTCAACCCTTACCTCATACCCTCTGAGGAAGCGTTTGTGACTGGGGTATAATAAACAACCCATATCCAGAAGCAGGAGAAATTTTTGAGGAAAGAGAGAAGAAAGATTATATCATGGTCAGACACACAGCATGTTCACAAATTCTCTAGTTTTATGCTAATCTCCAGTGATAAGCTAACCTCGGACTTGGGTGGCACTGTAGACACACATAAGCAGATGAGTCTTTCAATGACTATGACTCTTGCTTTCCTCAAGTTTTTCTCTGTTGACCAGGGATGAGGGCTTGGCCCAGAACCACAGCCAGTTTTCAGGTCTATTCACGACTGCCAGCAACCCACCGCACTTCTCAGAAACAATTACTCGTGCCATATGCATAACAGACTCTGATACTCATACGAATTGCTCTTGGGCAACCAGGAATAAACAATAAACCATGCTCAGAGCTGCCTCTCCCATAGCTGCTTTCTTCAAAATGAGACTTAAGTGAAATCATCTCACAGTCAACCCAAGATTTATTCTCCTGAGCCAATAATCCTAGGATTGCTACAGAGTTAGTTTTAATCCATGCTTTATATTGTCAAAGAGGATCTGGTTACCGAAAATCTACACAAAGAAGGAAAAAGAAAGGCTATAGTGAGCAATGTTACTGAAGACTAAGAGGCATTTTCATTTACTTTTAGACAAAGCTAGGGCCCAGTATTATCAGAAACTGGTCAGGCATCTACGTAGGGACATACAACTCATTCCAACCCTTGGAAACCTTACATATTACATTTTGTCCATTAAACAGAACTGGTATTCAGATGTTTATGCTGATTATTTGGTCAAAAGATGGGCACTAATATCAAAATATCACACAAACAATGTCACTCTCCAAGTAGCAGCTCTGACTGGTTTCTTTGCAGCCCAGGACCCTGAGCCTAAAATTTAAGTTCAAGGGCTAATTGTATTAATTTATAATTTGGTTAAAATACAGTTGATTCCTAAGCCCCAAGTACTTCCTTAATGAAACAATGTTGGAAATTACTCACTGGCTGCTTCCTGAACATAAATTAAATCGTCATTATTTTCTCTCTTTGTCAATTTGTGAGAATAAATAACATCGTTTGGAAGACAGTGCTAAGACAACAATCCATCAGCCACTGACAAACTGTAGGAAGTGCAACGATCAGGAGGAGGTGGGAGGAGGAATCTAATATTTATTGAGCACCTATCATGAACTAAACCAATTTTTGGTGTTTGACCCATGTTTTAATTAGTGAAGGTACCTGGGCCAGGGCCTGACATAAAATTGACGCTTACTAAATGTACTAAATGACATTATTTTTGTCATCGTCATCCAATTCAATTCTCAGAAAAACACTAGAGTTAGCATTATCTCCATTTTATGGATGAGGTTCAGAGAGGTTATGTAACTTCTCTAATGTCCCCATAGCTAGGACATAGCAGACATGGTATTAAAACCCAGTAATGTTGTCCATGCATTTACCAAGGGTCTCTTGCTATCCAACTTACTCCACAGAACAGAAATGGCTGCACCTTCTGCCTCACGTGGGCCAGACACCCATCACCAGGGACCAGATGAGATCTGTGATGCTCCAAGGTCTGCTCCCATTGTGCAGTCAGAAGCAGACCAGGCAAAGGGCACCTCTAGAGTGAACCACTCTGGTCTGAGGGAAAGCAGTTAAGCCCAGAAAGAACACTAAGGTGACTGGTGGGATCTGATTACCTGGCTTTTATATAAAACTCCTAACCAATTTCCCTGTATCTATTATCATCCTCAACCCACCCTCCACACATTCCTGCTTAAAATCTGTTACTTGTCTCCAATTATCCTCAAAGATAAAATCCAATTGCCATTTAAGCTCGTCACGTGCTAGCCTTCACCTGTTCTCCAGCTTCACCCCCATTCCCCAAATACCCACCATGCTTCAGCTCATCTGAATTATGTACAGTTCCCCAAATGCACCATGCTTTCCAGCCGCTCCACCTCCTTCTAACTCCTGCCTCTTTTTTTTTCTTGGAGATGGAGTCTTGCTCTGTCGCCCAGGCTGGAGTGCAGTGGCATGATCTCAGCTCATTGCAACCTCCGCCTTCCAGGTTCAAGCAATTCTCTCGTCTCAGCCTCCCAAGTAGCTGGGACTACGGGTGCCTGCCACCACGCCGGGCTAATTTTTGTATTTGTAATAGAGATGGGGTTTCACCATATTGGTCAGGCTGGTCTTGAACTCCTGACCTCAGGTGATCCACCCACCTAGGCCTCCCAAAGTGCTGGGATTACAGATATGAGCCACCGCACCCGGCCAACCTGCCTCTTCTTAAGTCTCAGCTCAAGTATCACTTTTTTCAGAAAGCTTTCCCTGACCTCTCAGATACCACAGACTCTGATCTCCCTGAGGGCTTCCTATGTCACACAATCAGTTCAACAATAATTTGAGGCACTGTACCCAGTTATGAGGCTACAACAAGCCCCAGCTTGCAGGCTGGTAGAAACAAAGCTATGACGGGGTACATAGGGTGCTAACAGAGTATTAGCCCAACCTGAACCCCAAGCTTCAGAGGGTCTCCTGAAGGAGGAAAAGAAGCAAAGAGGACAGTGAGCTCAAAGGAGCTAAGGCCTGAAATATGCTTTATGTGGAGAGTCACAATAGTTCAGAATTATTTGACTCTTAGAGTAGCAGGTGCTCAACAAATATTTGTTTGAATCAGTTAATCATTTGTCACATTTTATCAGGCCAATAACTAAGATGACTGCAAAAGTTAATTGCGGGGGGACAAACAAGAACAAGTATTTTTCTTGAGGTCAAGATAATTTCTACTTAAGTAACCTTAGCTTTTTCTTGCCCGTAGAAGTTGTCTCTGATGCAAAACTGATTAGTACTGTTGAGTACTTTTCATGCACATTACTCACAGTCTGGTCTTCCAACAAAAGAGGATTCCACAGCATAAACAGTAATAGTCACTTTTCAGAACACCTACTTTGTATCAAGAGCTATGCTAGGTTCTTTAAACACATTTTATCTAATGCTAATCTGGCAGGGAGATGTTTTTGTATTTATTTTCCTCATTGAAAACAGAGACACAAAACGGTGAAATAACTTGTTCATGGTTACCCAAACAGTAAATCATGAATATGGAATCCAGATATGACTCCCAAGCCAATGCTCTTTCCACTCTACCACACTGCTGCCTAAATAAATGCACTGCTGAGGCTTAAATGACTTCCCTAAAACTTTCAGGATGTACCTGAGTCAAACCACTCCCTCCACCACATCCAATCCATGAATCTCTTGTGTAATAAACTATACTAAGCGGCTGTCTACTAAAGTGTGCTTCCCAGATCAGTAGCATCGGCAACACCTGGGAGCCTCCTGCAAACTCCTGGGCTCCTCCCCAGCCTACTGAATCAGAGCCTATATCTTAACAAGCTCTCCTGGTGATTCATATGCACATGAAAGCATGAGAAGCACTGACCCAGCCCGCTGTTGCCATACCTGGCTGCACGTCAAGGTCACAAGGGAAGTTTTTCATAAGCAGACGTCATCCTAAATCTACCAGTTGTCTCCAGAGGGTAGGAACTCAGAAAGATTTATCTTCCCAAGCTTTCCCATATGATTCTTGTAAAGCTGATTTGAGTCTTTTCCCAGCGAAACAGTCCAGTTCCCTTAACCAAGGGGTTCCCAGCCCCCTTGGTTAACAACCAGAATCACCTGGAAAGCTTTTCAAAAAATACTAATGTCTAGGCCCACCATAGAGCAGTCAGAATTTCTGAGAGTGGGACCAAGGTATATCAGTATTCCTCAAGTGCTCCTAGTAACATGCAGAGATGTGAGCCAAGGTTAACTATTCCTTACATAAAATAGTTAAAAGTATTACTGTTTTTCTTTTTCTTTTCTTTTTTTTTTTTTTTAAGACAGAGTTTCACTCTTGTCTCCCAGGCTGGAGTGCAGTGGCATGATCTCGGCTCACTGCAACCTCCGCCTCCCGGGTTCAAGCAATTCTCCTGCCTCAGCCTCCCGAGAAGCTGGGATTACAGGCGCCAGCCACCATGCCCACCTAATTTCTGTATTTTTAGTAGAGATGGGGTTTCACCATGTTAGCCAGGCTGGTCTCGAACTCCTGACTTTGTGAACCACCCACCTCGGCCTCCCAAAGTGCTGGGATTACAGGCGTGAGCCACTGCGCCCGGCCAAAATTGTTACTGCTTTTCTAAATCTGAATCCATGACACCTAGAACCTGATGCTCCCTAGACGTAATGAAGACATACAGCTTCTTTATTCAAAATGCTGTATTTCGCCGGGCACAGTGGCTCATGCCTGTAATCCCAGTACTTTGGGAGGCCAAGGTGGGCGGATCACTTGAGGTCAGGAGTTCAATACCAGCCTGGCCAACATGGTGAAACCCTGTCTCTACTAAAAATACAAAAATTAGCCGGGTGTGGTGGTGTACACTTGTAATCCCAGATACTTGGGAGGCTGAGGCAGGAGAATCACTTGAGCCTGGGAGGTGGAGGTTGCAGTGAGTCGAGATTGCGCCAGTGCACTCCAGCCTGGGCGACAGAATGAGACTCCATCTCAAAAACAAACAAAAACAAAATGCTGTATTTCTCTTTCTCCTCTTTCCTTCCTTCTTTGGCCAATAGATCACACTGCTGACTTGCACTAAGAGGTCATTCAAAACCACTAAGTATTATTTTTCATTCTGAAACAATCTTAGACTTAGCAAAAAGGCAGCAAAAATGGTAGAGTTCACCATTACCCAGGTAGCCCAAATTTTTACATCTTACATAAGCACAGTACAATGATCAAAACAGGAAGCTAATGTTATGGGATCCTTGAGTGTCACTTTGCTAGCTGGAAACCTGGCCAGTGGTGCCTTTGCCTGAGTTTTGCTTGGGCCCACTGGGCCCACTCAGTCTGGCAAGCTCGCACTGCCGGCTTGGATCCCGTGCCTGCTAAGGGCAAGTGGAGTGGCAAGGGGTGTGTGATCAAGTGAACATGGGGTCCAGCCACTGTGCACAGCCAGAAACACTGACTGTGGTGGGGTGGGCAGCTCCAGGGACTGGCACAGGTGCTGGCTCCCTGCGATGCTGCAGCTGGACCAGGCATACTGCAAGCAGCTTCCACAGCTGGCACCAGGGAATGTGGTGGCGCCTGGAAGCTTGGAGACTCCAAGAACCACAGAGCCCAAAAGAGGGTGTCACAGCCCTGGCTTGGGGAGCTCCTAGGTCTGGGCTCCCCAAAGGGAGCTCTTCTCTCTGCAGCTCTTCTCTCCTCTGTTCTCTCCTTCTTGTTGCCTGCAACATGGTGAGCAAGGGGCATGTTTCAGACCTGTTGGTGTTACAGCTCTTTCAGCCCCACCATTTGGCAGGTCCCAAGTTCCTGCCCTGCATCCAGGAAGAATGAGGTATGTGGGTAAGTGGAGGGTAAGGTGAAGAGGAGCTTTATTGAGCGATAGAACAGCTCAGAGGAGACGTGCAGTGGGTAGCTCATCTCCACAGCCAGGGTGTCCCGATGAGTGTTCAGCTCTCAGCAGAGTGAAGACCCTGGAGTGGGTAGCTCTTCTCCTTGGCTGGTTTTCCCATCATCTGCTCACCATTCAGCAGGGAGGAGACCCTGGAGTGGGTAGCTCCTCTCCGCAGGCAGGTCGTCCCATCATTTTCCAAGTCTGGTTGAGTCTGGGGTTTTGATGGGCTTCAAAGGGGAGGAAGTGTGTACTGATTGGTTCATGGGTGGCCATGGGTAGGCCTGGAAAAAACACCATAAATTCCCACTCCGGTCTGCGGGGCTGGCAGCCTGACCCCCCAGGCTTCAGGCCTCCCTGGTTTGAAGGTGGGGCTTCACCGGGAACCCGCCCCTTTCCACACAGGAGCCTGTCTGCCTCCTGCCACGTGCCAAGGGGCACGTGTAGACCAGCGCTGAGCTGCCCACACCATCCCCTCAGCCTCCCTCTGGTGCTTTTCGGCACCCAAAGTCCAGAGGGAGCTAAGGCAGCAGGGGGCTGGCATATCAGTGCTGCCCCAACCCTGTGCACACCCAGCCAGGTTGTGGCAGTGCCCGGGCTTGGCCTCAACTTTGCTCCAAGATCGGAGCAGGTGCAGGGAGTCGGGAGAGGCCAGGCAGCAGGAGCAAGCATTTCCAAGCCTAGCCCCTGAGAGTGCAGCGATGCCTGGGTCCACAGCTGTGGCTTGGGCAGCTGCAGCTGCAGCTATACCTGAGGGGTTGGGGCTCCTGCCTGCTCCTGGCCCCCAAGAGCACAGGGATGCCTGGTCCACAGCCATGGTTTGGGTGGCTGCAGCTGTGCCCGGGAGGCCGGGACTCCTACCTGCTTCTGGCCCACAAGAGCACAGGGATGCCTGGGTCCACAGCTAGGGCTCTGGTGACTGCAGCTGCGCCCAGGAGGGTGGGGCTCCTGCCTGCTCCTGGCCCCCAAGAGCACAGGGATGCCCAGGTCTGCAGCTACAGCTGGACAGCTGCAGCTGCACCCAGAGAGCATAAAGCTCCCACCCTGCCAACTCAGAGGGGGCAGGCTTCTGCCTGTCCCTGGCTCCCACCAGCTCTGTGGAGCGTGCCGCCCCGGCCACACCTGCCCCACTGCAGCCGGCATCATGGCAACAGCTGCTCCAGATGGACTGCCGCTGCCATCACTAACAGTGACAAAATACCATTACCTAATCTAGACTTGGTTCAAATTTCACCAACTGTCCCACTAATGTCCTTTATCTGGTCCAGGATCCCTTCCAAGATCTCACAGTGCACTAGGCTGCCACGTCTCTTCCATCTCCTCCAATCTGGAACAGCTGCTCAGTCTTTGTCTTTCATGACCTTGACAATTTTGAAGAGTGCTGGCCAGTTATGTTGTACAATGTCCCACAATTTGGGTTTATCTGAAGTTTTCTCATAATCAAATTCAGGTTATGGAATTTTGGCAAGAAAACCACAGAAGTCACATTGTGCTCTTCTCAGCGAACCATACCAAAAGGCACATGATGCCAATACATCTCGTTATTGAAGTTAACTTCAGTCACTTGGTTAAGGTAGTATCTGCCACATTTCTCTACTGTAAAGTTGCTCTTTTTCCCTTTGTAATGAATTAGTATTTGTGGGAAGATGCTTTGAGACTATGAAAATATCCTCTTTCTCATCATCACTTTTCCCATCCATTTCAAATTTAACATTTATTGATTTTTCTTTCCTGCTACAATTATTATTATGGTGGTTCCCAAATGATGATTTTCTAATTCTGCCATTCCTCCTACATTTATTAATTGTAATTCCAACTGTGAGGAAGAGCTCTCTCCTCCCCCATTTATTTATTTACCTATTATTTTTTGAGACAGGGTCTCACTCTGTTGCCCAGGCTGGAGTGCAGTGGCACAAACACAGCTCACTGTGCTTTAACTTCCTGGGCTCAAGCAATCCTCTTGCCTCAGCCTCCTTAGTAGCTGGGACTACAGGCATGCACCACCATGCTCAGCTAATTATTATTATTATTTTTTTTATAGAGACAGAGTCTCACTATGTTGCTCAGGCTGCTCTCAAGCTTCCAGGCTCAAGTGATCCTCCCACCTCAGCCTCCCAAAGTGCTGGGATTACACGCATGAACTCCCATGCCTGGCCCTCTCCCCCATTTATTTATTTATATCAGTATATCATGGATATTTACTTTATTTTTTATTTCTGCTATTAATCCGCTACTGTAATTATTTATTTTAGGCCGGGCATGGTGGCTCAAGCCTGTAACCCCAGCACTTTGGAAGGCCAAGGCAGGAGGATCACTTGAGGTCAGGAGTTCGAGATCAGCCTGGCCAACGTGGTGAAACCTCGTCTCTACTAAAAATACAAAAATTAGCTGGGCATGGTGGTGGGCACCTGTAATCCCAACTACTTTGGAGGCTGAGGCAGGAGAATCGCTTGAACCTGGGAGGCGGAGGTTGTAGTGAGCCAAAACTGTGCCATTGCACTCCAGCCTGGACAACAAGAGTGAAACTCCATCTTAAAAAAAAATTATTATTATTACTATTTATTTTGCTGCTCAAATTGTTCTAGATTTGGCCATTAGGATACCTTCATTCATATTGATTCCTGTATTATTATCACATGCCTAGGTCATTTTTTTAAAATTGTGATTAAAGAAACAAAAAATTTACCATATTAACCAGTTCTAGGTGTAAATTCAGTAGTGTTAAGTATATTCACATTGTTGTGAAACAAATCTATAGACCTTTTTCATACTGCAAAATTGAAACTGTACCAAGTAAGCAACTCTGAAATTCCCCCTCCACTTAGCCCTTGGCAACCACCATTCTACTTTTGGTCTTTATGAACTGACTACTTTAGATACTTCATATAAGTGGAATCATACAGTATTTGTCTTATGGTGATTGGCTTATTTCAGTTAGCATAATGTCCTCAAGGTTCATCCATGTTGTAGCATGTGACAAGATTTCTTTCCTTTTCAAGGCTGAATAATAGTCCACCGTGTGTGTGTGTGTGTGTGTGTGTGTGTGTGTGTGTACACATATATATATGCACCACATTTTCTTTATCCATTCATTAGTTGATGGGCTCTTGAGTTGCTTCCACCTCCTGGATATTGTGAATAATGCAGCTATACAAGTATATAAATATCACTTCAAGATCTTTTTTTTTTTTTTTTTTTTTTTTTTTTGAGCTAGAGTCTCACTCTGTCACCTAGGCTGGAATGCAGTGGTGTGATCTTGGCTCACTGCAACCTCTACCTCCAGGTTCGAGCAATTCTCCTGCCTCAGCCTCCCGAGTAGCTGGGGTTACAGGCATGCGCCACTATGCCTGGCTAATTTTTGTATTTTTAGTAGAGATGGGGTTTCACCATGTTGGCCAGGCTGACCTCAAACTCATGACCTTAAGTGATCCACCCGCCTTGGCTTCCCAAAGTGCTGAGATTACAGGCATGAGCCACCGCACCGGGCCAAGATCTTGATTTCAATTATTTTCAATATATACCCAGAAGTGGAACTGCTGAACCATATGGCCTGTTCCTCTTTTGAGTACTTACTTTCTGACACTGTAAGATTCTCCAGACTCCTCATCTAGTACTCTCCCTGCTCCAGCTCTGGATCAGCTATTCCTCATTCTCTTCCTCCCTCCATCCCTCCTTTCCTTCCTTTTTTTTTTTTTTTTTTTGACAGGGTCTCACTCTGTTGCCCAGGCTGGAGTGCAGTGGCACAATCACAGCTCACTACAGCCTCAGCCTCAACCTCCTGGGCTCAAGCAATCCTCCCAACTCAGCCTCCCGAGTAGCTGAAACTACAGGTGCACACCACCATGCCTGGATAATTTTTGTATTTTTTGTAGAGATGGGGTTTTGCCATGTTGCCCAGGCTGAGCTATTTCTTAAAAGAACTCTGGTTCCTTTTATTGGAGAATAGTTTTTAGAAAGCAAGATTTGGGTGATAGGTGTGCTCACTGCTACCGAGGTAATATTCTAGGTCCTCTCAGTAGATAAAGTAGGAAATTTATATATGCATACATACATACCTATATGTACTTATCTTGACATATATATGAATGTATGGAATGTATATATATACATATGGGGGTGTGTTGTGTGTGTATATATATATTTACATACATAATTTATACCATAAATTATATTGATATCTCTTCCAACCCAACACCACAGAGTTCATCCTTTCCTTTCACTTTTCCTTATTTGTGTAACTCCTTTCTCCTGAGAAAACTGACTCTCACTATCCATAATACATATTTATTTGCTCAGTCCCTGAATACACATAAAATCATTTCAGAACTGCTAACTCATACCTGGTGAAAAATAAATTTATTAACTACAATAGAGTATTTGTATAAGGTTGTCCCTCATTATCCATAGAGGACTGGTTCCAGGAACTCCTTTGGATACCAAATCCATATATGCTCAACTGTCTGATATAAAATGGCATAGTATTTGCATATAACCTAAGCACCCTTTTAAATCATCTCTAGATTACTTGTAATAGCTAATACAATGTAATGTTATGTAAATAGTTATTAAGCTGTAATAGTTTAGGACAGGCATCTGGTCCATGGCCTGTTAGCAACCGGGCCACAGAGTGAAGCTTCATCTGTATTTACAGCTGCTCCCCATTGCTCACATTACCACCTGACCTCCGCCTCACTTCAGATCAGCGGTGGGATTAGATTCTCATGGGAATGGGAACCCTATTGTGAACTGTGCATGTGAGGAATCTAGGTTGCACCCTCCTTATGAGAATCTAATGACTGATGATCTGTCACTGTCTCCCATTACCCCGAGATAGGACCATCTGGTTGCAGGAAAACAAGCTCAGGGCTCCCACTGATTCTACATTATGGTAAGTTGTATAATTATTTCATTATATATTACAATGTAATAATACAAAAATAAAGTGCACAATAAATGTAATGTGTGTGAATCACCTCAAAACCATCCCCCACCTGGTCCATGGAAAAACTGTCTTCCATGAAACCGGTCCCTGGTGCCAGAAAGGTTGGGGACCTCTGGTTTAGGGAATAATGACAAAAAAAAAAAGTCTGTAGCTACTCAGTACAGACGCGTTTCTTTTGTCAAATATTTCTGATCTGCAGTTTGTTGAATCCACAGATGCTGAAGCCATGGATACAGAACGCATGGATAGAGACAGCTTACTGTACAATACTTTTTGTCTTTAGCCTTACAGTACACAGCCAAAATACTGCTTCCAAAGTTACTTGGGTTAGTTCTTTCCTTTTCCACTCCTTCCACTGTGGTTATATTATTCATTTATAATACAGTTAGGTTCATCTGTTACTCTTTGTAGTTCATTTTTGGTTAGCCCCAAATTCTGGTTGATTTTATTTATTGATTGATTGATATGGAGTATCGCTCTGTCTCCAAGCTGGAGTGCAATGGTGTGATCTTGGCTCACTACAACCTCCACCTCCCGGGTTCAAGCAATTCTCCTGCCTCAGCCTCCTGAGTAGCTGGGATTACAGGCACGTGCCACCATGCCTGGCTAATTTTTTATATTTTTAGTAGAGACGGGGTTTCACCATGTTGGCCAGGCTGGTCTCAAACTCCTGACCTCAGGTGATCCGCCCACCTCGGCCTCCCAAAGTGCTGGGATTACAGGAGTGAGCCACTGTGCCCGGCCTGGTTGATTTTAATTATTTATTTTTTGGATAGATGAAAAATTAATAAGGTCCTGAAAGAGCTATTCAAAAACATAAAAAGTGTCACTCCCACATCATTCTTTCCACCGCATTCCCATGTACCTCTCCGCACCCTATCCCACATAACCAAGCTCATTAGTTTCCAGTTTATATGGAAAATAACAGATACATGTATGTTCCTTTATTTCTCTTTCTTTCTTTTGTGAAAAACCTGATAGTATTGATACTAATTTGTACTTTTCTTTCTAACTTCACTTCATTTGATTCACTTGATTTAATTCTGAAAATCACTCCAAAGTGGTTTATAGAAATCTGCCCCATTTGTTTTTTCTTTGTTTGGTTTTTGGAGACAGGGTCTTGCTCTGTTGCCCAGGCTGGAGTTCAGTGGCATGATCACAGCTCACTGCAGCCTCAACCTCCCAAGTTCAATCCATCCTCTAGTCCCATCCTCCAGAGTAGCTAAGGCCATAGTCACACGCCACCACAGCTAATTTTTGGATTTTTTTTTTTTTTTTTGAGACAAAGTCTCACGCTGTCACCCAGGCTGGAGTGTAGTGGTGTGATCTCGGCTCATTGCAACCACCGCCTCCTGGGTTCAAGCAATTCTCCTGCCTCGGCCTCCTAAGTAGCTGGGATTACAGGCACGCACCACCACAGCCGGCTAACTTTGTATTTTTAGTACAAATGGGGTTTCACCATGTTGGTCAGGCTGGTCTCGAACTCCTCACCTCATGATCTGCCTGACTTGGTCTCCCAAAGTGCTGGGATTACAGGTGTGAGCCACCAGGCCTGGCCAATTTTTGGATTTTTTTGTAGAGACAGGGTCTCACTTTGTTGCTCAGGCTAGAACTTCTGGCCTCACCTTCCTCCCACCTTGGCCTCCCAAAGTCTGGGATTACAGGTAAACTACTGCCTGTAAACCATTGCCTTAGTGTTTTCTTGACTGTTCTTGTGTATTTATTTCACCATATGAACTTTAGTGTCAATTTGTCTAACTTCCTAAAAAAGCTTCTTGGAATTTTTACTGGGATTGTATTAAACTTATAAATTAATTTAGAGAAAATTGACATATTTATGATGTTGAATCATCCTACTCAAGAACATTGTATTAGTCTGTGTTCACGCTGCTGATAAAGACATACCCGAGACTGGGAAGAAAAAGAGATTTTAAGACGGGCATGGTGGCTCATGCCTATAATCCCAGCACTTTGGGAGGCTGAGGCGGGCAGATCACTTGAGGTCAGGAGTTCAAGACCAGCCTGCCCAACATGGTGAAACCCCATCTGTACTAAAAATACAAAAATTAGCCAGGTGTGGTGGCACACACTTGTAATCCCATCTTCTCAGGAGGCTGAGGTAGGAGAACCGCTTGAACCTAGGAGGTGGAAATCGCAGCAAGCCAAGATCATGCTACTATACTCCAACCTGGGTGACAGAGTGAGACTCCATCACAAAAAAAAAAAAAAGTTTTAATGGACTTATAGTTCCACATCACTAAGGAAGCCTCACAATCATGGCAGAAGGCAAGGAGGAGCAAGTCACATTTTACATGGATGGCAGCAGACAAAAAGAGAGACAGAGTTTGTGCAGGGAAACTCTGCCTCATAAGCCATCAGATATCGTGAGGTTTATTCACTATCATGAGAACAGCATAGGAAAGACCTGCCCCCATGATTCAATTACCTCCCATTGGGTCCCACAACACGTGGGAATTCAAGAAGAGATTTGGGTGGGGACATAGCCAAACTATATGATTTTGGGGCCCCTGGCCACTCCCAAATCTCATGGATATTCATAAATAATATTAGTCTGTAGTTTTTTTTTGCACCATCTCTATAATGTTTAGATATAAATATTACATTTCATAAAAACTTTTAGGAAAGTCTTCATTTTCTTTTTTTAATTTTTGATTTTTATAGGTATACAGTAGGTGTACATATTTATGGGTTTTCCTTCATTGTCAATGCTCTGAAATAATTTACACAACATTGTGTCCATCTGATATTTGAAGGTTTAGTAGAATTACCCATGAGATAATCTGGGCCTGTACTTTTTTGAGGAATAATTCCTTAATAGGGTTCTCTAATTCTTCTATAGAAATTGGTTTGTTTAAACTTCCATTTTCTATCAATTTTGGTAATCAGTATTTACCTAAGAAATTATCCATTTCATCAAAGTTTTTGAATGTATTTGCACAGAGGACTGCAAAGTCTGTTGTAATTACTTTTTCTGTTTCAGTGGCTATTTTTCTATTGTCATTTCTTATTTTGTGTATTTGTATTTCTCCCTTTTTTTTCTTATTTATGCTAGCTAGTAGTTTGTCTATTTTGGTAATTTATTTTAAAAAACCTTAAAAGCAAACTGGTTTGAAGAATTACTGCTATTCCACAGAAGGGTGACTATAGGCAGCAATAATATTGTACATTTTAAAGTAACTAAAAGTATAATTAGGTTATTTGTAACACAAAGAAAGGATAAATGTTTGTGGTGATGGATACCCCATTTACACTGATATGATTATTATACATCATAAGCCTATATCACAATACCTCATGTACCCCATAAATATATACACCTACTGGTTGGGCACAGTGGCTCACGCCTATGATCCCAGCACTTTGGGAGGCTGAGGCAGGTGGATAAGCTGAGGTCAGGAGTTCAAGACCAGTCTGGCCAACATGGTGAAACCCTGTCTCTACTAAAAATACAAAAATTAGCTGGGCATGGTGGCACACGCCTGTAATCCCAGCTACTCGGGAGGCTGAGGCAGGAGAATCGCTTGAACCTGAGAGGCAGAGGTTGCAGTGAGCCAAGATCATGCCATTGCACTCCAGCCTGGGCGACAAGAGTGAAACTCTGTCTCAAAAAAAAAAAAAAAAAAAAAAAAAAAAAAAAAATATATATATATATATATATATATATATACCTACTTTGTACCCACAAAAATAAAAAAAAATAAAATAAGAAATATTGCTATTCAATCTAAGTCTCTCTAAAACTGTAATACCTAGAACCAAGCACAACACTCTAGGTATAAAACCAGATACTCAGCTTCTTCATTCAAGATATTTCATATTCTTTTCTTTTTCTTTTTTTGGGTCACATTGGTGACTCATACTAAACTGTCAACCAAAACCCCTAAATAATTTTTAACACATTTTGCTGTTAAACCATATCCCTTCCATCTTTGAGCTTGTAAAATTGGTTTTCTTGATCCACATTTGCCTTTAATAAATTTCACCTTGCTAGATTGTGTCTCAAGAGATCCTGTCATTCCATGCATTCATTTATTCAAGTCAACATATTCTTGAGTCCCTACTATCTGCCAGGCATTGTGCCAAGGTCAGTGCTTACAGGCACATAAATAACGGACACAAAGTGATTGCTGCTACAAGAGAGAAACGTTTAAAAAAAAAAGCTATTTATGCAGAGAAGGAGCAACAGGATGGAAGGCTGGAGGAATCAGGAAAAGGTCAACAGGGAAGGAGACATCTGGCTGGTTCTTTACGGATGTCTGCCAATTGCAGAGAGGACAAGGGCAGAGGTGATGGAAGGAGGAAGGGTCAGAAGACACATACTATCTTAGAGGAACAGCCAGTTGAGGGGGTAGCGTGTGGGCGGAGCAGGTGATAATGTTGGAGAAACAGGTCTGCCCACGACCACCAGCACTTAGACTAAGGCTTAATGACCTTCAACAGGAAGTGTGAAGTTGTGAAACAGGAGAGTGAAACTGTGTGACTGGCATCTTGGAATAGAAAGAACAGCATACAGATTGAAGAAGCCAACGAGGAGCCCAGGCAATAATTCAAGCAAGAGAAGATAAGCACCTAAACTGAAGCAGCACCAGTGAGCAAAGGACAAACTCCAGAAACAAGCCAGAGATGACTGATAGGATGTAGGGAGCGACAAAAAGAGGGTCCAAAATGTTGGACCCGAATGACTGGCTGGCTGGTGATGCTTTAACTGGGATGGAGAAGACATGAAGAACAAGCACTGGGAAAAGTCAATGGCTCGGTTTTGAGAGAGTCTGAGCTATTTGTAGAACACCAGAGTATAGATGTTCCACAGCCAGTTGGCAAAACACAGGTCTAGAGCCCAAGAGCTGGGGGCGGGGTGGGAGATCCATGTTTGAGAGTATCTAGATAAGTTTGCCAGTGAGATAAGTGCCATCTACCAAGCACTTACTACATGCCAGGTATTGTGCTAAGCACTTTGCTACATCCCTTATACATATATTTTTCCCTTCACATTGACCCTGCGAGGAAATATTTTTCCCATTTTACAGATGTGGAAACCAAGGTTCAGAGGAATATGCCCACAGTTGCAGGGCTGCTCAGTGACAGAACAAGGGTTTGAATTCAGTGATGACGCTAAATCCTGGGCTCTACAGCATCCCAAAAGGTAAGGTGAGCTCTAAGAGTTATTTGGCAGATGAGGAAATGGGAGGTATCATGATGCATCAAAGTTTCAGAGAAGAGGAAAAGAGCTGCGTCCTCTGATCAGGAGTGTGGGGAAGTGCGGAGGTGGGAAGAGGGAAGCTGAAGGAGTTCAAATGCAGCTGTCCCTCAAGTCATTCCTTCCTATGAAGTAGGCCAGTTTATCTGCTGAGGGTGAAAGGGACGGGGAGAATGAAGGAGGCTTCAGGAAAGGGTCAGAGACTTGCGGCAGACCCTGTGAGAAGATGGAAAGAACACTGACTGCTAAAGATTCCTGGCAGCACCAAGCACTCAGCTAGGACTGGAAATCATCATTTTGTAATTGAATCAATCAGCAAGGTTGTATGATTTGCTCTAGACCTGCTCAGCAGGACTGGGCCATGAGCAGGGGAAACCAAGGATGGGCTAATCTAGGACTGAAAATCATCAGAGGAGAGGCAGTGACCACCAGGGCAAAGGAAGTAAGCGTGGTGTTGAAAGTGCTTGAAGTGACTGACGGTAAAGTCTGGGCCAGGGAGAAGAAATTAAGAGACAGTGGATAAGCCTTAAGAAGGTAGAGGACAGGAAGGAAAGGAGAACTTGATGGAATGAAAAAAATAATTTTAATGGGAATGTAGGACCGTGAAAACTGGGGTTTTGAGCAGAGTAGAGTTTCAGAGTTCAAGATTTCAGGGATGGGAAAATTCTGTAGAGTAAGTTTCAAGTGTGGCCTCGGTATGTGGCCTTGTAGAAGTGGCATGGAGGGGGACAATCATTACAGTGGGGACAGTCCAGGAACTGGGAGGCTAGACTGTGGATCCTGAAGTCCTGTCTAGAGAGTGTTAGAGACTAAGGTGCTGAGGCTATTTGGCATTCTGTCCAGATCCAAGTTACTTCATTCTTTTCTCTTTTTTTAAATTTTTGATTTTTGTAGAGATGGAGTCCTTGCTATGTTGCCCAGGCTAGTCTCGAACTCCTGGCCTCAAGCCATCCTCCTGCCTTGGCCTCCCAAAATACTGAAATTATAGGTGTGAGCCACCATACCTGGCCTTCATGTAACTTTAAAAACTAGTTTGTCTTCAATTAAATCATTGATGAAAAAAATTTAGTTGAAGATAAGCCTTTGGCATGTCATCACTATGTTTGCATGCTGACGTGAATCTGTTCAATGGCATCTAACAGCGATCAGAGCTTCACAAGTGAATAGGGCTAGTCTTATCCACAGGTGAAGGGTTATACTATCCTTCTTTAGGCTGCTGCCTCTCCCTTTATGTCTAATTTAGGGAGACAAGCACTAAACTGTCTGTCTCTCTTTGACCTGAAGATATCTGTACTTCTCATCCAAGGGGCAGGCAAGACCCTGTTCTTCCTATAAATGCCCACTGCCAGCTCTGAAGAAACTGACTTAAGGACAAAGTAGACACTTGTGAAGGCCAGCCATGCCATCCACTTCTCCCACAAAGCAGTTTTGTCTTCAAAGAGGCCTGTGGGGCAAGCCTGGGCCCTGAGTGGCTCTGCTGCTTGATTTGAACAATATATTAGGGCTTCTCTTTCTGTAGCAGATGAAATACCATATGCCTTTTACAGGAGGCTGTTACTCTCTGAAAGGTGGACTAGTAGTTTCATTTCTTCATTTTTTTTGGCCTCATTATTTTTTAAAATTATAACTTGTGTAAGAAGCAGATATGTAAAATAGGGAAAAGCAGTGCTTCTCTGATTAGGCCAGGGTCAGGAGTCCAAAACCCAGCTCACTCTTCCTGTGTTTCTCCACCCTCAAGCCCCCACCCCTACTCTCCAGCCATCTAAAGTAATTTAAGGGCTTCACACAGCAGCTGAAAACAAGAACCAAAACAAATATAAACACCAAAAGAAAAAAAAAACTGCATTTTGTTTCCTTCTAACACTATCATTTTACAAGTCTATTATTCAGTGACAAAAAGATACAACAGGCTCAGCAAAATGGAAATATCTGGAATATTGAGAAATAGATCTTGCTTATTCTGGGGACAGTGTCCATAGGCACTCAGAATGGTCCAGCATTTGGCATACCATTGTAGGCTTTTCTGCAATACAGCCTCTAACAAAATTAGGCTGTCCCAAATCCCTGTTCACAGAACTGTTTACCTTCATACCAAGAAGGTTGGGAAAACACCAAAATCTGCATGTGGCGTGTGCCCAGGCCGACTTCAATGAGTTCCTGCTGTGACACCTAAAGTTCTTAAGAGGTTCTCCAAAATAAACAAAGGAAAAAAAACATGTTGGCTGGGTGCAGTGGCTCATGCCTGTAATTCTAGCACTTTGGGAGGCTGAGGTAGGCAGATCACTTGAGGCCAGCAATTACAGACTAGCTTGGCCAGCATGGCAAAACTCCGTCTCTACTAAAAATACAAAAAAACTGACCAGGTGCAGTGGCTCACACCTGTAATCCCAGCACTTTGGGAGGCCAAGGTGGGCAGATAGCTTGAGGTCAGGAGTTCGAGACCAGCCTGGCCAACATGGCAAAGCCCCATTTCTAATAAAAATACAAAAATTAGCCTGTAATCCCAGCACTTTGGGAGGCCAAGGCGGGCGGATCATGAGGTCAGGAGATCGAGACCATCCTGGCTAACACGGTGAAACCCCGTCTCTACTAAAAATACAAAAAATTAGCCGGGCACAGTGGTAGGCGCCTGTGGTCCCAGCTACTAGGGAGGCTGAGGCAGGAGAATGGCGGGAACCCAGGAGGCGGAGCTTGCAGTGAGCCGAGATCGCACCACTGCAGTCCGGCCTAGGCGAAAGAGCAAGACTCCATCTCAAAAAAAAAAAAAAATACAAAAATTAGCCGGGCGTGGTGGCAGGCGCCTATAATCCCAGCTACTTGGGAGGCTAAGGCAGGAGAATCACTTGAACCCAGGAGGCGGAGTTTGCAGTGACCCAAGATCGTGCCACTGCACTTCAGCCTGAGCGACAGAACGAGACTCCATCTCAAAAAAAAAAAAAAAAAAAATTAACCGGGCTGGTGGTGTATGCCTGTAATTCCAGCTACTTGGGAGGCTGAGGCACAAGAATCCTTTGACCCCAGGATGCAGAGGTTGCAGGGAGCTGAGATCGTGCCACTGCACTCCAGCCTGGGCAACAGAGCAAGACTCTGTCTCAAAAAAAAATCCATGTCAGCAAGGCCTGTGGTTGTTCTATGTGTACTAAATGTGTCTGTGACAGAACCAAGCGTGCCTTCCTTATTCAGGAAAAGAAAAAGTATTGAACACACCAGCACAAAGTCAGAAAACTAAACAAATAAATGAAGCTCTTTCGCATAACAATTAAAAAAAAAAAGAATTATATTTTGATTATGACCCTGGATCTTGGTCAAGAGAGGCAAAGTAGGAATGATCAGATTCCAGCTAGGCTTACAGTGATAGTGTAGCTAACAGCTCCTGGGGTAGCTGCCCAGCCCACAATGATTCCCTCTTCTTTAAGAACCCTCCTCTGTGCACACAGTGGTGGGTCCTATGACCAGGTTGGTATTGTATCACCCCCTCCACTGGTCACACTTGATTGGTCTGCCAAAGTTGATTGGTGAAAGCCAGCCAATCCCTGGAACTTTCTGAACTGGCATTTAGGAATAGAATCAGTCTTCCTCCTCCTCCCTCATCTCTCTCAAAGTTGTAAGATATAAAACTTAGACGTTGCCATAGGCCATGCTGCCCACCTGAGAAGGAAAAACCAGCTCTAGTAAATGGGAATAAAGCCAGCATAGAAAGAAGCAGACAAGAGGCAGAGAACAGAGGAAGAGATCCTGCCAGTGTCAGAGTTCTTGATTTCATTGTTTCTGCTGCATCCCTGCCCTTTCCATGGTTTAGTTTTTCTGCCTTTCCTTGGATTCCATGAGTCAATAACGTCCACTTCCTATCCCTGCTAGTTCAAGTTGGGTTTTTGGCACTTGTAACCGAACTAATTTTTTAAAAAAGACCAAGACAGTTGGTACATACTACGTGTGTAACAGTGTTGAACTAATCTCAGTCTGGAGTTTCATGACTAATTTGTTCTAAGGAAGCTAAAAGGATGCCAGTGTAATAAATGTCTAGAACAACTGAAGGTTTTCATGGTAACCACCCTCTGAGTCAGGCCTCAGAAGAAGTCAGTCAGTAGACATAACAAGAGTTAAAACTGTCTGAGAAGGATTTTGGCTTGATGAGACTGGACCCCTCTAAAGTTGTGAGAGCAGTGATAGTACCACGAGGTGGCCGGTGGAAGGAGGCTTTAGCAATCCCATAATCTCCATCAGCTTCCTCCAAGACACTCCAAATAACCCTATGATTTTAGGTAAAAGTCTTCTAGTATACACAATTCCATCCAAAATCTTCATTTGTGCAGGAAATCTTGACCTTGAAAGCTTTCTTGCCACCAAATGTAACCTTCTTCCTGTTTTTCTTTGGGACCTGCCCTTCCTTCCAAACAGGTTTGTAAGCCGAGCCTCAGTTCTCTATCTCCTCCAAGACTCAAGCTCACAGAATTCCTGCAGGGGACTTATTTGCTAGAGTTGCGAAAGCACCAATGGGGCTTCACCAGGGAAGTATGTGGTATCTACTGTTCTTAGAGCAGAAACAGCCAAGGAGGCGACTCTATGTTTTCCTGCTGGCAACAAGAAAAGCAAACAAGAAAAGCAGAGAGCTTTTGTGGTATGCTAGAGAGACAGTTCAGGAGGAGACATGAATGGCTCAGGAAGGAAATTAGTTTTACAGTGAAACCAGATACCTGTTTAGAACTCTGAGACCCTCCAGCAGCAGAAGATGAGGAGATGAGGGTGGGGAAGTTGCTGAGAAACTAAGAGCAAGGCTAGAGATTTAAAAACCTTATGTTATTATTGGCCTAAATTCTGCCAGTAAACACCCTATTGTATTTCTTTTCTATTAACTCTTTCAGCCCTTTACTGAACCTGCAAAAGCTATTTGTTCATTGAATTTGATGGCTAATTGGGTACAAATAAAGTTCACAAGTAAAAATATCCTTGAATTTCTTCTTCCTTTCATGGACAGGTTCTTTGTACAGAAGTCTCCCTTACCCATAGTTTTTCTTTCCACAGTTTCAACCACCCATGGTCAACCACCGTCTGAATATATTAAATAGAAAATTCCAGAAATGGGCCAGGCGCAGTGGCTCATGCCTGTAATCCCAGCACTTTGGGAGGCTGAGGTGGGCGGATCACGAAGTCAGGAGATCGAGACCATCCTGGATAACACGGTGAAATCCCATCTCTACTGAAAATACAAAAAATTTAGCCAGGCGTGGTGGCACGCATCTATAGTCCCAGCTACTCGGGAGGCTGAGGCAGGAGAATTGCTTGAACCCGGGAGGCGGAGGTTGCAGTGAGCCAAGATTGCGCCACTGCACTCCAGCCTAGGGGACAGAGCAAGCCTCCGTCTCAAAAAACAAAAAAAAAAAAAAAAAAAAAAAGAGAGAAAGAAAATTCCAAAAATAATTCCTAAGCTTTAAATCGTAGCCGGGCGCGGTGGTTCATGCCTGTAATCCCAGCATTTTGGGAGGCTGAGGCAGGTGGATCACCTGAGGTCAGGAGCTCGAGACCAGCCTGGCCAACATGGTGAAACCCTGTCTCTACTAAAACTACAAAAATTAGCCGGGTGTGGTAGCACATGCCTATAGTCCCAGCTACTGGGGAGACTGAGGCAGGAGAATCGCTTGAGCCCAAGAGGTGCGAGGTGGAGGTTGCAGTGAGCTGAGATCACATCACTGCACTCCAGCCTGGGTGACAGAGTGAGACACTGTCTCAAAAAATAAATAAATTGAAATCAAAATTTAAAAAATAAATAAATTGTCCAACACTCTGAGTAGTGTGATGAAATCTTGTGCCATCCCACTCTGTTTCACCCAAGACGTGACTCATCCCTTTGTCCAGCATATTCAAGCTGTCTGTGCTACCCGTCATCTTCTTATTGGAACGACTGCCAAGGTATCGCAGTGCTTGTGTTCAAGTTGCCCTTGTTTTACTCTATAATGGCCTCAAAGTAAATTAAATTTGTGGGTAGAAAACATGAAGAGAAACAGGCTCCGACTGATGGCAGTCAGGTTCAGTACCATCCACGGTTTCAGGCATCCACTGGGGGTCTTGAGATGGATGTCCCTTGGATAAGGGAAGATTAATATATTAGTATTCAGCCCAGTGGTCAAAAGATAATATATCAGAAAGTAAAGAGCTAAAGATTTTCTGAAAGATATCATCTCCTAAACTTATTTTTAAATTTCCATCAGTTATGAGTCCCCAAACACTCTCTGCTCCTTCACAAGTACATGTTACAAGGTAAGTGCTCAATAAATGCATGTGAATGAATGGATGAATGAAGTATCACTCTATGGTCTAGGGGTGTCCCTCATCCTAGAAACAGGAGATAAGAGCCCACCCTCAGGGCCTGTGGAATTGGTTCTCTATTGCCTTACCACATCTAGCTAATATCCATGACCACTTTAATGGAGCTTGGTTTGGGGGAATAACAAACAAGAAAATGCATTCAGGAAAGTGTCAGTTTTAGCCTTTGGTCCTTACAGCCTAGACAACAAGGCCAATCATGGCAGATGAAGCCTTTCTAGTGTTCCCTAGATCCTCTGAACCGCCTCGGGGAGTGGCACCTGGCTAACAGTGCCCTATCACTGCTCCACATGCCTGGCCAACTCATCACTCACCACGAGGAACATAAAGCTGCCTGATAGCCTGCTGCCAGGGTGCATCTGTTTAGCTGGCATTGCCTCCTGTGGGAATGAAGCCAATGAGCCTGGGTGGGGAGAGGAGAAATCAGGCAGGATAGAAAAAAGAAGGTTGGGGAATCTGGTGCTGAGTTGCTCTGTAGACTTAACAAGCCTTTAATTTCTACAGCAAAGCACAGAGGAGTTCATTGTGAAAATGTCTGGAAGCCTCTAATTGGCCCAGTGTTGACGCCACCGCTACTCTATGGAGGGCACAAGGCCTTTAGGAGCAATGTTTCACTTTCCAATCTTCTTCCTCACTCACTCTATGTCCCCCTTATGGAGATGAGACCAGACTAAAACTCTTCGTGGGTGTGTGTGTGTGTGTGTGTGTGTGTGTGTGTGTGTATTTTGTTTCGTTTTGTTTTGAGACAGAATCTCACCCTGTTGCCCAGGCTGGAGAACAGTAGCAGGAACATGGCTCATTGCAGCCTCAACCTCCTGGGCTCAAGTGATCTACCCACTTCAGCCTCCCAAGTAGCTGGGATCCCAGGTATGCATGCCACCATGCCCAGCTCATTTTTTTTTTAACTGTAGAGACAGGGTCTCACCACGTTGCCCAGGCTGGTCTTGAACTCCCGGGCTCAAGCCATCCTCCTGCCTCGGCCTCTCAAAGTGCTGGGATTATAGGTATGAGCCACTGTGCCTGGCCTATTCCTATATTTCTAAGGGACTGCCAAGCGGATGAATCTTAATGTGAAATTTCAATTTCTACTTTTCTACTTGGAGGAAAACTGGTAGGGAAAGTCTGCCAGAACTTATGTTCAAAAGCTTAAGGTTCGGACAAGTGATTTCCTGTCAACCATCATTTTCATAAACCATTCCCCCAACTTTCAGCCCCCAGGCCATGCACACCACAGCTGGGCCTACGTTCACTCTTCCCCACAAGTAAGATTTCTGTATCACCTCAATTTTCCCAAGTTTGACACTCTGAACATCTACTGTGGCACGATCTTAGCTCACTGCAATCTCAACCTCCCAGGTTCAAGCGATTCTCCTGCCTCAGCCTCCCGAGTAGCTGGGATTACAGGCGTGAACCACAGCACCCAGCCTGTCTCTTTTTTTAAGAGATGGGTCTCTGTCATCTAAGCCGGAGTGCGGTCACCAGTCACGTGCGGTCACAGCACACTGCAGCCTCTAACTCCTAGGCTCCAGTGGTCCTCTTGCCTCAGCTTCTCAGGGAGCTGAAACGACAGGCATGCACCACCGTGCCTGGCTACTTCCTCTTCACTGGTCTGTGAGCTCCAGTAGGGCACAGACTCTATGTTATTGGACTTCTATGTATTTCCAGAGCCTGGCACAGTGACTGGCAAACACAGTAATTCAGAGAATGTCCAGTGAATGACTGCTTGCATGCATGTACCAGACGAGCAGGGAAAAAATCTGGCCTCAATGAGCAGATGGATTGGTAAATGTTCAGTCCTTTTCATATCAGTACACCCTATCTCTCCCTATAAACTCCTTGGAAGCAGGAACTGAATGTTTTTCAATTCTTTTATCCATCCCCTTTCAATAAACTACTGATTTATGAATAACTAATGAATAACTGAATAAATGAATGCATATTACCCAAACCGTATTATAATCTCAAGTCGCTCAAAACCTCCCAACACAAGCACCAAAGTTGTTTTTAAAGAAAGTTCAGCCCCCCAAAAAACACTTGCAGAAATCCATATTGGCACATTTACAACATTCATAGGACAACACCAATATCAAGCAGCAGAGAAAACAAATAGCTTTGAGGCAGATGCAGATTGGGGAGATTGTGATCTATAGGAAGCCTGGCCAAGCCATAGGAAATGGGGGATGACAGCCAGGGTGGCAGTAGCCAAAACCTGTGGATAATTTGCCATCCAAATTAACCATGCCATTCAAAGGCATTGCATTGAAAGCACTGACAAGGATCAATTCCGTGAGTTATTTGCCAGACATGTTGAGGCCAGGGCTCTGTGTAGGAAATGCGGTAAGAGAAAACTCTGTCATGCATGGCTATACATAGTGGCAAAGGATTGAGAACAGAAGCCAACAGTGGGTAGAGGGAAGCCAGGATTCAGAGGGCAGGGTTTCTCTCTGCTGCAGGGTTCCCTTATAATTAACCAATTAAGGCCAAAGCTCCATTCCCTGTGGCAGTTTTCTCTGCCATAGAGAATGAGGTCACAGCCCTAACTACACAGACCTATAAGGCATCTGGGTGATGAAGAATAGCTTTAGATGTACTTGGATCATTCCCAGGAGGTGACTGGATACATGTGTGGTATTTGTAGACTCAGTAGGAATTCTCAGAAGAATTAAAGCGTATTCTGACACTAGCTTTTAAATCACTGTTTACATCCTTATCTCAAGGACTCTAAAAAAATAAATTGATATTACTGGATCGATTAAGCAACCCTGGAGGCTGGAATAGGTCAAATAGGGCCCCATGGACTCTAAAATAACCAATTACACTATTATTCAGTAGCACTAAATGTAATATTGTATGTAAAATGAATTATTTAATATAGAATGTGAAAGAATTATTTAAACTGTAAGGAACCATTCAAATTTAACATATTACTGTCATTGTTATTTAGATGATGTCAATTTTTCAGAGAAATCAAAAGTACTCATTGGCTGTCAGAGTTCAAATCTAACAGAGAGGAACAGACGTACACTAGCTTGTGGAGGGGATGGAGGGAAGTTTACAGAATGGGTAGAAAAATCAAATATCAGAGAAGGAAAAGAGGCACTACTGCATTATTCTAGGGATCAATTAATTAAAAAGTTATGCATCTGTTGTTTTTATGAAGATTCCATTACCACCACAAAAAGACCACTCTCCCATTCCCCTTTTCCCTTATGCCCTTATGTTTTTCAAGAATTGGAGGTCAGGGGATATTTATGGAAGCACCAAAGCATGAAACACACGGCCAAGCCTCTTAGTTTAGGTGGCTCTTCAGTCGAAAGGTTTCGAAGTGAAAATGAGCAGAAAACTAAGATTAGGACCAGCTCTGTGCTGGTTTCCTCCTCTTAAACAGACAGTGGGACCATCAAGAGCTGAGTTTTGTTGTTGTTGTTAAGTTGGGGCAGGAGGTATAAGACAACTAAAAGAGCTTCTGCCACAGTTGGTGAATGAGTCAGACTTACGCAGCTAAAGACCAGGGGCAGCCCAAAGGCAGAGAGTGAGAAAAGAGGAACCAGAATATTGGAATCACTCAGAGGTAGGCTTCCCGGCTCTTCTGTGTTTCAACTCTTAGACTACAGCTCTTTGTTAACAATCCCCTTACGTGTGTTCAGACAGGAAGGATGCAAAGATGAGGTGCCCTGCAGTGCAGACAGGATGCAAGCTCCGCCCTTCAGTGAAGGTTGTGACACCCCTTGGCCAAAGGAAAATTCCAACTCGGTTAGGTTGGGACAGCATTTCTGCAGTTTTCCTCTGTGTTAGGAACAACGCTAGGGCACGGGGGCCAGACCAGGGGAGGGTTCTGTGGCAGGTCAGGCTGCAGAGCTTCTTAATTAGAAACAGGAATTAAGGAAGGAGTCTGTAGTGCAGCTGGAGAAATAAAATCTTATACACGAATTCATGAGAATGGTTATTTCTGGAGAAAAGGCTGGAATGGGTGGGGGGAGCCAAAGGCACTTCAGTCTTGCCTATCAAATGCTCATATTTAAGAAGACAATGTATTCATATGTTGAGTAAAAACTGATTTTAAAAATCTTAAATTTCAGAGAGTCACAGAGAGAAGAAAGAGAGAGATGGAAGGAAAAGGAGCGAGAGAGAAATGAAGAAAGACACAACTAACAGCCTAGGTTTCCCTGGATGCTGGGCTAAGACAACCCGCAAGAGTAGGGCTTAGCTGCAGTCGAAGACGTATGGAGCAAATCTTGAGGGGGAAGCATCCCAAACCAGAATTTCCTGGGTCACAAGAAAAGCAAATGCAATAAACAGAATTGTAAGAGAAACAAGTGGGGAGGAAATGACCCCTTGTCGGCCCTAGCCCATCTTGCCTGTCAGAGTGAGGCCCCAGTTCCTCTGCTCTCACATGGACCGGTGCACGCGCTGGCTCCCTGGACCCAGGACCCAGGTCCCCTCTCGCTCAGTAGCTCCTCTCAGACAACCATGTCCTTGATTGCAGAGAAATCTACTGCCCCGCACTCAGAAAGAGATTCAGACATGAAGAGGGCACTTCACATGGACCATCTACAGTCCCCTGCCCTCTCAAACTTTCTACCAATGCAGTACCACTCCACCCTCCCTTGGCTCCGCTGGTTAGCTCCTGATATAGATGAGCACTTTTGCCAAATATCCAGGGATTCCCTGAGGATTTCCTTGGAGAGAGAAGCTCTAGGGAGGATGGAGACCCCCTCTTCTGGAAGGAGGTGATTTCTGAATTTGTGGTCCTGTCCTCTTGGGCTCAGGTAAGCTACCAGGGAAGGTCATGGCCCAGCTTAGCTGTGGGCAGGCAGCCCTTCTGATTTCTCCTGGTTCACCCATCTGCACCGTAAGTACCACCTTAGCCCCTTTGGGGTTCTGGGGGCGATTTGCTCTGGGGTCCCCAAAGGATGGAGGAGGAGGAGGACCCCTTCCGGAGACTGGGCGGGAGACGCTGGGGGAGGGGAGCTGAGGAGTGGGAGGAGCAGGACAGTTACCTCATTGAAGCCCTCCTGCAGGACGTCCAGTAAGTTCCCTCGGGTCAGGCAGGCTAGCATTGTTCCTGCTGGGGGCTCCCCGGGCGGGGTCTCCAGCCCGGCGGCCGCCGCCGCCTCCTCCTCCTCCCTCTGCACACAAAGGCTCTCGGCTCAGCTCATTGGGATCCCTCCGGAGTCCCGCATGCCACTTACTGGAAACCTAGACTGGAGCCAAACTAGCGGCTTGCACTGGGCATGCTCGCACGGGGGCCTCCGCTGGAGGGGCCCGGCGCGGTCGCGGTTCCTATGGAAACAACTGGGCGCGCACTAGGTTGAGCGGCGCTGCCGGGCTGCCCCCAGCCCCGCTTTCCTGCGGGAAAGCCGCACGGCCAGGCGGGCTGGCGAGGGCGCGCGCTGCACGCCCGCACGCACGCGCACACCCCCCCCCCGCCCGGGCCGCAGCACGGGCGTGTGTGCGTGCGCTACACACACACACACTCACACGGCTTTTAGGCAAACGTGCTGCTGTATGTGCGCGCTGTGTGCATACACACACACACACACATACACACATACACACATACACACACACACGTTGACAAACAGGCGGCCCGGCTGGCGTATGCATGCGCTTGCAGCCGCGCGCGCGCACACACACACCAGGCTTGCAGGCGGGTGTGCCCGTGGGGAGGGTGCGCAACACACACACACACACACACACACACACACACACACTGCTAACTTAAGGCCACAAACGGCCCACCAGAAGGTGGGTGGGAAAGGGAGTGAATCATAGGATTTTCCCCCAGACTAACCGAAAACAGCAACCTTTTTCCACATGGGCCCTGGACAGTGAGGTCAAGCTAAAGAAGAGGAAGCAGAAGGGAAAGAAATAAGAAAGAGAAAGAGCAGAGGAAGAAAGGGGGAAAAGAGGATAAAAAGAACTTTAGTTATTGATGGTATCAGAACACATTCAATAGAACAGTGCTAAACATCACGCAGGATCGCAACAGAAACATCAAGGATGACCAAGCCTTTTCCAAAATTTTCCTATTTCATTCTTTATAAAATAACTGCTAAAATATACAACCCATATTTTAATGTGTTTTAAAATAAATGGGCTTTAATTAAAATAAAGACTGCAAAAATGTCCTGGTGCATTTGAAAGAGGTAAAAAGCTTCCTCAAGTGAAACAGAAAGCTATTCTAGGCTGTTTCTAGCTATTCAAGTCATAGCCTTGATTATTTATTTTTAGGAATACTAGTCATTTGCAACTCAGTGCAAACTCTTGTTTCTATAGGAAAACTCGAAGCTGAAAAAACATTCATTTTACATTCCACCTCGTGATCCCAGATGGAGAGGAAGGGTTTACAGAGCATTAGGGCTCAGAGAAGGTCAGGGCCTTGTCCAAGGACGCAGCCAATCAGTGACAGGCAGCTCAAGGATCTAGGAGTCTACACTTATGATTTTCTGGAAGACCCAGATTCCTCCTCAAATCCTGATTAGTACCTTAGCCAGAAAAGTCAGTAATGGCTCTTATTCAACCTAATGACCTCTTCAGGTCCTTAGAGAAAAAGAAAATCCACCAAGAGCAGCCAGGCTAGCAATATCTTGTCTGAATGTCTAAAGCTGCTAAACACAAAGATGTTTCTGAAAAAGAACACATCTCCCTGACCACAACAGGCAGGGGGCAGAGGGCCAGCACAGGTGTTGAGTGGCAGCTGCTGGTTGAATGTAGTGGGTTCAATTCTGGCTAATGCTGGGGAAAAGCTAAGACACCAAATCATTCTAAACCTGAGCAGCCCACAAGTCCAAAGACCACTGTCCTTCATAATCTAGCTGAGGAATTTAACTGCCAAGAACTCCCTTTGACACTACCACACTTCGTGGTGTAACACCCCCGGAGAGTCACTAACCCATGTCAATTCAACAAGTTCCTTTATAAAGAGAAGCATGAAATTTCCAACAGCACAGACTTGCATGCAATACATCTACGTGCATAATGATGCAAAACCAAAGTACCTACTTGGTGGATCCCTGGGTAGAGGATCCTGATTGGTTGAGAGCCCCTCATGCTTTGTACACAGAGCAGAAAATATTGAGACATCAGAGGGAGATCCTGCTGACAGTTATCTATGCCAGAGGTCAGCGTTTCTCAAACAAGTCTTTGATCAAAGTAGGATCTGTGAGCTCAGTGTTTCTGGAAAAAGACTTATGAAATCACTGAATTTTAAAGCTCCAAAACATTTTGGCCCAACTTCCTTACTTGGCCCAAGTCCCTTATATCATAGAAAAAGCAACCAAGGCTAGGAGAGGTGCTCACAGTCACTCAGCAAGTCAGTATGGAAACTAAGATCTGAACCAGAGGGCTCTGAGGTCTGATCCTGTGCTCTTTGCACTGCCCATCACAGCATGCTGGAGGAATTAAGAGAGAATTGTAGTGAATTGATTTTTTAAAATGTATTATAAGGCATATGGTCCAATATTGCACTATTCCCTAAAAGTCTATAACTATACAAACCACATATTCTAGAGCAATGGTGTTCACTAGGACTGTCTGTGAAGATGGAAATGTTCTATATCTATGCTGTACAATATAGTGGCCATACGTGGCTACTGAGCACTTGAACTACAGCTAATGCAACTGTGGAACCAAAATTTTAATGGCATCTAATTTTGATTTAAATAGTACAATTTCAAAATATTCATTCTATTGTTCCCATATGACTATTAAGATGTGTTCCAAAAATTATACTATTTTACATAGTCTGCCTCTCACATTTGGAAAAAGCACAAAATTCCTGTCAGACCATATAATGTCCATTTTTTTTTTTGCTCAGAAGAGATGTTCACCACAGTTATCTTAGTTGGCCTTACAAAGTGGCTCAGATGAAGAACTGAGCTTTAGCTCCAAACAACACTAACATTTAGTATTCCTTCCATCCTCCCGATCCCACCATGTTGTAATATCAACATAAGAGCTGGGAGAGTATGAGGGCTAGCTACAAGAACTAGGAATAACTGGGACAATGATCAGGCATCCCATAGTGTTTGTATGTGGGAAAACTGCAAGCCATCTGGGTAGCTGGAACCACTTCTGCTGCTGCAGGGCTGTCATTCACTCTGCCTGGAAGCAGAGGCAAAGAAACCCAGCAAACTGCTTTCTGCATATCCCTGCCATGCTGCCTGATTTCTGAACTTATACCTGGCTTCCTCAGTCCTGCATTATTTTGACAATAATGGCAGACATTTCCCCCACAAACTAAAAGCTACCCAAATATCTATATATAACAGTAATAATAGCAAAATTGAGCTTTTACTGTGTGCCAAACCCTGTACTCAGCACTTAGTATTAGCTCATTTGACTGTCACAATTACCATAAACAGTAGGATTTTTACATATAAAGAAAGAGAGGTTTGGAGAAGTAATTTGTCACAGACCCAATAGCTACTAAATGGTGAAGCCAAAGTCCAGGTTCTTAACCATTATGCAATACTGTCATATGAAGAATGCAACATTACATTACATAAGAATGCAAGATTACATTACAAAAATGTAAATCTATTTTTACTTGAAGGAATGAATGAGCCAGTGGGAGAAACATTAATCACGTCTGTTAATAAATAGAGTAAGATGTTAGCCTAAGTAAGACTTTGAGCCTTAAAATAAAACCATCATTTGGTGAAAATATTGCCTGTGACTTCTCTCTGCATAAAAATAAGAAGTGTGAAATTCAAATCTATATAAAATGTAACACAACTATTATGGCCAATAATTCATGACTATAAAGAAACAGAAAGGCAGTTTGAATAAACAAATAATTACAATTGTCAATAAAAATATTTTAAATGACCCTTGGAATAATGTCTTTTTTTTTTTTTTTTTTTTGAGAGAGAGAGAGACAAGATCATCTCACTCTGCTGCCCAAGCTAGAATGCAGTGGCACAAAAAAATTACAAAATTAATACAAAAAAATACAAAAATTAGCCACTCATGGTGGTATGTGCCCATAGTCCCAGCTACTCAGGAGGCTGAGGTGGGAGGATCGCTTGAGCCCGGGAGGTTGAGGCTACAGTGAGCCGTGACTGCACCACTCCACTTCAGCCTGGGCAAGAGTGAGACACTGCCTCAAAAAAAGAGAAAAGGTCCGGGAGCGGTGGCTCACGCCTGTAATCCCAGTATATTGGAAGGCCAAGGCGGAAGGCGGGCAGATCACCTGAGGTCAGGAGTCCGAGACCAGCCTGACCAACATGGAGAAACCCCCTCCCTACTAAAAATACAGAATTAGCCGAGCATGGTGGCGCATGCCTGTAATCCCAGCTAATCTGGAGGCTGAGGCAGAAGAATCGCTTGAACCTGGGAGGTGGAGGTTGAGGTGAGCCGAGATCACACCATCGCACACCAGCCTGGGCAACAAGAGCGTAACTCCGTCTCAAAAAAAAACCAAAAGAAAACTCTAAATGGTCTAGCTTGTTCTATACTGTGTCATTTAGTACTTAATTATACGTAATTTAGGAATGTGAATCTTTATCTCTTTTACTGTATTCTCAAGCCAAATATAAATAATTTTTAGTATCCTGTATTTTCCTCTCATTCATTCATACATTGTTTCATTAAACATCCATTAAATAGATACTGAGCACCTCTTATGAGTCATTATATGCCAGGTCTTATTCTTTTAGCAAAAACTTGAATAACTGACAGTTACACATAAATATACACATAACACATGGGGCAAGAAACAAGACTGGAGGGAAGAATAGTAAAAGGAAGACTAGTAAAACTGAGAATCCGATGACTAGTATGTGAGGAAAGAGTATACATGATGAATGTGACAGACTGAGTGGGCAGAAGAAGGGAGAAAGACAGAATGGTGAAAGACTAGAGTAGGATGTCGCCAAAGTAATCACCAGATGCTAGTGCTTAATATAAACCACACCAAAGCAGATATGTGAAAATATTCTACATGATTTTTTCTTTTTTTTTTTTTTTTGAGACGGAGTCTCGCTTCTGTCGCCCAAGCTGGAGTGCAGTGGAGCGATCTCGGCTCACTGCAAGCTCCACCTCCCAGGTTCACGCCATTCTCCTGCCTCAGCCTCCCAAGTAGCTGGGACTACAGGCGTCCGCCACCACGCCCGGCTAATTTTCTACATGATTTTTTTAACCTATTCCTGGGTTATGGATTTTTTTTCTTTTTTCACATGAAGTTTTAAAATTCACATTTCAAAAGTTATCTGCCAGTGGCCAGGCGTGGTGGCTCACGCCTGTAATCCCAACACTTTGGGAGGCCGAGGCAGGAGGATCACTTGAAGTCAGGAGTTGAGAGACCAGTCTGGCCAACATGGTGAAACCCCATCTCTACCAAAATAAAAAATAAAAAAATTAGCCAGGCGTGGTGTCCTACGCCTGTAGTCCCAGCTGCTCTGGAGGCTGAGGTGGGAAAATCACTCAAACCCGGGAGGCAGAGGTTGCAGTGAGCTGAGATCGTGCCACTGCACTCCAGCCTGGGAACAGAGTGAGACTCTGTCTCAAAAAAAAAAAAAAAAAAAAAAGGTTATCTGCCAGCTAGCCTGTGGGTGAGTATTATATTAAGACTAGCGACATCTGGTGGATATTTTGGAAGTGACACTTGAGTTTCTCTACGACTGCACTGAAAATGCACCCCTATGCCTCTGGGCTATCAGTTGATCAGGTGTCAGAGCTCCACATCAGTAATTACACTAACATCAAATCATCTTTCTGCAAGATTCAAGGTCTCATTGCAACAGGTAGCCTGATTTCTATCAAGGACCTAACTCCTAACTGATGTCCAGCTGCCTTCTGAAAGATGTATACAAAATCTGACGCTACAATTGTTGTACGAGGTAATTTATTATTTTAAATGTTGACAGTCTTTGATGTAGTCTTTTTTTAATTATTTATTTATTTATTTATTTTGGGATGGAGTCTCAATCTGTCACCCAGGCTGGAGTGCATTGGCACGATCTCAGCTGACTGCAACCTCTGCCTCCCGGGTTCAAGTGATTCTCCTGCCTCAGCCTCTCGAGCAGCTGGGATTACAGGCGTCCGCCACCACGTCCAGCTAATTTTTGTTTTTTTAGTAAAGATGGGGTTTCACTATGTTGGCCAGGCTGGTCTCAGACCTCAGGTGATCCACCCCCCTCAGCCTCCCAAAGTGCTGGGATTACAGGCGTGAGCCACCGCACCTGGCCTGACATCAGTCTTTAAAAAAATTTTTTTTGAGACAGTGTCTCACTCTATTGCCCAGGCTAGAGTGCAGAGGCACAATCACAGCTCACTGCAGCCTCGACCTCCCAGGCTCAAGCAATCCTCCCACCTCATTCAGCCTCCTGAGTAGTTGGGACTACAGGTACATGCCACCACACCCAGCAAATTTTTAAATTTTTTGTAGAAAGGGGGGGTCTCGGCCAGTCACGATGGCTCACACCTGTAATCCCAGCACTTTGGGAGGCCGAGGCAGGTAGATCATTTGAGGTCAGGAGTTCGAGACCAGCCTGATCAACATGGTAAAACCCCATCTCTACTAAAAATACAGGAATTAGCTGGGCATGGTGGTGGGCACCGGTAATCCCAGCTGCTCGGGAGGCTGAGGCAGGAGAATCGCTTGAACCCAGGAGGCGGAGGTTGCAGTGAGCCAAGATGGTGCCACTGAACTCCAGCCTGGGCAATAAGAATGAAACTCCATCTCAAAAAAAAAAAAAAAAAAAAAGGAAAGAAAGAAAGAAAGAAAGGAGGGTCTCACTATGTTGCTCAGGCTGGTCTTGAACTCCTGGCCTCAAGCAATCCTGGCATCAGCCTCCCAAAGTCCTGGGATTACAGGCATAAGCCACTACCTCACCTGGCCTGACATAGTCCTAAATAAGGAAATTAATTATTTACAATGTGGGGGGCAGGGGTGAGCGAACCTAAAAGTCCAACAACAGAGAAGTGGTTAAGAAAATTACAGCCATTATAATGTTTACCAAACGTGCCCACATTAAAACAAACATTTTAACAATTTTATGTTAACGTTAAGTGAAACAAAGCAAGTTAAAAAGTTTGTGCAGCATATGATCGCATGTTAAAAATTTACTAACACAGTGAAACCCCATCTCTACTAAAAATACAAAAAATTAGCTGGGTGTGATGGCACGTGCCTGTAGTCCCAGCTACTCAGAAGGCTGGGGCAGGAGAATTGCTTGAACCCGGGAGGCAGAGGTTGCAGTGAGCTGAGATTGCTCACTATATATATATGTATATATAGTGACTGCAAGAATATTTTCCAGAATATTAACAGTGTGCTTCTGGGTGGGAGAATTACGGTTTGCATTTTTTAAAATCATAGTTTGCAATATTTTTCCAATGCTCTGTAATTAACATACATTATTGCTATAACAAACTTTAAATCTTTTAAAAACGCATACATTCTGATTAATTGCTAGAATTTCTCAACCTCTGCCTTATTTTATTAATTCCAGAAAAAGATGACTCGAGGTCCAAGAGAGCTATTAATAGAATTTCCACAAGAAGGAAAAGCAAAAAAAAAGACAAATATATTAAAATTCTGTTCCAGGATCTGAGTCCTGATGGAGAAATCCCCAGAAGTAGAACTGTATTGAAATTCCAGTAACATCATCACGCTTTTCACAATAGTACACCAAAAACTTACAGAAGGCTCTGTTGGCAGCAAGGAGTTATTGAATCTCATAACCACTTGGGTCCCCATCTTCAAGAGTCCCTAGAAGAGACGAATCAGGGCCATCTAAAACAGGAAGAATAAGAAATGTACAAAATAACAAGCCAGGAAAAAAAAAATTTAAAGCTCAACTAACCGAGTTGGGGCCAGACCCCTCCCCAAAACCTACCAACTTAAGTCATCTTGAAGTATCAGAAATAGGACCCTAGTTAGCAGGAAGTCCAGCTGAAGATATTACAAGCACAACAGGGCTATCCCAGTGGCATTTTAAAATTTACTTTTTTTTTTTTTTTTTTTTTTAGAGATAAGGTCTCACTCCGGCACTCAGGCTGGAGTGCACTGGCACTGTCATAACTCACTGCAGCCTTTAACTCCTGGGTTCAAGTGATCCTCCCACCTCAGCCTCTCAAGTATCCAGGACCACAGGTGTGCACCACCACACCCAGCTAACCCAGTGGCATTTTTAAACCTAGTTGCTTAGGTATTAATACTAATAAAGTGAAGAGTAATACTCCCCTATCGTTAGTCAAGCAACAATGCATTTTCCTTTCTTCCTATATTTATTAGTCAAGGACCACAGGAAGTATTCTGAAGATAATCAGGAGAAATACTGGAAGCTCTGCTACTGGCATTTACTTCCTTCTATCCTCAGAAACTGAGTTTTAACCCAGAGAGGCAACATGTGTAATTCTTTTTTTTGTTGGGGGGACAGAATCTTGCTCTGTCGCCCAGGCTGGAGTGCGGTGGCACGAGCTCGGCTCACAGCAACCTCTGCCTCCCAGGTTCAAGCGATTCTCCTGCCTCAGCCTCCCGAGTAGCTGGAACTACAGGCACGTGCCACCATGCCCAGCTAATTTTTGGTACTTTTTTAGTAGAGATGGGGTTTCACCATGTTGGCCAGGCTGGTCTCAACTCCTGACCTCGGGTGGCCTCCTAAGTGCTAGGATTACAGGCGTGAGCCACCGCGCATGGCCCGGCATGTATAATCCAAAGACAGAAATTTGTATATAGCACTTTAAGCTTACGAAGTACTATCATCTACATCATCTTATTTGACCTTTGCAGTAAATAATCTTTGAAAACAGAGTTAATGATTCTACCTTTTTTTTTTCCCACTTTTTTGAGACGCAGTCTCGCTTTGCTGCCCAGGCTGGAGTGCAGTGGCGCAATCTCAGCTCACCGCAGCCTCGCCTCTCGGGTTCAAGCGATTCTCCTGCCTCAGCCTCCAGAGTAGCTGGGATTACAGGCCCCGGCCACCACGCCCGGCTAATTTTTTTTTATTTTTAGTAGAGACGGGGTTTCGCCATGTTGGGCATGCTGGTCTCGAGCTCCTGACCTCAGGTGATCCACCCACCTCGGCCTCCCAAAGTGCTGTGATTATAGGCATGAGCCACCGCGCCTCGCCAGTATTATCCCGGCCTGACCCTGCTTAGCTTCCAAGATCAAACGAGATCGGGCGTGTTCAGGGTGGTATGGCCATTAATTTTTGTATTTTTAGTAGAGACAGGGTTTCGCATTGTTGGCCAGGGTGGTCTCGAACTCCTGACCTCAGGTGATCTGCCCGACTCAGCCTCCCAAAGTGCTGGGATTACAGGCGTGAGCCACCACGCCCGGCCACCTTCATTTAATATATAGAAAATAGGCTACAGAGTTTCTCCACCAATTAGTGGTGGGGGTCAGTCCTCCAACCCACCTTTTCTGAATCTGCCTGCATTGAGTCTTTGCCAGACAACGGGCCGGGAAAAAGTGATAATGGTAATGATATAATAGCAGCCAACATTTGACTACAAAATATGTACTTGTCGCAAGTGCTTTAAATTCTCACACTTTATGGGGCTAATACTATTTTTTTTTTTTTTTTTTTTTTTGAGATGGAGTCTTGCTGTGTCCCCCAGGCTGGAGTGCTTTGGCGAGATCTCGGCTCACTGCAACCTCCGCCTCCCGGGTTCAATCGATTCTCCTGCCTCAGTCTCCTGAGTAGCTGGGATTACAGGCCCGTGCCACCATGCCTGGCTAATTTTTGTATTTTTAGTAGAGACGGGGTTTCACCATGTTCGCCAGGCTGGTCTCGAACTCCAGACCTCAGTGATCCGCCCGCCTCAGCCTCCCAAAGTGCTGGGATTACAGGCGTGAGCCACCGCGCCCGGCCAATACTATTATTGCCAACTTTTGTGTGTGCGTGTGCTACAATTTCATTTTCAGTACTCTACCAGTCTTTAATCATCCCTCTTAGGGACCAGCAGAGAGGCAGCGGTATCTGGGGAGAACGGAGAACAGATCGAGAAAGGGGAGTGCGTTACCCCTCCTCTCTAAGCTCTGAAAGTCTGAAGCAGAAAACTGCACACTAAGAATGTACAAGGCTGAGGGCGGTTTGGTCTTTGAAATTTTAGCCTCCTCTAACCCACTTCATCCTCGCCACCTCCGCGTGTCCCCAGTTTCGATGTGGATGATCAACTTGGGTAATATTTTTGTTACTCGCCACCTTTCAGCACCTACCTCTTAAATGATGGGTCCGTCTGGTTCAGCATCTCTGTCCCCAGCCCTCCTGAGCTCGGCCTGCCAGTGCTCTGGCTTTGCCGCGGTTTCCCGCTGCCATGGTGATGCGGGGGCCGGCCACAAGCCCCGCCCGACTCCAGCCAGCCAGAGCCAGCCCCTGCCGGCCTTGGTCCCGCCTCTGGCCCGCCGGATCCCGCCTCCTGCAGGCCCAGACCGCGCCCCCTGGACCCAGATCCCCCCCAACTGCCGTTCCGGATCCGCCTCACCAGGAGCATCCGACAAACAACCAATCACGGCATGGACACACCGCCCCAGGAACTGCGCCCTCTGCCAATGGTAGCCCGCCCCCTTTCTCCTAAACCCCACCCCCCTCCAGCTCCGCCTCCAGCCGCGGCCTGGGGGTGGGGCCGGAAGGCCTGTCTACTGGCTGGACTTTCGAACCGCCCTTAAAACTGGGCGGGATCCGCTGTCCTCGCAAGGAGCTTCGGGGCCCCGCCCCAGAAAACGCGCCAGGCATGTTTCTCAGGCCGTTTATTGATCCTAGCGGCCCCGCACCTGCGAGAGCCAACAGTCCCTCCGAGGGAAGTTTCCAGGCCTCACTGTGCTGTCGGTTATCACTGACTTGAGGTCCTGAAAGCGTTTCCTCCACGCCTCAGCCCCCTTCCCCCATTTGTCTGTTAAGGTCTGGAACCTGACTCAGCCACTGAGGAAATGGCCCAAGCCAGCCCTAGTGTCTGAATGTAAAAGCTCAGAATGCTTTTCCGGAGCACCTCCCCTTCAGCTTTGGAGTTTAAGGTGTGTGAAAAAGGATACCATTAATTAAAGTCCAACAAGATCAGCCCACGTGCTTATGGGCTAACTTTTTACCTGCTCTTTCTGCACTTTGCAAGAGCAGGAGCAACAATGGTGGGGTCGAAGACCTACCTCCCTGCACACTCCACCTAACCTCATGTGGATAGCTAAGTTTAGCTATCCACCCATAGCTAAACCAACTATTAACTCCAACCTAACAGTGGCAAGTAAGAGGCCAGGGGAGAAAATGGGACGCCCACAATTCCAGGGGCTTTGGAGTTCTTTAAGCTTAAAACGTGGACAACATCCCTGGGTTGCCACCCAATTCCCCAAAGCAGTAGGTTCTCCCCCACAGGTGTAGTGGTTAACGATGGACTGGGCCTTCCTCCCAAGCGCTCACACCAGGGTCCCGTTCTTGCTGTCATAGCGAGGTGTGGCCTGGGGGAAGCGAAGGGTCGCATACTCTGTAGCGTTTTCTAAATGCACGTGTTTCACTTCCCGGGCATGGGGACGGCTGCACACTTGAATGTCAGCATAATGTAAGTTGCTGTCTTCCGACATGAGGCCTGGACTCCTCTCTTGAGACCCTTGCTGCTGTAACACCCGTTCATACGTATGTCCTGTTGTTTCATGGCCCTGCGAGGAATGGATAGCATTAAGGGAGATTCATGGCTTGGTTTTGCCCCTCACCTCCAATGCAGGGGCAGGTCAACTGATGTCCCTTCGCTTTGCTCCTTTGAGCAAAGGACAGACAGAGGAGGACAGACAGAGCCAGCAAATTCTACAGGTGACTGAAATGTGTCTGTTGCAGTGCAAAAGAGCTGACTACTGGGATCCCATGTCCGAGCAGCCCCAGAGAGGGGACAGAGACCTGTCATTACCTTTGGGAGATTCTGCTGCAGCTGTTGTGGCTGCGGCTTCAGTGTCCGTCTTGTTTGGCTTCCTGAGGGGAAGAAATCCAACTTAAGTTTATTCTCTCTTCCCTGTCTCTACTGAGATTGCCTTCTTCAAATCACTATTAAACTATTAACGGCAGGCTTCTGTCTAATCCCCCTGCCTCCATTCTCACTTCTTTCATGTCTACTAGTGCTAAATCCAAACTCCTTAGCAGGGTTTACAATCTGGCCCTTTCACAATCTGGCCATAATATCTTCCATCCTCATTTTTCACTAGCCCCTAACAAGTTCAACAAGAGAACCCATTGTGTGCCAGGCTCTGTGCCATGTTCTGGGGGTAGAAGGATGAGTAAGCTGTTTCCTCTACCTCAGGGGGCTTACAGCCTGCTAGGGGAGACAAATAAATAAAAATAAGTAAACACACTTACAATGCAAGGTGGGAAGTGCTCAGCTATACCAATCAGCCACTTTGAATCAGGTCAGTCTCTTTTTTTTTTTTTCATGAGCTGATTTATCTGCCTAAAACACCTTCTCCCTCCTCTGCTGACTTGTGAACTTTGCTTTTATTTATTTATTTAGAGACAGAGTCTCACTCTTGCCTAGGCTGGAGTGCAGTGGCGCGATCTCGACTCACTGCAACCTCCATCTCCTGGGTTCAAGCAATTCTCGTGCCTTGGCCTCCCAAGTAGCTGGTACTACAGGCGCATACCACTATGCCCAGCTAGTTTTTCTCTTTTTAGTAGAGATGGGGTTTCACCATGTTGACCAGGCTGGTCCCAAACTCCTGATCTCAAGTGATCCGCCCCACCTTGGCCTCCCAAAGTGCTGGGATTACAGACGTGAGGCACTACGCCTGGCCCTTTGCTATTATTTCTTTGACATTTCGACATCAGTGTCTTCTCTCAATTCTCCCACAGCATGAGTACACATCTATTACAGCACCAGTGATGATATTACAACTGTTTGTTTATATGAATTTATCTCTTAAATTTGATTTTCAGCTCTTCCAGGGCTGAGATCATGTGTCTTTCCTCTTGTGCCTCTCTGCCTCCTTGGGACCCACACAGGTCCTGACGTAGAATGTAAGTGCTGAGTAAATATTTGCTAGATGAATGAAAGAATGAACAACCAACCCTGCCACTCTGAAATAATGGAAAGGATAAGATCCAGAGGTTCAGAACTAGTCTTGAATGCAGCAACCTGGATTCTCTTTGGTGTGCTGTCTCCCTTTATCCTTTCATTCCTTTTCTACCCTTCTGCCCTTTCCAAAGATTGGAGTTCTATTGTCTTCTCTAATTTGCCTCCCCCAGATTCCCTCCCCCAGCCCCAAAGTTACCTGTTTTCTTTTTCTTCTGGAAAGTTGATGGGCAGCTCCTGTAATAGGAAAAACAGATCACCCATGTGCAAGAGCCCTGGCCTCTGCCTTCCCTCCATCATCATTTGCTCTGTGGTCTCCTTAACATTCTGATGAGCTTCCCCTACCTCCCTCTAACAAAGATTCACCCTGAGCCAGGTTCAGTCCCAAAACATTAGTCAAGGGTACCACACCTCTCCCACATGGATGGTTCTGGAAGGTGGAGTAGTACAACTGACATAACCAGACCCAAAATACAGCCTCAGGCAACCAGGCACTACATGCCAGGGATGTATCTGGCTTGAGAGCTATTCTGGGATTGTCTAACAGGCTAATCCCAGCAGAGGGTGAGGGAAATCTGTCAAATGATGGAATATTCTTGGATCCAGAGACCCTCTTGCCTCTTCTTCAGTGCTTTTTTTTTTCCTGGGGTCTTTACCAATCTGGGACTTTTATTCTGGGAGTCATGGAAGTTGCCACAACCAGGGCTAACTAATTACAGCCCCTCAAGGCCCTTTCTTAACAAGTGACCTCCCTCCCTGCTTCCTTGTCCTTGTTTTTAATTAACAGAGAAAGTGAGAGATGTTTAACCTTTAACATCCTTTAGAGAACTTTGTCTACAGAACAGGGAGCACTGAATTTGGTGAGTGACTCAGCTATCCTGCCCTCACTGTAGGGCAGACCTCTTATATTTATTTCTGAGCCCCTGGGGTCCCCAATGGCGCCCGTGTGTCTACGTGATTGTTAACTGTTTGATGCCAGAGAGACAACACTGACTGAGGAAATAGGCTAAATAGTTTGGGGCTTACTCCGGATTCTTTTTCTTGCTTTCTTGCTAGTACATTTCCAACTCTTGCCAGAACCAACCCTGTTTGTCTGCCTGATCTCTCATCTCCTGGGAGGTTTCCTTCTTTGCTAATTTGAGAGGGCGAGAGAGAGAAGACTGACTTCTAAATCATGAGGACTACTGTGGGGAAAAAGTCAGGATTTTTCCACACATATTTGACAGAGGTTTCTGTTTTGATGTGATTTTTGGTTTTGCTACAGCTTGCTCAGTTGACAGCAGTTGAGTCTCCAGCCAAACTCTACAGGTGGTTCAGAAGAAAAACTACTCCTGTGTTTTTCTACTTCTTCTGCCACTTCAGCTCTTGCTTTATGTTACTGCTGCTCAGTCAGCCTTATCCTAAGAACGAGATAATCTTCTAATTCTTTGCCACTTGTTACTACTCTTTACCTACTTATTTTTATTTAAATGGATACAGAAAATATTAGTCCTAAAATACATAGACTAGGGCTATCCAGTGTTAGTGAACAGAGCCTGTTCTCAAGTTAGATATTGTGCAATGCCTGGACACAACCCAAATGGAGTGAGTATTCATTTAGATACACAGGCGATGGGATTTTATTTTTAGATTTAAGGAAACTAAGTGGGCATTCTTCTACAGTGGTAATAGAAATAAAAATCTGTGCAATCCTCCTAGAATGCAATTGGCAATAAGTATAAAAATCCTTAAACATAAATGTGTATACCCTCTGATGTAGCAATTCCATATCCTAAGAAATAATTATACATGTACAAATATGGATATTCATTATAACATTATTTAAATTGCAAAAAATAGGAAATACTCTGAAGGTCCATGATTTGGTAACTGACTAAAGAAATGGCATATGCAATTAATGGAAAATATGTAGCCACTTCATAAAGAATGTTGGAAGAACACCGAACATCATGGAAAATTTTACTTTTTATTAAGTTAGTAAAAAGGTATGTTTTGGAATAAAAACTGTGCACATTTAAAAAATATATGGAAATACACTAAAATGTTCCCATCATCTCTGGGTGCTTTATTTATGGTGCTTTTTATTTTCTGCTCGTTGCAGAAGTTAAATTTTCTGCAATGAATGATTATTACCTTTGTAATCAGAAACAATAACAATAAAGAATATTTTAAAATAAAAATATCTTCAATTGCCATAATATCTTTAAGCCTCTGGAGGTTTATTGAGATAACAAAAAATAGAGAACAAAGTTTTATTCAATCCTACTAGTATTTGAAGAGGAAAAAAAGATTTTGGTTAGACTATTTGGTATAGTGTCTCTAGAATGGGCTCTAGAGTCAGACTGATGAGGTCAGAATAGCTGTGAGAACTTCAGCAAATTTTTAACTTCTCTGGGCTTCTGTTTTCTTATTAATAAAATGAGGTATGATAGGCCAGGTGCGGTGGCTCACGCCTGTAATGCCAACACTTTGGGAAGCCAAGGTGAGTGGATCATTTGAGGTCAGGAGTTCAAGACCAGCCTGGCCAACAGGTGAAACCCCGTCTCTGCTAAAAATACAAAAATTAGCTGGGCGTGGTGGCACGCACCTGTAATGCCAGCTACTAGGGAGACTGAGGCATGAGAATCGCTTACACCTGGGAGGCTAAGGTTGCAGCGAGCCAAGATTGTGCCACTGCACTCCATACTGGGAGATAAAGCAAAACTCTGTTTCAAAAAAAAAAAATGAGTATGATAATATAATTCAGACCTCATGGGATTATTGTAAGGATTAAATAAAACAGGAAATGTAAAATACTTAGCATGGTTCCTAGCATATAATAAGCATGAGTAAAAGTTGACCACTAATGACTATCACCATCAGAGAACTAATCAGTAATGAAAAAAGAATACCAACACTTGGGAAGAAAGAGAATAAAAGAAGCTGTTACATCTCCTTCTCTAGAAGCTTTTCTGTGCTTCTAGATGTCCTATGTCTATAGGGCACCTCAGAGTTTAAAGGGTGCTTTATTTTTTCAATCCTGACATTCCAGGAAACACATATTTTTGTTCCCATTTTACAGACGGGTTAATGAAGGGCCTTTTTTACTAACTTAATAAAGAGTAAAATTTTCCATGATGTTAGGTGTTCTTCCAACATTCTTTATGAAGTGGCTACGTATTTCCCATTAATTGGATATGCCATGTATTTAGACAGTTACCAAATGTTGGACCTTCAGGGTATTTCTTACTCAACAAGGCAGGGACCAAATGTCCTTTTATTACTATGTCTTCTGTGTCTATCACTGTGCCTGTAGTACATGTTCAATAAACACTGTTTAATAAATGAATGGATAAATGAATGAGTAGTAGGGCAGGACTTGAATCCAATGTACTACTCCAAAACCTGTGTGTTTTCCAATGCACTTCACTTGTCTATCTAAATATAATGATGCTTTATTTATAACATGACATCTTCCAGATCTGCCCCAGGCATGGAAGGCAGTAGACAGAATAAAACCAGGACCAGGAATTTACGGCATGGCAGTGATGAAAATTCTGGGAAAGAATAGTAACAACCCCACAGATAATTTATTATGAGGTTTTCACATACGCTATATCCTTTGCTCTTCAAAATAAGCCTGTGATCTACACAATGTAGGATGTATTATCTACATTTTACATGTGAGGATGGATACAGAGAAATTAAGGGACTTATTACCTATGGTCACATAGTAAATAAGTGTGAAAGTCATATTCAGATATTCCATGGATATTCTTCTTTTTCCTACTTCTGCCCTTTTATTTTTATTTTCATTTTTGAGACAGGGTCTCATTCTGTCACCCACACTGGAGTGCAGTGGTGTGATCATGGTTCACTGCAGCCTCTACCCCCAGGGCTCAGGTGATCCTCCTGCCTCAGCCTCCCAAGTACCTGGGATTACAAGCACGCACCACCACGCCTAGCTAATTTTTAATTTTTTTGTAGAGATGGGGCCACCCTATGTTGCCCAGGCTGGTCTCAAACTCCTTTTCTTTTTTTTTTTCAAGACATAGTCTCGCTCTGTTGCCCAGTCTGGACTGCAGTGGCGCAATCTCAGCTCACTGCAACCTCTGTCTCCCAAGCTTAAGGGATTCTCGTGCCTTAGCTTCTCAAGTAGCTCAGATTACAGGCGTGTGCCACCATGCCTGGCTAATTTTTTTGTATTTTTAGTAGAGATGGTGTTTTGCCATGTTGGCCAGGCTGGTCTTGAACTCCTGGCCTCAAGTCATCTGCCTGCCTCAGCCTCCCAAAGTGCTAGGATTACAGGTGTGAGTCACTGCATCCGACCACTTCTGCCCTTTAATTTATTTTATTTTATTTTATTCTATTTTATTTTATTTTATTTTTGAGACGGAGTCTTGCTCTGTCACCCAGGGTGGAGTGCAGTGGTGCAATCTCGGCTCACTGCAAGCTCCGTCTCCTGGGTTCAAGGGATTCTCCTGACTCAGCCTCCCGAGTAGCTGGGACTACAGGCACCCACCACCACGCCCGGCTAATTTTTTGTATTTTCAGTAGAGATGGGGTTTCACCGTGTTAGCCAGGATGGTCTCGATCTCCTGACCTCGTGATCCACCCGCCTCGGCCTCCCAAAGTTCTGGGATTACAGGCGTGAGCCACCACGCCTGGCACTTCTGCCCTTTTAAATAAACATTGCTTCAAAGTTGACTTGCTTGATCTAAGAGGCAATATTATGCAGTGGTTCAAAAGGTGGCCTCTGAAGTCAGGTGGGCCTCAGTTGGAATCTTGGTTTACTTGCTTACCAGCCATGTGACCTTAGGCAAGTTAGTTAATTTCTCTGAGCCTCAGTTTCTCAGCTGACTGTAAAATAGGAGGAGGGGCAAAACCATTTACCTCATAAAGTATTGGAAAAATTAAATGAGACTGTAAAATGTCTGGCACATAGAAAGCTCTCAAGTGCTACAATTATTACTCTCATCCAGGAAGAAAGGGAAAGAAGGGGAAAGGGAGGAAGAGGGCACAGAAAAACAATGCCGGTTCAATATTCCTGCCCTGCTCTGGCCATTCCGCAGACAGCTAGCTTGGCTCTGTTTTTTTTTGTTGTTGTTGTTGTTGAGACAGTCTCGCTCTGTTGCCAGGCTGGAGTGCAGTGGCGCGATCTCGGCTCACTGCAACCTCCGCCTTCCGGATTCAAGCGATTCTCCTGCCTCAGCCTCCCGAGTAGCTGGGACTACAGGTGCGCGCCACCATGCCCAGCTAATTTTTGTATTTTCAGTAGAGACGGGGTTTCACCATGTTGGCTAGGATGGTCTCGATCTACTGACCTCGTGATCCGCCGGCCTCGGCCTCCCAAAGTGCTGGGAGTAGAGGCGTGAGCCACCGCGCCCAGCCACTTGGCTCTGTCTTCTAAGGCCTCCTGAAAGGAGGTGCTGCTCTGGTGTTGGAACAAGGAGGTACCAGGCAGAGGAAGGTGGCAGTGGGAGGCTGGCAGACAACTATCTCCAGGTCCTCTGATTTTCGGGGCCTCTACATCCACCAACAGAGATAGATGTTCCCCTTTGCCCTTCCAGCCTACTCACCAGCTTCCTCCGCAGCAGACCCGGTTTCCCATGGCGCTCTGTCTCCAAGGGAGCCCAGCTGTTTTTATGCATCAAGAGGCTTGTGCATTTCCGGGTTCCTGGTTGAGCTTTCCGCGGCAGCTCCCGGAGTCTGTGTCAGTGTCAGATTTCAACCTAGCAGGTTGGACTTTTGAAGCCACCTGCTGGAATGATTCCCAGGTGACTGTGTTCCCAGCCAAAGGGTAGAACAACACACGGGCTCCAGGTGAGAGCTATCTCAACTTCAGGATTTGAAGCGTCTTTTGATGAAGCCATGAACTTGAGCTTCAAGCTTCAATAAAAAGAAACCTGAGATAGAAAAGGGCTCTTGGTTTCCTTACGAAATGCTTCTCCATTACATCACTCTGTCTTTGAAATATATCCTCTATAATAGATGAGTGCCTAATGTAGTAGTTTGCTCAGCACCACTCAGGTTTAACTGAGTTTCACTTTCGAGGCAATTGGTACCAGTTTCTTATTATTTTTGTACAGAATCTGGGTTGGGATACTGGAGTCTCTTGGAAACTTAAGTTTGGGGAAATGGGTTCCTCATATATTCTCCCTTGCTATTTGAAATCGATGTGGGCAAATCACTTAACCTTTATAGGGCCTAAGTTTCTAGGGCTGTGAAATGAAAAAAACTGAATCTAATCCCCTTTCTGGTATAAAATCAGATGATTCTATGATCAGGATGGCCTCAGCACTTCTTAACCACTCATTTCCTTATCCACAGTTCAGAACTACTGATTCTCCACTTACCCCTCAACTCTGCGTCTCCTTCCAGTAACCCAAAGTTAGACTCACCCGCACTCACCAGTAGAAAATATGGGCTCTACGAGAATCTGTGAAACCCATCATTCTTGTGTTCAGTTCTCTCACCCCATTTTTAGTGTTTTCCTCGGATGCCTGGTTATTGTCCTTTAAGTGGATGTTCAGGGCCCACCACTCAGCTCTGCACTCCACAGAGAATACCCTGGACTTTGAACTCCTCCTCTTATGAAACATGGGTAAGAGTGACAATCTTACAGGATTGTGGTGAAAAATAAAGCTCTAGTGCAGGGCCTGGCACATGGGACACACTCAGTAAGAGTTAGGCATTGTTGTTATTATTACAAAGCATCTTATTTTCTTTCTTTCTTTTATTTTTAAAGACAGGGTCTCAATCTGTCACCCAGGCTGGAGTTGAGTGGCTAGCTCACTGCAACCTCAAACTCCTACGCTCAAAAGATTCTCCCCCCTCAGCCTCTCGAGTAGCTGGGACTACAGGCTCACACCACTGTGCCTAGCTAATTAAAAAAAAAAAAATCTTTTTAGAGACAAGGTCTTTTTTTTTTTTTTTAAATTAATGTGAGATGGGGGTCTTGTTATGTGGACCAGGCTGGTCTCGAACTCCTGGCCTCAAGCAATCCTCCCATCTCAGCCTCCCAAAGTGCTGGGGTTACAGGTGTGAGGCACCACACCTGGCCAAGATAGGGTCTTGCTATGTTGCCCCTGCTGGACTTGAACTTCTGGCCTGAAGTGACCCTCCCACCACGCCTGGTTCCCACATCTTACTTTCTTTTCTTGTGCCCCAATCATTGCACTATTTCATGGCCATGCTTCTTCCATGCAATCCATTCTGTACTCTACTCTACCATTAACTGTATCCTTTTCATCTTGTTACCCACTCCTTCTCCTCCCAGTTCAAAAGCCATTAATGATTTCCTATCACCTACAGGATACAGTTCAAACTGCTTAGCCTGGCACTCCAAGCCCTCCATAATCTGGTTCCTTTTTAGTCACCCCTTCTGTAATGTTTTAAAAAGCACCTAAGCAGCTGGGTTTACACAGTGGCTTGGCTCATGCCTGTAATCCCACTGCTTTGGGAGACTGAGGCAAGAGGATCGCTTGAGCCCAGGAGTTCAAGATCAACCTGGGCAATATAGCAACAACCCATCATCTCTACAAAGTATAAAAACTGAAAAATTAGCCAGGTGTGGTGATGTGTGCCTGTAGTCCCAGCTACTCAGAAGGCTGAGGTAGGAGGGTTGAGCAAGAAAGTTTGAGGGTGCAGTGAGCTGTGATCACACCACTTTACTCCAGCCTGGGTGACAGAGTGAGACTCTGTCTCTAAAAAAAAAAAGAAAAGAAAAAAAGGAAAAGAAAAGAAAAGGAAAGGAAATCACCTAAGGGATTTTTAGATGACCAGAAACTCCAAAGAAATCAATAGAGGAATAGACCATTGTGGTAGCCAGAAAACCTCATATGCCTAAAGCAGCATTAATAGAAGCCTGAAGTGATAAACAAGGATATTGATTATTCCACTGAAGTCTGTACCAGTCAATCCATGACTGGAATAATAATTTTAGGTCTAGATGTTGAATTTCAAGTTACGTTGTCAAAAGGCAGTATGTTCAAAATAAAGTTATCTGGGTAATATGTGATGTGGAAAGTGCTGTATGATATGGTTGAAAGAACAAGGCATGGCTGGGTGTGGTGGCTCACGCCTGTAACCCCAATGTGTTGGGAGGCCGAGGTGGGCAGATTGCTTGAGGCCAGAAGTTCAAGACTAGCCTGGACAACATGGCGAAACCCAGTCTCTACAAAAAATTAGCCAGGTGTTGTGGCGCATGCCTGTAGCCTCAGTTACTCAGGAGGTTGAGGTGGGAGGATTGCTTGAGCCCAGGAGGAGGAGGTTGCAGTGAGGGGAGATGACACCACTGTACACCCAGCCTCGGTGACAGAGAGAGACTTTGTCTTAAAAAAAAAAAAAAGAACTAGGCATGTTTAGCTGGGAAAGGGAAGCCTCAGGAAGACAGGATGGTTATCTTTAAATATCAGAAGGATTTTCAGTGAAAAAACCATTGTGTTTGTTTTCCAGAGAAGTTACTGAAATGCAGATTTTGATTCAACAAAAGGAGGAATTTATAACGGTTAAGTCAGTTAAGACCAAAAAGAAAATGGAAGGCCAGGTACAGAGGCTCACACCTGTAATCCCAGTACTGTGGCAGACCAAGGATAGAGGATTGCTTGAGTCCAGGAGTTCAAGACCAGCCTGGACAACAAGGCGAGACCTCATCTCCAGAAAAAGTAAAAAATTAGCCAGGCGTGGTGGCACACACCTGTAGTCCCAGCTACTCAGGAGGCTGAGGCAGGAGGATTGCTTGAGCAAGGGAGGTTGAGGCTGCAGTGAGCCATGATCATGCCACTGCACTCCATCCTGAGCAACAGAACAAGACCCTGTCTAAAAAAGAAAAGAAAGAACATGGAAACGACTACCGTGAGAAGTTCTAAGTTGTCTGTTATTCAGAATGTCCCCGAATAAGTTGATTAATAACTTTAAAAGCATTTGAATGGAGAGGGGATTTGGACTAAATCAGAAGTTTTCAAATTTCTTATAGCTAGGAAACCCTTTCCTTTAAATAAAGCTCAGTTACAAAACATATCAATGTGAAGCTATTTTGGTTGAAGTCTAAGTAGAATCCTTTTCTTATTATTTTTCTTCTCAACTAGATTCTGGAAAGTTGACAATAAAAGCTAATAGTTTTTATAATTTATATTTACAATGTATATCCCCCAAGGTGTATTACATGAGGTTTGATAAATATTTACTGAATGAATGAATGAACAGTTAAATATGTCAAATGTTATTTCTCTGGGGCATGCTTTCATTTTTAATAGACAGCAATCTTTTAACCAAAAGTCGAATTCCTCAAGTGAGTTCTGTTATCCTGGAGGTCCACAGATCCCTAAGGGGGGTATGTGAATGGGTCTTAAGAGTTGTGGGAACCTATTCAAATTGTATTGCCAAATTTGGGAGCATATGTATTTTTCTGGTAAGAGCAGCTATAGCTTTTGTCAGATTTTCAGAAGGGTCTATAACTCCCAAAAGTTAAGAAACAACCACTTAATTTAATTCAATTCAATTTAATTTTTTTGAGGCAGGGTCTCACTCTGTCACCCAGGCTGGAGTGCAGTGGCGCAATCTCAGCTCACTGCAGCTTCAACCTCCCTAGCTCATCCTCCCACCTCAGCCTCCCAAGTAGCTGGGACTACAGGCATGCACCACCATGCCTGGCTAATTTTTATTTTTTTGTAGAGACAAGGTTGCACTCTATTGCCCAGGCTGGTCTCTTACTCTTGGGCTCAAGTGATCCTCCTGCCTCGGCCTCCCAAAGTACTGGGATTACAGGTGTGAGCTGCTGCACCCAGCCAAGAAACAACTGCTTTAATGGAAGAATTGTAGGTATCTACCACAGCCTAATGAAATATGTATTTGGAGGCAGGAAGGTCTTTTGGACACTTCCCCCAAATCATGTAGCTGGATGTTCTCTTGATTGCAGAGAATAACTGAGGGGACAGACCTCAGGCTTTCCTGAATACACCGTACCCCCAGAGGATGGGAAGGTAATGGGGTTCCGTGATAATTGGAGAGGCTTTGTGTCTGTGCCCTGTGTATGCATACTCAGGCTCTCAAAATCAGTGACCATTTAAGTGGACAGACCTTAGTACATGAAAACAAAGTATTCACTCCAGGACTTTAGGCAACTCTCACCAGCCAAAAACCATTTTCCCAGCCCCTACCCAAAAAGGGCCAGACAGTCTGGAGACCCTTGTTTTTGTGTCTCTAATCACCAGCTCAGACAGTGCCCTCTGGGCTGTTTGGATGGCATATCCCTTTTCCCTCCCAGGATCACTCTCTCTTTTGTTGCATTGTGAGAAAATTATGGCTAGGAATTTGATCTGGAGCCAGAGTCAGCTTCCGGGTGTGATCTCAGCATCCAAGTGCGAGCTCAGGGTCCTATGACGTTGGGCACATCAAACTGAGGAGCTTTTTGTCTAGCTGGCTGTGACCTCCTCCCTCCCTCCCCATCCCAGCTTCCCGGCCACAGAATAGGGAGCAGTACAAACAAGGCCCTGAGATTTGGGTTTATTCAGCTCCACCCAAAACTAAACCAAGGCTATGACATGTCCCATGGGACCAAACCATACATTGTGGACCATGCACCTTTCCCTTCCCCCAAGGATGCTGCTACCTCTGGAGTGGTGGGCAGCTGCCCATATCACCTTGGGAGGTAGAGAGGGATTTGCTGGGTGCTGGGTCTGTGGCAATCAGGGCTCAACTATGGCTGCCTCCTCCTCTTCCTCTGGATCAGGAGGCGCAGGGAGCAGGGAGATGTAGACCTCATTGACCTCTGTGTCCAAATGTCGGCCACCCCGAGGTGCTTCCAGGTTTAAGATGCCATCATGGGAGAGAGCAGCTCGGACTCGCCAGGGGTCGACATCAGCAGGCAGGACATAGGTGCGGCAGAACTCTCGGGACACGAAGCCGTGGCGGTCCAGGCGCTGGGGGTGCCGGGCAGACACCTCCAGCAGGTTATCCACAGTCCTCACAGTCACCTCGTCTGGGGTAAAGTGGCTCACATCCAGAAATGCCTGGAACTTGCCCTCACTGAGCCTAAGCTCGGAGGCCCCTGCCCTGCTGCCCTCCCCAGCTGGGGCGGCCCGAGGCCGGACATAGTAGCCATGGTAGAGTGTGGGGGTCAGGATCTCTTCTGGCAGGAGGCCTAAAGGGCAGAGAGAAGGCAAGAGGCAGGATGAGGGAGGATGAGGCTGGCACAGGGGCGAAATGGGAAATCTGGAGAGGAGGGATTGGGAAGAGCAAGAGGGGAGTCAGGAGGAGTAGGGAACGGGAGGGAGGCCACACTGTAGCTAGGAGGAGAAGGCAGCTCGGAAGAGGGGAAAGAGAACGGAAAGGAAAGGGAGGAGGAGGAGGAGAAGGAGGAGGAGGGGGAGGAGGAGGAGGCACCAAACGGCCTGGGTGGATAGAAGGGGGACAAGGAGGCACACCCAGGCCGGCAAAGAGCAGGTATCAGCACTGCAAGCACCAAGTGTGTCTTGAGGTCAGCAGGAATGGGAAAGATCTCTGCTTGGAGGGGATGAGGGGTAGTCTGGGGTGGGGGGTGGCTGGTCCCAGGAGATCAGTTAAGCCCAGAGTGGGGTGGAGGCCAGCAACGTTGGGAGGTCAGCCCAGAATTTCAGGGGGTGGGGGTGGGGGGCAAGGGGGTGGTGTCTGTGCCATACCTTCTCCGAAGCGCTGCTCACCCAGGCGGCTCGGGTTGGCAAATTCGTACTCGGCGGTGGCCGGGTGGGCATGTGGCACTGAGCGGCCCGACATGGCTGCAGATGCAGCAGAAGCCCTGGTCCGAGGTGCAGCCCCAACAGGCGCAGCGCGACCCCTCCAGCTGCCCGGAGAGCCAGGGCTCGATAGGAGGTGGGGGCGGGGTCGACACCACCCAAAATAGTGCCGAGCCTCTTGGGGGGGGAGGGGCTGGGAGTGGGGGCCCTGAGTGAGAGCAACGAGGGTGTGACCAGCGCCGCCCGGACCCCTAGTCCCCTCCCCCGCACACTCTTCAGCTGTCGCAGGGGGCCTGAGAGGACAGCTGAGGGTCCTGGCTGGGAACGAGCTGGGGAGGGGGAGCTGGTGGTGCCTGGGGCATGAAGAGGCCTCGCTGAGACCCTCACAAACGGTTTGCACGTTTCCACACCTCATTTTCTCCTCTTCGGTGGCAGGCACTGTGCACCCAATTCCTAAAGCACTCCTGGATTTAATGTTCTGAGAGCCACATAGAACGAAAGATGCAAGAAATCTGTTTGCTCTTTTTTCAGGGGGTGGGGTCTTTCTGCCCAGATGTGGGATCCTCTCCTAAACCCAGGTCAACCCAGGGCACGAGGCAGATGGCTGGTGCTGACATGTTGACCATCACTGCTCTCTTCCAAGGACTCACAAAGAGTTAATGTCCCTGGGGCTCAGCCTAGGAAGATTCCAGTCCCTGCCCAGGCCCAAGATAGTTGCTGGCCTGATTCCCCTGGCATTCAGGACTGGAAAGGAGGAGGAGGGGCACACTACGCCGGCTCCCATCCTCCCCCCACCCCGCGTGCCTGCTTGGGATTCCTGACTCTGTACCAGCTTCAGAGAACAGGGGTGGGGGTGGGTGCCATTGGGTGTGGACAGAAAGCTAGTGAAACAAGACCATGACAAGTCACTGGCCGGCTCAGACGTGTTTGTGTCTCTCTTTTCTTAGCTCAGTGAGTACTGGGTATGTGTCACATTGCCAAATCCCGGATCACAAGTCTCCATGAACTGCTGGTGAGCTAGGATAATAAAACCCCTGACATCACCATTCCAGAAGCTTCACAAGACTGCATATATAAGGGGCTGGCTGTAGCTGCAGCTGAAGGAGCTGACCAGCCAGCTGACCCCTCACACTCACCTAGCCACCATGGACATCGCCATCCACCACCCCTGGATCCGCCGCCCCTTCTTTCCTTTCCACTCCCCCAGCCGCCTCTTTGACCAGTTCTTCGGAGAGCACCTGTTGGAGTCTGATCTTTTCCCGACGTCTACTTCCCTGAGTCCCTTCTACCTTCGGCCACCCTCCTTCCTGCGGGCACCCAGCTGGTTTGACACTGGACTCTCAGAGGTGAGTCTCCCCACAGCTAGGACGGGAGAGTCCTTACTGGAACCTCCTGGAAACTTCTCCATCCATTTTCCTTTCCTACCCTGCCTAAACCATTTTAGGCACATGTGTGTCCAAATGTGAAGAAAAATGAGGAGGTTGCTAGTGCCTTCCTCCCCCATCACCTGTTTCTATTTGATAGTCCTCTGTATCCCATTTATTACATTTTTTCATGCACTGTCAAGTTTATCCTCCGTCCCCTAACTTCTCTACAGGATACCCCTTTCTGGTTTGGTTCATGACAATCTGCAGGGAAAGAGCTGCCTTCAAACTCCTTTGCTTATCTCTTCCAACACCTTGGACTCTTGACCGATTTTACCATCTCAGGTTTCAGAGCCAGGAGAGAGCCCTGCCTCATCCTGAGCTGTTCATCCCCATGGGTATTTTCTGCCTTTCTATTCCCTCTTCTATGATTTTCTGGGTTTCTCAGGGCTACGACAGGGCGCTGGCCTGGGTCCAATCAAGCCCTACGAGGAAACAATATAGGGACGCCCATTTGTCCTAAGAGGGTGGAAGAACAGGGTGAACAAATAAGGTTGACAGAGCTGTCACAGATAACACTCTGGTTTAAAAATATTCAAGTGTGAGTAAACAGGAGCTGAGTGGGCAAGGGCTTTGGAAGGACAAGCAGGACCAGCAGAACATTCCAGATTGGGTGGGTGGAAAACTGGCAAAGAGACCTGAGCCAGAAGAAGAGGCCTTTGTCTCACAGACAAACCACAAAGCCAGGCATTGGAGTCAGAGAGGCAGCAGATGCCAGGCTTGCACCCATCCTTGCGACTGGTCCCCTGGGTGATCTGTCTTCTTCTCTGTCCCTGTAAATAAAGTTTGGGTCTGATCACCATGAGCCTTAGGTATCACTGTGGTGGCTCCCTGAAGCAGACAGCTATGTTTATTTAAAAAGGAGATTTTTTAAGCAGAGAAGAGAAGGATGAATTACCCGGACAGAAAGCAGCTCTGCAGAATAAGACAGCACCTGTGTAATCAGTATTTTTGCCCTCTTTCTCCCATCCCATTCCCTTACCTTGCTATTTCTAGATGCGCCTGGAGAAGGACAGGTTCTCTGTCAACCTGGATGTGAAGCACTTCTCCCCAGAGGAACTCAAAGTTAAGGTGTTGGGAGATGTGATTGAGGTGCATGGAAAACATGAAGAGCGCCAGGTATGTAGCTTGTTTTTTTGTTTTCTGCTCATTCATTCAGTGCATACTGTAATAGTCCAGGTAGTGCTATCAGCTTTGGAGGCTGGCTACATTCCAGTCCCAAGCCATAACAGTCGGGATCAGGGGTTACAAATCAATGTCTAGAAGACTAAGTTAGGATAGACATATTGCTGTTGTTACTATTATGGCCAGAGATGTGGCCTTTGATTTGATCGCCTTAGATGGGATGATGGGATGCTGATGCCCCATTTAAGCCAGTGGTTCTGAATCTGGGCCACATTAGAATCACCAGGGGAACTTTCAAAAAACCTAATGCTCGGGCATACTCCAGACCAATTAGCATATGTGCTGCCGAAGCGAGCACTACTCCAGACCAATTAAATCAGCATTTTTAAGGGTGGGACCCAGGCATCAGCAATTTTTAAGGTAATTCTAATCTACAGTCAAGGTTGAGAACCACTGATTAGGTATAGGGCTGTCAGACACCTAGTTGCTTTGCATAATTACATTAACTACAGGTACCCTAAAAGCACTTGAGTTGTGACTTCTCTTTTAGCTGTGCAAGAATCCGTGTCTCTTCTTTAGCCCATCTTAATGCTGAACTACTTGGTTTGTCTAAATTTCAGAGCTGTGCTCAGTCTTTAATCCCCTACAGCCCATGTGGTAATCAGTTAACGAGAGCCTGTTTGGCTACATGCTTGAGAGTCAGCAGGCATACGGGTTAAGGTCATCTACTCTTTGGGGGAGTTCTGACAAATGGAACAGCTTGTTATGACTTTATAAGAGGGCTTTAAAATTGCTTCTCACCATTTAACGATAGCTCAGAACCTGTGCGTCAACCAGTACAGTTTGTCCTCAGTAATGTCCTCAGGCTGTTTCAATTTTGCTTATATGATTTAGGTTTGGGTCATAGTCTCCTTGGATGGAGTCATTTTTTTTTTTTTTTAATTTCAGCAGCAGTCCTATTGTTCTGGAACCTTCTGGGACATTCCTGAAGAGTCAGGACAATTTCAGGGCTTCCTCAGGGACTCAGATTCTAAATGAGATTCCAAATTCTGTAGGCCCAGCCAACATTGATCTAAACCTTTGGGAAATACCCCTAAACATATCTATGCCTCAGGGTTTGAAAAACAATGAAGTGTTGGACTGTTTCAGACTTCTCAGATTCTCACTGGTAGGAGTGACTACCTAGGCAATTTCATCTTAGCTGCAACCCTGAAACGAAGCTCTATTTATTTTTCCTATGTTGTCATGGCATTTGGTCTCACCTAAGGGGAAATCAGGATGCCTGAGTTCTGGGCAGGTGATAATAGTTCCTGTTCTTATCTCTCTGCCTCTTTCCTCATTCTTTTGGGTTAGGATGAACATGGTTTCATCTCCAGGGAGTTCCACAGGAAATACCGGATCCCAGCTGATGTAGACCCTCTCACCATTACTTCATCCCTGTCATCTGATGGGGTCCTCACTGTGAATGGACCAAGGAAACAGGTCTCTGGCCCTGAGCGCACCATTCCCATCACCCGTGAAGAGAAGCCTGCTGTCACCGCAGCCCCCAAGAAATAGATGCCCTTTCTTGAATTGCATTTTTTAAAACAAGAAAGTTTCCCCACCAGTGAATGAAAGTCTTGTGACTAGTGCTGAAGCTTATTAATGCTAAGGGCAGGCCCAAATTATCAAGCTAATAAAATATCATTCAGCAACAGATAACTGTCTTGTGTTTGAATATTCCACACACTTTTAAATAAATATACAGATACCACAGATCTATTTATGATTGCATTATGATTTAGAGGGCTCCAAGGATTTTAGAGTCAGAATGACTGACTTCACCATTTACTACTGGTATAAATGTAGGCAAGTTGCTTAACCTTTCTGGTCTTCAGGTTTTCCATTTATAACATGGGTTACTGAGTTGTACAGAGGAATTATAGGAAGTAAATTAAGGAGAAGAAGCAGGAAAAGCCGCTGGCAGAGTTCAAGGAATATTAGTTACTCTCTCTCTGCCCTCTTTGATTTTAGCTCTCAGTTTAAAGGACTGGAACACATCTGAATGAACTCTGGATAACGCTACATAAAAGGCCTTACTGCATCTCTAAAATTAATTACATCACCAGGGAAGACATGGTGACCCTAATACTGTTTGACATTTTCCTATTGATAAGCATTGCCTTAAGCTGATTTACAAGGGCAATAAACAGGACTTGGGTGATTATCACCTAACAAGCTCTGAGGTATAGGCTAAATCAGTGGCCCCCAACCTTTTTGGCACCAGGGACTGGTTTTGTGGAAGACAATTTTTCCATGGCCCCGGGGGAGCAGGAGATGGTTTCAGGATGATTCAAGCATTAGATTCTCATAAGGAGTACATAACCTAGATCTCTCACATGTGCAGTTCACAATAGGATTCATGCTCATATGAAAATCTAATGCCACCACTGATGTGACAGGAGGTGGAGTTCAGCTTCACTCACCTCCTACTGTGCAGCCTGGTTCCTAATAGGCCACGGGCCAGTACCAGTCCATGGCCTGGGGGTTGGGGACCCCTGGTCTAAATTATCTAGCAAACACCTACTAACCTAAGGCCAGGGAATATCCAATTCAATGTCCTACCACGTAATAGTTAAGTTTTAGAATTACAACTAATAGCCAATCAATAAGTGGTTCTATTATTTAGCTTAAAGACATACCACTGTACAGAAAAATCCTCCCCAAAACAAAAAACAACCCTCCATTTCATTTCTGTGGGTCTGGACAAAACTTCTGATTCACTTGATAAACAGCACTGCTGTAGGTGATCTGGTATAAATGTTTATTGACAACTCTTATTTTTTCTTTAGCAACTTCTAGCTAATTTCTGATTTCATGCAAAATCAGAAGTCAGTCAGTTTGGGGACTGACCAGCGTTTTGAAATATTCTACGTGAAACAATTGCCTAAATTTTTTTATGACATAGAGGGAAACAACACACACTGGAGCCTATCGGAGGATGGAAGGTGAGAGAAGGGTGAGAATCAGGAAAAATACCTAATGGTTACTAGGCTTAATACCTGAGTTATGAAATAGTCTGTATAACAAACCCCTATGACATGCATTTACCTATGTAAGAAAATAAAGGAAAAAAAAGATCACAATGAGAATCACTGAGCCCCTATTAGAATGACTAAAATGAAAAATTGACTATACCAACTAAAACAAAAAATATAAATAAATAAATTTAAAACTTAATAAAAAAATTCATGATGCAGGGGTGTGGAGCTAGGACAATATAAATTGCAAATCTATACCGGTTCAAAAATGCTTTCTCTTAAAAAACAACTTCCTAATAGTCTGAAATACTGTGATCTAGCCAGAAGTTTACAGCCAATTTTTGTGGCTGTGTAGCAGACACTGTTGGTTGCCTAACCAACAGCTATTTACCACCTTCAGCCTTGCCAACAGTATCCCAGATTGGTTTAGGTATACACCATGTTCTTCCTAGCCATGTGCTTCAGAGAAGTGAACTCAAGCTCCAGCCATAGGAGGTCTATCTTGATTAGTCCAAATCAAGCAGGGAAATTCTCTTCTTGATTTTCAAGATTATTCTTGAAAGGGCTATGACTCAATTATGGCAAATGAGACAGGAGGGAAGTCTGTTGGAGATGCTTCTAGAAAAAGTTTCTAAACTAAGAAAAGATTTCAGAAAGATTCAGAGAGAGAGAGAGAGAGATTTTTTTTTTCCTTGCTCTGGATGTTGGAGCACGAGAATGTGATGCCTGGATTACTGTAGCCATTTTGAAAACGTGAAGCGGGCATCCATGATATGCTGAGCACAAAGACAATAATCTCAGGTCCTTAATGGGTCAATGAACTGCTGAATTAGCCAACTCTAGAGTTTCCCTACTTCAGGCTGTCTGATTATGTCTTGTTTTTGTTAATAATCTGTTTTGACGTGGGTTTTCTGTTACTAGTAGGCAAAAATATCTAACATTATCAAGGCTGAATTAGATAGTGTAAAATAACTGAATGCCTGGAAGCCATGTGTCAATTTTAATCATTTTAGTTAATTACTAGTATATTTCCCAAGCAATTATGGACTTGGTTTTAAATAAATCACAACTTCGACTATTATATAATGATATTTGTTTCAAAAATGTGCAGGGCCACTTTTTTTGTTTATTGTCACCATAAGTGCCTAAGTTAGACTGGTTCTTTATTGTTATTCTTTCCTAGATCACACCCTTTGCTGTGGCTATTCACTGCTACGATATTAGTATAGGACTATTCTAGTACAGTATATTTGAGAGGTTTTTTTTTTTAGCTTTATAGCTAACTCATCCACAATTCTACTTCATTCCCTATATCTGAATTATACCAGAAGTTTACTGAGACAATTCTAATTAGTATTTGTTTTGTCTTTTAATGTTAGCTAACATTTATTGAGCACTGTATTAGTCCATTCTCACATTGCTATAAAGAACTGGCTGAGACTGGGTAATTTATAAAAAAAGAGGTTTAATCATTTCACAGTTCCACAGGAAGCATGGCTGGGGGGGCCTCAGGAAACTTACAATCATGGTGGGAAGGCAAAGGGGAAGCAGGCACATCTTACATGGCTGGAGCAGGAAGAAGAGAGACCGAAGGGGGAAGTGCTACACACTTTTAAACAACCAGGTCTCATGAGAACTCGACTCACTATCATGAGAAAAGCTATGAAGTCCACTCCCATGATCCAGTCACCTCCCACCAGGCCCCTCTGCCAACATTGAGGATTACAATTTGGCATGAGACTTAGGTGGGGACACAGAGCCAAGCCATATCAAGCACTTACTGTGTGGTAGGCACTGTGCTAAGTGCTTTAACCTTTTTAAAGCAATCATTTTTTAAAGAAGAATTCTGGGGAATGTGTGTATAATATATATATGTTATTTCAGTAAGATGTAATACTTAGAAAATGAGATGGTTATCTTTGCCTAATGCTTTTGGAATGATACATATTTTTATGCTTCGAAAAATTCTATGCTACTTTTTACTTCACATTTTTATTTTGAAGATTGCACTGGGTCCGATTGTTGTTCTGAAGATTTATAATTGCTGTTCATTCAATGATTATTTGAGTGCCTTCTATGTGCTAGCTACAAAAATAAGACATGTTTTCTTAAGGAATTAAGAATTGAGTGGAAGAGCAGGCAAGTAAAAAGATAATTCCGAGATACCTTTTTAAGATCCTAAGATGTCCATTCAAAATGTCTGCTATGGGGACCCTGAAGGGAAATACCTATTCTGGACACAGAAGGAGTCCTGGAGACAGTTACCCTGGATGAATTTTGGTTGGTTGGTTGGTTTTTGTGTTGTTGTTGTTGTTTGCAGTGGCATGATGTATTAGTCCGTTTTTATGCTACGGATAAAGACATACCTGAGGCTGGGTAATTTATAAACAAAAAGAGGTTTAATGGACTCACAATTCCACGTGTTTGGGGAGGCCTCACAGTCATGGCAGAGGGTGAAAGGCACATCTTACATGGTGGCAGACAAGAGAGAAATGAGAACCAAGTGAAAAGGGTCTCCCCTTATAAAACCATCAAATCTTGTGAGACTTATTCACTACCAAAGAACCGTATGGGGGAAACTTCCCCCATGATTCAATTATCTCCCACCAGGTCCCTCCCACAACACATGGGAATTATGGGAGCTACAATTCAAGATGAGATTTGGGTGGGGACACAGCCAAACAATATTACATGATTACAGCTCATGGCAGCTTCAACCTCCTGGGCTCAAGCCACCTTCCTGCCTCAGCTTCCCAAGTAGCTGGGACTACAGGCCTGAGCCACCATGCTGGGCTTTTTTTTTTTTTAGAGACAAGGTCTCACTATGTTGCCCAGGCTGTTCTTGAACTCCTGGGCTCAAGGAAGCCTCCTGCGTTGGCCTCCCAAAGTGCTGGATTTATAGGCATGAGCCACCACATCTGACCTCCTGACTGAATTTTTGTTAATTAAATATTTTTTTTTTTTAGACAAAGTCTGACTTTGTCGTCCAGGCTGAAATGCAGTGACATGATCACAACTCACTGCAGCCTTGACCTTCCAGGCTTAAGTGCTTCTCCCACCTCAGCCTTCTGAGTAGCTGAGACTGCAGATGCATACCACCACACCCAGCTAATTTTTATATTTTTTGTACAGATGGGGTTTCACCATGTTGCCCAGACTGGTCTTGAATTCCTGAGCTCAAGCAATATCCCTGCCTTGGCCCTTCAAAGTGCTGAGATTATAGGTATGAGCCACCACACTTGGCCTGCTGACCGAATTTTTAAAACAGCTTCTTTGAGACATCATTCATGTAATATATAATTCACCCAAACTACAATTTGATGGCTTTAGAATATTACAAAGTTGTACATCCATCACAATCAATTTTGGAACATTTCGTTAGCCCAAGAAGATTCCTTACACTCCTTTGCCATTACCCTCCCATGCTTGCCCCTCTGCCCTAGGCAACCACTTATCTATTTTCCTTCTTTATTGATTTGCCCATTTTGGACATTTCCTATAAATAGAATCATACAATATCTGGCCCTTTGTGACTAGCTTCTTTTGCTTAGCAGAATCAAGAGTCATCCATGTCATTGCATGTATCAGTACTTCATTCTTTTTGTTGCCAAATAATATTTCATTGCAGAAGCATACCACATTTTATTTATTCATTCATCAGTTGATGGATATTTGAGTTTCCACATTTTGGCTATTATGAATATTGCTGCTATGAACATGTATGCACAGGTTTTTATTTTATTTATTTATTTATTTTTTGAGATAGAGTCCCGCTCTGTCACCCTGGCTCAAGTGCAGTGGCGCGATCTCAGCTCACTGCAACCTCTGCCTCCCAGGTTCAAGCAATTCTCCTGCCTCAGCCTCCTGAGTAGCTGGGATTACAGGTGCACACCACCATGCCCAGCTAATTTTTGTATTTTTAGTAGAGACTGGGTTTCACCATGTTGGTCAGGGTGGTCTCGAACTCCTGACCTCAGATGATCCACCCGCCTTGCCCTTCCAAAGTGTTGGGATTACAGGCATGAGCCACTGCACCCAGCCCCGGTTTTTATTTTTAAATACCTGTTTCCAGTTCTCTTGGTTATATGCCTAGGGGTATAATTGCTGGGTCACATAATAATTCTATGTTTAACTTTTTGAGGAATGCCAACTATTTTCCACAGTGGCTGCACCATTTTACATTCCCAGTAGCAGTGTATGAATATTCCAGTTTTCCATATTCTCACCAACACTTGTTATTATCTTTTTTATTTTAGCCATCCTTGTGGGTGTCTGACTGAATTTGTAATGGTATATAGTACTTAGCAAGATACAGAAAGAAGGAAAATAGACCTAGGAAGAGAGAACAGCATGAAGTGCCTGGGTATTTAGGTTTAGTTGGAGCACTGGATGTATCAGAAAGAGTGTGAGAAATGAGGCAAGAGGGTTGGAAAGTGGCTCCGCTAAGGAGTTTGGAATGCATTTTGAAGATCATAGAAGCCAATAAAGGAATTTAGCCAAGAGAGTGGCACGATCAACTTTGCATTTTAAACTCACTCTAGGAGAAACATAGCAATTGATAAGTAGGAAGCAAAATGGGGAACGGAGACATCAACCAAAAAAGTGTTGCAGCAGACTAGGTGAGAAATAATGGAACACTGGAATATGACAAAGGCAATAAAGATGTGGAAAAGGAGGACGTATCAAGAGATAATAGGGAAACAGAATTTATAGGGCTTGTGTCTATTTGGATAAGGAGGATGAGAAAGGGGACACCAAAATAATTCTCTGGTTTCTGGTTTTGACAATTGTGTGAACTTATTATACAATATATAGTTTTAAAAATAAGAATGGTTAAAAAGAGCTATGAAATTCATCAAGATACAGAATATACCAGGGGGAAAATTTTTTTGAAATGAAAGATTATGAATGCAGTTTAGATATGTTGAGTTCGTGAGGTCTTCGGGAATTCAAATGGAGATATTCAATAAATAGTTGGATATTTATATCCACTGTTCTGAACACATATCTGGGATAGAAGTGTAGATTTAAAATTTGGAAGCATATAGATAGGAGTTAAAGGTATAGGAGTGGATAGTACTACCTAGGGTTAGCAAAAAAAGGAGCAAAAGGGCCAGCCACAGAATCACTGAAAAGGCAAACTTAAGGTATTGGCAGAGAAAAATGAGCTCATAAAAGAGACCTAGTAATGATCAGAGAAGTGAGGGAAAAACATGTTTAGCACAATGTCATAGAAACCAAGGGAATAAGATTTCAAGAAGGAAAAAGTGGGTTGTCAAGTGGATTACCAAATGCAGAATATAAAAGTTAAATAACATGTGAGCTGAAGTATCCATTAGATCTGGTAAAATTTTCACTGTCATAGAAACACTTGTAGGAAAGTGGTGGGTCAAAGAGGAAATGGGGGACAGACTTCTTGACAAGATAGAGCAGTATGCTCATATTTGATGCAGTCCCTCTACTGTAAACACATAGCAATGGTAGAATTTTTAAAGTAGAAAAGATAAATGACAATATGGACAAATTAAATTACAAAATATTTAAATAAATAAAATTTAGGAGGTTGGGCGTTTTAGACTCTAGTTAGAAGAAGACAGTGGAAGCTGATGAGTTCGACTCCTACAGGGTAATGAGACTAATAATTCTCAATCTAAGACAGAAGAATAAGACATATGAAGCAATTGGCTCATTATTTAATGCCAGTGGCTGTGGTGGGATTTTCCCACTCGTGAAAGAAAGGCAGAAAAATCCTGTCCATCTGCCTTCTGGATTATAGTTGAATAGAAGCTGGGCTTAGTGAGGTGGAAAGACCAAGACATAGCCTCATGATTCAGAATTTATATATGATATCTTTTTTTTTTTTTTTTTTGAGACAGAGTCTTGCTCAGTAGCCCAGGCTGGAGTGCAGTGGTGTGATCTCGGCTCACTGCAACGTCCACCTCCCGGGTTCAAGCAATTCTTCTGCCTCAGCCTCCTAGTAGCTGGGATTACAGGAACCCTTCACCATACCCGGCTAATTTTTTAAAATTCTTAGTAGAAATGGTGTTTCATCATGTTGGCCAGGCTGGTCTTGAACCCCTGACCTCAAATGATTCACCCACCTCAGCCTCCCAAAGTGCTGGGATTATAGGCGTGAGCCACTGTGTCCGGCCTATATATGATATCTTGCAGTTCAGTGATAGCACCCAATATGACAGCAGGATGGTAGCCCCACTCATCATTATAAAATCCTATTTAGAACTGGGAAGGAGATGTAAGAAGTGCGATGAAGGCAACTGCAAAACCACTAGAGAGTAAGGAGTGGTGGGCATAGAAGCAGAGAAATAAAGAAGGAAAAGCAAACTGAGAATCTATTGAAAATCAAAATTCCAAACACATGAAGAAATCTCGTAGTAAGAAAGATAGGCAACAATAAAATCAACAATAAGAAAAATGAAGAACCTTAGAACCCACCCATTCTTTTACTTTAAGAAAAAGACAAGTAATTGTTGCAGAGGTATTTTCCATTCCTATATTTTGCAGCTGCCTTTTTGTAAGAAGCACTTTTTCCAAATTAAAAAAATTAAATAAAAATTAAAAAATAAAAATGAGGGACTGGGCGCAGTGGCTCACACTTGTAATCCCAGCACTTTGGGAGGCTAGCATGGGCAGATCACCTGAGGTGAGGAATTCAAGACCAGCCTTGCCAACATGGTGACATACTATCCCTACTAAAAATACAAATATTAGCCCAGCGTGGTGGCGCACGTCTGTAGTCCCAGCTACTCGGGAGGCTGAGGCAAAAGAATCACTTGAACCTGGGAGGCAGACATTGCAGCGAGTTAAGATTGCGCCAGGGCACTCCAGCCTGGGCAACAGAGTGACACTCTGTCTCAAAAAAAAAAAAAAAAAGTTGAGGGGGGCATAATAATTGTATTTAGAAAGGGCAAGAAATATTACATTAAAACAAGCAGAATTTTAAAAGTGGATGGACATGAAAAAGACCCATTTAGATGTATTAGAAACTAGTTGATGTTATGAATGCTATAAGGAACAAAGTTACACATTTAGAAATTGAAAGAAAGCTGAGGAATTCACTCAGAATACAGCAAATTGGGGGAAAAGATTTTAAAAAATAAGAACAGTTAGGATATACGGAGGAGAAAATGAGAAACCAATATGTATCCAAACAGGTGCTTCTAAGAATTAATAGAGAAAATGATAAAGCATTACTTGAAGAGATTTTTCAGAATTGAAGATGTGGGTCTTCAGATATTGGGCAGGATAAATAATACTAAATATACACCTAAATATATGACTGTGAAAATCCAGAACAATAAGGATGAGAAAAATCTTAAAAGATATGAGGACAAAAAGATGTGTTAATTACAAATGAGTTACGATTAGATTGACAGCAGACTTCTCAGCATCAGTAAAAATCAAAAGACAGTAGAGTAATGGCTTCAAAGTACTGGTGGGGTAGAAATAGCTGTTAACTCATAGTTTTAGGTAAGTTATCACTCAAAGTAAAATACGCCAGGAATGCATATTTTATGGTTCAATATTGGAAAATCTCTCAATATAAATTCACTATGTTAATAGACTAAAAGAAAATAAAATCTTATGATTATTCCAACTAATGTGTGGTTCAGCTTCTCTATTTACATGGAGGGAAACTTCTGTTAGAAAATCAGAAATAAAAGAAATTTCCTCAAATTGGTAAATATTATATAACAAAAACTTAGCGCAAACATACTTACCAATGAAAATTTAAATTCATTCTATTCCTTTGAATATCCTGAGCAAGACAAGGATGCCCATTGTCACTCCTAATATTTTACATAGCAGTAAAGGTTCTGACCAATGCCATAACTGAAGAAAAACAAAGAAGAGGTGTAAGAATTGGAAAGGTAGAGATGAAACTGTTATTAGTTATAAATGATATAATAATCTGCTAAAACAACCCCAAAAGAATCAACAGACAGGCCAGGCACGGTGGTTCATGCCTGCAATCCCAGGACTTTGGGATGCTGAGGTGGGAGAATCACTTTAGCCCAGGAGTTTGAGACCAGCTGGACAACATGGTGAAACTCCATCTCTACTGAAAAAAAAAAAGAAAAAAATTAGTCAGGCGTATTGGTGCACACCTGTAGTTCCAGGTACTTGGGAGGCTGAGGTGGGAGAATCACCTGAGCCCAGGAGTTGGAGATTCAAGGCTGCAGCGAGCCAAGATCACATCACCGCACTCCAGCCTGGGGAAGCGGGGGTGAGACCCTGTCCTCCCCCACCCCCCAAAAAATCAGAATCAACAAACTGTTAGAACTAACAAGATAATTCAGCAAACTTGCAGCACACAATGTCAGATTATGGAATACTGTGCTGGTTATCTACTTCTGCATATCAAACGACCTGAAAATTTAGTGGCTTAAAACAACGATCATTTTATTAAACCTTACCAGGTGGTATTCAGCTGGTAGATGGTCTCATCTATAGGTTTTAAGGTGACTTAACTCTCATTCCTGATGCCTTGGCACGGATGGTTGGAAAGGTGGGCTCAGCTGGGCCTCTCTCCCTGTCCACATAGTGTCAGGATCTCTCTACAAGATCTCTCCAGCAGATAGTCAGATTTCTTATACAGTGGTTCAGGTATCCAAGGAGTGTTCCAAAAGACAGAAAGTGGGAGCTGCAAGTTTAAGGCTTGGGCTGGAAATTTACACAGCGTTTCTTTTGCCATAATTTTTTTACCAAAGCAGTTGCAAAGCCTTTCTACATTCCAAGGGAAGGGCACAGACCCCCTACCTCTTGGTGGAGGGAGAGTAAAAGAGTTTCCAGCCAAACTTAATCCTCCACAGCAGCTTACAGGGAGGGAGAAGGTATATGAAATCTCTAAAATTCACAAGGAATAATAGCGTTAATAGCAATAATATACAAGGAATTCCTAAGAATCAGCAAGAAAAGGACAGCTACTCCAATTTTCTTTAAAAAGGACAAAGACTATAGGACATTTATACAAGTGGAAATCAAGAAGCCAACATGCATACAAAGGAATGCTGAAAATAACTAGTAGTCAATGAAATGCAAACCAAAGTAACAATAAGCTATCTCTTTACAACAGTGTTTCTCAATATTGGCATTACCAATATTTTGGGCCAGACAAGTCTTTGTTGTGGGGGCTTGTCTGTGCCTTGTAGGATGTTTGGCAGCATCCCTGGCCTGTACCCACTAGCTGCCAATAGACATCCCCCTTGTAAAAATAAAAAATGTCTCTAGAAATTGCCAATTATCTCCTGGGGGATAAAATTGTCCCAGGTTGAGAACCATTGCTTTACACCTATCAGCATGGCAAAAAATAGAGAGCTGGTTAATGTTTTGTTTTGTTTTGTTTTTTTCTTGAGATGGAGTCTTGCTCTGTCCCCCAGGCTGGAGTGCAATGGCACGATCTTGGCTCACTGCAACCACAGCTTCCCAGGTTCAAGCGATTCTCCTGCCTCAGCCTTCCAAGCAGCTGGGACTTCAGGCGTGTGCCACCACACCCAGCTAATTTTTGTATTTTTAGTACAGATGGGGTTTCACCATGTTAGCCAGGCTGGTCTCTAACTCCTGACCTCAGGTGATCCACCCGCCTTGGCTTCCCGAAGTATTGGGATTACAGGCGTGAGGCACCACATTAATGTTAAGTGTTAGCAGAGATATGGCAACATAGGAAGCCTCAGGCCTTGTTGATGGGTATGTGAGTGGCACAGCCATTCTTGAGAGCAATAGTCAAATTAAATAAAGATATACCTCGGGACTCACCAATTCAGCATATGGGTAATTTACACAGGTCCATAAAGGAACATATATGAGGATATTCTCTGCAGCTTTGTCTGGTATTGGGGAGTTAGAGGCAAATTAAAATGTTGTGGCAGAATATCCTGTCCAATAATAGCAGATATATTTTTCTCAGTGCACATGAAACCTTCTACAGGACAGACCACAAGTTAGGCCACAAAACAAGTTTTAACACATTTTAAAAGACTGAAATCATACAAAGTATCTTTTCTGATCACAAGGAAATAAAATTAGAAATCAATAACAGAAGGAAAAATGGAAAATTCACAAATTAAACAATACACTCTTAAACAACTACTGGATTAAAGAAGAAATCACTGCCGGGTATGGTGGCTCACACCTGTAATCCCAACACTTTGGGAAGCCAAGGTGGGTGGATCACGAGGTCAGGAGATCGAGACCACCCTGGCTAACTTGGTGAAACCCCATCTCTACTAAAAATACAAAAAAATTAGCCAGGCATGGTGGCAGGTGCCTGTAGTCCCAGCTACTCAGGAGGCTGAGGCAGGAGAATGGCGTGAACCCGGGAGGCGGAGCCTGCAGTGAGCCGAGATTGCACCACTGCATACCAGCCTGGGCGACAGAGCAAGATCCGTCTCAAAAAAAAAAAAAAAAAAAAAAAAAAAAAGGAGAAGAAGAAGAAGAAATCACAAGGGAAATTGGAAAATACCTTGAGACAAATGAAAAAGAGAACACGGCTGGGTGCCGTGGCTCACACCTGTAATCCCAATACTTTGGGAGGCCAAGACAGGTGGATCACTTTAGCTCAGGAGTCCTAGACCAGCCTAGGCAAAATGGTGAAACCCCGTCTCAACAAAAAATACAAAAAAATAGCCATGCATGGTGGTGCGTACCTGAAGTCCCAGCTATTTAGAGAGCTAAGGTGAAAGGACCCCTTGCATCCAGGAGGCCAAGACAGTAGTGAGCCATGTTTGCACCTGTCTCAAAAAAAAAAAAAAAAAAAAAAAAGAGAGAGAGAGACAGAGACCCTGTCTCAAAAAAAGAAAAGAAAGAGAGGCTGGGTGCGATGACTTACACCTGTAACCCCAGAACTTTGGGAGGCCGAGGCGGGTGGATTACTTGAGGTCAGGAGTCCCAGACCAGCCTGGTCCACATGGTGAAACCCTATCTCCACTAAAAATACAAAAATTAGCTGGGCACGGTGGCGGGCACCTGTAATCCCAACTACTCAGGAGACTGAGACGGGAGAATGACCTGAATCCTGGAGACAGAGGTTGTAGTGAGCCAAGATCGCACCACTGCACTCTGGCCTGGGCAACAGAGTGAGACTGTCTCAAAAATAAATAAATAAATAAAAAAGAAAGGAAAAAGAGGATACAACATACCAAAACTTATGGGGTGCAGTAAAAGCAATACTAAACAGAAATTTATATCTGTAAACACATACAATAAGTCCTTACTTAACACTGTTGATAGGTTCTTGGAAACTGTGACTTTAATAACAATTTTACCATAGGCTGATGTAAACAAAACTATATTTCTGGTCATGAAAACATAGCTAAACAAAAACATACTTCTGGTCATGAAAATATCATCAAACTTCTCAATAGAAACCAAAAACACTTCTAATTTTTTTTTTTTAATTTTTGTGGGTACATAGTAGGCATATATATATATATATATATATATATATATATTTATGGGGTACATGAATTGTTTTGATTCAGGCATACAATGCATAATAATCACATAATGGACAATGGGGTATCCATCTCCTCAAACATTTATCCTTTGTATTACAAACAATCCAATTATTCTCTTTTTGTCATTTTAAAATGTACAGTTGGGCCAGGGTGGTGGCTCATGCCTGTAATCCCAGCACTTTGGGAGGCCAAGGCTGGCAGATCACTTGAGGTCAGGAGTTTGTGACCAGCCTGGCCAACATGGCGAAACCCCATCTCTACTAAAAAGACAAGAATTAGCCAGGCGTGGTGGTGCGCGGCTGTAGTCCCAGCTACTCGGGAGACTGAGGCAGAAGAATCACTTGAACCCGGGAGGCAGAGGCTGCAGTGAGCCGAGATTGGGCCACTGCACTCCAGCTTGGGTGACAGAGTGAGACCCTGTCACACATGCACACACACAAAAGTACAGTTAAATTATTATTGACTATAGTCACCCTGTTGTGCTATCATATCGTTTTATTCATTCTTTCTGGTTTTTTTTTTTTTGAGCGCCTTAACCATCCCCACCTTCCCCCAACCCACACTACCCTTCTCAGCCTCTGGTAACAATCCTTCTACTCTATTGCTATGAGTTCAATTGTTCCAATTTTCAGATGCCACAAATAAGCAGGAACATGTGATGTTTCTCTTTCTGTGCCTGGTTTATTTCACTTAACATAATGACTTTCAGAGTTCCATCCATGTTGTTGCAAATGACAGTATCTCAATCTTTCTTATGGCTGACTAGTACTCCATTGTGTGTAAGTAACATGTTGTCTTTATCCATTCATCTGTTGACAGACATTTAGGTTGCTTCCAAATCTTGGCTATTGTGAACAGAGCTACCACAAACTTGGGAGTGCAGATATCTCTTTCATATACTGATTTCCTTTCTTTGGGATATACACCCAGCAGTGGGATTGCTGGATCCTATGGTAGCTCTATTTTTAGTTTTTTGAGGAACCTCAAAACTGTTATCTATAGTGTTGTACTAATTTATATTCCCACCAACAGTGTACAAGGGTTCCCTTTTATCCACATCCTGCCAGCATTTGTTACTGCCTGTGTTTTGGACAAAAGCCATTTTAACTGGGGTGAGATACCTCATTGCAGTTTTGATCTGCACTTCTCTGATGATCAATGATGTTGAGCACCTTTTCATGTGCTTGTTTTCCATTTGTGTCTTTTGAGAAATGTCTATTCAGTTTTTGCCCATTTTAAATTAGATTATGAGATTTTTCTTATAGAGTTGTTTGAGTTCCTTATGTATTCTGGTTATTAATCTCTTGTCAGATGAGTAGTTTGTAAATATTTTCTCCCATTCTGTGGATTGTCTCTTCACTTTGTTTCCTTTGCTGTGCAAAGCCTTTTTTTTTTTTTTCCTTGAGACAGAGTTTCACTCTTGTTGCCCAGGCTGCTGGAGTGCAATGGCACGATCTTGGTCACCGCAATCTCCACCTCCCGGGTTCAAGCGATTCTCCTGCCTCAGCCTCCTGAGTAGCTGGGATTACAGGCATGTGCCACCACACCCAGCTTATTTTGTATTTTTTCAGTAGAGACGGGGTTACTCCATGTTGGTCAGGCTGGTCTCAAACTCCTGACCTCAGGTGATCCGCCCGCCTCGGCCTCCCAAAGTGCTGGGATTACAGATGTGAGCCACCACGCCCAGCCTGTGCAGAAGATTTTTAACTTGTGATCCCATTTGTCCATTTTTGCTTTGGTTGCCTGTGTTTGTAGGGTACGACTCAAGAAACTTACCCAGGCCAATGTCTAAGAGTTTCCCCAATGTTTTCTTGTAGTAGTTTCATAGTTTGAGGTCTTAGCTTTAAGTCTTTAATCGATTTTCATTTAATTTTTGTATATGGCAAGAGATAGGAATCTAGTTTCATTCTTATGCATATGGATAACCTGATTTCCCAGCACCATTTATTAAAGAGACTGTCTTTTCCCCAGTTTATGTTCTTGGCACCTTTGTCAAAAATGAGTTCACTGTAGGTGTGTGGATTTGTTTCCGGGTTCCTTACTCTGTTCCATTGGTGTATGTGTCTGTTTCTATGCCAGTATCATGTTGCTTTGGTTACTATAGCTCTTTAGTACAATTTGAAGTCAGGTAATATGATTCCTCCATACTTCTAACACTAAACATCAAGATAAATATGAAGTATACATACATTTAAGAAAGATTACTGGCTAGGCACGGTGGCTCACACCTGTAATCCCAGCACTTTGGGAGGCCAAGGCGGGCAGATCACAAGGTCAGGAGTTTGAGACCAGTCTGGCCAACATGGTGAAACCCTATCTCTACTAAAAATACAAAAATTAGCCAGGTGTGGTGGCAGGCGCCTGTAATCCCAGCTACTCGGGAGGCTGAGGCAGGAGAATCCCTTGAAACCGGAAGGCGGAGGTTGCAGCGAGCTGAGATTGCATCACTGCACTCCACACTGGGCAAGAAAAGTGAAACTCCATCTCGAAGAAAAAAAAAAAAGATTACTAAAAACAAGTAAGGTAATTATTTACCCAATTTTTGGTAAATCAGTGAGTGACAGCATTTGTAGCAGTGGTGAGTTAAATCAAGGAATAAATGTTTGCAAAGTGAAAATTATAAGGAGTGTCTCCTACCACCATGCAGTTCAAAGGCAAACAGTCACAAATCTGGAGGCTTCGCTGAATGCTTTCTATTATAGCATTGCTTATGTTGTGCGTCTGTATGATTATTGTAGACTTTATGAATTTTTATTTTATAAACTTTGTATTCATTCATTCATTCATTCATTTTCCAACTGACTTATTCCAGTTCAGGGTCATAGGTTGTTGGAGCCTATCCTGGAAGCTTAGGGCACAAAGAGGGAACTGACCCTGGATGGGATGCCATCCCATCATGGGGTGTACTCACATGCACACCCCCACTCATTCAGACTGTGGGACCATTTAGAAATGCCAGTTCACCTAATGTGCGCATCTTTGGGATGTAGGAGGAACCTGGAGTACCCAAAGAAAACCTACGCAGACTTGGGAAGAACATGCAAACTCCACACAGACACTGTCCCAGCAGGGAAGTAATTTGTTTTTCTCATCAACCTAATAATGATACAATGCTAAATAAAACAACATTATTTGAAGACCTGCTGTACATTGAAAAAAAAGAAAAATTGCAAATCAAAAAACTGATTTTACATCATAAGGAACTAGAAAAAGAAAAGCAAATCCAAACCAAAGCTAGAAGAAGAAAGAAAATAATAAAGGTTAGAGCAGAGATAAATAAAAGACAGAACAGAAAAATAAAGGAAGTCAATGAAACCAAAAGTTATTCCTTTGAAAAAATCAACAAAATTGACAACCCTTACCTAGATTGACTAAGAAAAAAAGAGAGAAAAATCAAATTACTAAAATCAGAAAAAAGTGGGGACATTTTTGCAGATGCAAACAGAAATAAAAAAGATTATATGAGAATACTATGAACAATTATCTGCTAGCAAATTGGAAACATAGGTCAAACAGATAAATTCCTACAAACACATATTTTACCAAAACTGACTCATGAAGAAATAGAAACTCTGAGTAGGTCCATAATTTGGAGTAAGGAAATTGAATTAGTAATCAAAATACCCCAACAATGAAAAGCCCTGGACCAGATGGCTTCACTGATGAGTTCTACCAAATATTTATATAAGAATTAACATCAGTCCTCCTCAAACTTTTTAAAAGAAAAACAAAGAGGAGGAATACTTCCTAACTTATTCTGGGAGACCAGCATTACCCTGATACCGAAGCTAGACAAAGACATTACAAGAAAAGAAAACTACAGACCAATACACCACATAAATCTTCAACAAAATACTAGCAAACCAAATTCGCAGGATATTAAAAGGATTATAAATATATTCCTGAAATGCAAGTTTGAGTCAACATATTAAAATCAATCAATACAATACACCGCATTTACAAAATAGAGGGAAAAAATCCCACAGGATCATCTCAGTTAATGCAGAAAAAGCATTTGACAGAATTCAAAACCCTTATACAATAAAAACATTCAACAAACTAGGAGTAGAAGGAAACTACCTCAACATAATAAAGACCATATATGAAAAACCCACAGCAAACACCAAACTCAATGATAAAAATTAAAAGTTTCGGCCAGGTGTGGGGGCTCACACCTGTAATCTCAGCACTTTGGGAGGCCGAGGCTGGAGGATCACTTGGGCCCAGGAGTTCGAGACCAGCCTGGGCAGTATGGCGAAACCTCATCTCTACAAAAACTACAAAAATTAGCATGGCCTGGTGGCATGCACCTGTAGTCCTAGCTACTCGGGAGGCTGAGGTGAGAGTATAGCTTGAGTCTGGGAAGCAGAGGTTGCAGTGAGCCAAGATCGTGCCACTACACTCTAGCACTTGACCCTCTCTCAACAAATAAAAAACAAAACAAAAAACAAAAATTCCACCAAAACTAAAAGTTTTAGCCTATTGCCAGTCCTTGGAAAAAAAATAAAAGGTCTTCCTTTAAGATCAGGATCAAGACAAGGATACCCACTTTTGCCACTTCTACTCAGTATATTATTAGATGTTCTGCTCAGAGCAATTAGGTAAGAAAAAGAAATAAAAGTATCCACATTGGAAAGGAAGAAGTAAAATTATCTGTTTGCAGATGACATGATCTTACATGTGGAAAACCCTAAAGATTACACACACACACACACACACACACACACACACACACACCATTAGAACTAATATACAAATTCAGCAAAGTGGCAGGACACAAAACCAACAAACAAAAATCAATTCCATTTCTATACATTAACAATTAGTAACCTGAAATAAAGATTAAGACAACAATACTATTTACAATAACATCAAAAAGACTAAAATACTTAGGAATAAACCAAGAAGGTAAGACTTATACACTGAAAACTATAATGTATTGCTGAAAGAAATTAAGAAGACATAAATAAATGGAAAGACATCTGTGCTCATGAATTGGAAGACTTAATATTAAGATATCAATATTAGCCATACTGATTACAGATTCAATGCAATCCCTATCAAAATTCCAATGACTTTGCAGAAAAAAAAAATCTATCCTAAAATTCATATGGAATCTCAAGGGACCCTGAAGAGCTGAAACAATCTTGAAAAAGAACAAAGTGGGAAGACTTAGACTTTCTGATTTCAAAACTTATTACAAAACTACAGTAATCAAAATGGTGTGATATTGGCAAAAAGGCAGAATGTAGATCAATGTAATAGAATATAGAGTCCAGAAATAAACCTTAGTGCATATGGGCAAATGATTTCCAACAAGGGTGACATGACCATTTAATGGGGAAAGGACAATCTTTTCAACAAATGGTGCTGGGAAAACTGAATATTCACTTGCAAAAGAATGAAGTTGGACCCATGCCTTATATATACCTTATACTATAGATACAAATTAATTCCAAAAGTATCAAAGACCTATTTTATTTATTTTTAATTAATTTATTATTATTATTATTTTTTGAGACAGGGTTTTGCTCTTGTTGCCAAGGCTGGAGTGCATGGTGTGATCTCAGCTCACTGCAACCTCCACCTCCGAGGTTCAAGCAATTCTCCTGCTTCAGCCTCCCAAGTAGCTGGGATTACAGGCATGCACCACCACACCCGGCTAATTTTGAATTTTTAGTAGAGATGGGTTTCACCGTGTTGGCCAGGCTGGTCTTGAAATCCTGACCTCAGGTGATCCACCTGCCTCGACCTCCCAAAGTGCTGGGATTACAGGCATGAGTCACTGCGCCCAGCCAAAGACCTCTTTTGTCAGAACTAAAACTATAAAACTCTTAGAAGAAAATAGGGGGAAAGCTTTTTAACACTGTATTTAGCAATGGTTTCTTGGATATAACACCAGAAGCACAGGCACCACCAACAAAAAATAGATAAATTGGACTTATCAACATTAAAAACTTTTGTGCATCAAGGGACAGTATCTAGAGAGTGAAACAACATCTTCCTCTCTGGGCTTGGACCTAGTTTGTGGTGACATGGCCAAATGCACCAAGAAAGTTGGAATGAGGCTGGACACGGTGGCTCACGTCTGTAATCCCAGCACTTTGGGAGGCCAAGGTGGCTGGATCACTTGAGATCAGGAGCTCGAGACCAGCCTGGCCAACATGGCGAAACCCCATCTCTAATCAAAATACAAAAATTAGCCAGGCATGATGGCACACGCCTGTAGTCCCAGCTACTGGGGAGGCAGAGGCAGGAGAATAGCTTGAACCTGGGATGCAGAGGTTGCAGTGAGCCGAGATCGTGCCACTGAACTCCAGCCTGGGCGACAGAGTAAGACTCAATCTCAGAAAAAAAAAAAAAAAAGAAAGTCGGAATAGTCAGTAAATACAGGACCCACCATGGGGCCTCCCTCTGGAAAATGGTGAAGGAAATTGAAATCAGCCAGCACACCAAGTACACTTGCTCTTTCTGTGGCAAAACCAAGATGAAGAGACGAGCTGTGAAAATCAGGCACTGTAATTCCTGCATGAAGACAGTGGCTGGCAGTGCCTGGACCTACAACACCACTTCGGCTGTCATGGTGAAGTCTGCCATCAGAAGACTGAAGGAATTGAAAGACCAGTAGATGCTCCTCTACTCTTTGAGACATCTCTGGCCTATAACAAATGGGTTAATTTATGTTAAAAAAAAAAAAAGAGAGAGAGAGTGAAACAACAATCTACACAATCAGAGAAAATATTTGCAAATCTTATATCTGATTAGAAATTAGTATCTGGAACATGTAAGGATGTATAAAGAACTCCTACAACTCAACAACAAATAAATCAACAAACCAATTCACAAATGGGCAAGGAACTTGAAAAAACATTTCTCCAAAGAAGATACACAAATAGCCAAAAAGAACACAGAAAGATGCTCAAGGTCAAGTCTGTAATCCCAGCACTTTGGGAGGCCTAGGCGGTTGGATCACCTGAGGTCAGGAGTTCAAGACCAGCCTAGCTAACATGGTGAAACCCTGTCTGTACTAAAAATACGAAAATTAGCAGGGCACAGTGGCACGCGCCTGTAGTCCCAGCTACTTGGGAAGCTGAGGCAGGAGAATCGCTCGAACCCAGGAGGCAAGAGGTTGCAGCGAGCCGAGATGGTGCCACTGTACTCCAGCCTGGGCGACAGAGGGCAATAGAGCGAGATTCCAGCTCAAAAAAAAAAAAAAAAAAAAAAGGAAAAAGAGGTGTTTAATCATTAGCCATTAGGGAAAATATGAATCAAAACCACCATGGAATACCACTTTATATCCACTAATATGGCTATTATAAGACATAAACAAAAACAAAATAAGCGTTGATGAGAATATGGAGAAACTGAAACCCTTGTGTATTGCTGGTAGGAATATAAAATGGTACAGCCATTATGGAAAAGTTTGGCATTTTCAAACTGTTAAATTAGAATTATTGGCTAGGCGTGGTGGCTCACGCTTGGAATCCCAGCACTACGGGAGGCCGAGGCAGGCCGATCACTTAAAGTCACGAGTTTGAGATCAGTTGGCCAACATGGCGAAACTTTGTCTCTACTAAAAGTACAAAATTTGGTGAGGCTTGGTGGTGTGTGCCTGTAGTCCCAGCTACTTGGGTGGCTGAGGCAGAAGAACCGCTTGAACCCATGAAACAGAGGTTGCAGTAAGCCAAGATCACGCCACTGCACTCCAGCCTGGGTGACAGAGTAAGACTCTGTCTCAAAAAAAAAAAAACAAAAAAAAAACAAAAACATATAGAAATTATGGTATGATCCAGTAATTCCATTTCTGAATGTATACCTCAAAGAATTGAAAGCAGGGCACAAACAGATACTTGTATACCAATGTTCATTACAGCATATTTCACAATAGCTAAAAGGTGAAAACAACCCAAGTGTCCATTAACAGATAATGGAGAAGCAAACTGTGGTATATATATGCATGGAATATTATTCAATCTTTTTTTTTTTTTTTGAGACAGAGTATCGCTCTGTCACCAGGCTGGAGTGCAGTGGCGCAATCTCGGCTCACTGCAACCACCTCCTCCCAGGTTCAAGCGATTCTCCTGCCTCAGCCTCCTGAGTACCTGGGATTACAGGTGCACACCACCATGCCCAGCTAATTTTTGTATTTTTTTAAGAGACAGGGTTTCATCATGTTGGCCAGGATGGTCTCAATCTCTTGACCTCACGATCCGCCCGCCTTGGCCTCCCAGAGTTTTGGGATTACAGGTGTGAGCCGCTGTGCCCAGCCTATTCAATCTTAAAGAAGAGGAGGCTGAGGTGGGAGGATCGCTTGAACCCAGGAATTTGACACCATCGTGGGAAACAAAACGAGACCCTGTATCCAAATTTGTTTTAAAAAATTAGCTGAGCGTGGTGGAATGCACCTGTAGTCCCAGATACTTGGGAGGCTGAGGTGGGAGGATCCCTGGAGTGTAGAAGTTTGAGGTTGCAGTGAGCTATGATCACACCACTGCATTCCAACCTGGGTGACAGAGGCTGTCTCAAAACAAAAAGGAAGATACATGGTATAACATACATGAGCCTTGAAAATATTACGCTAAGTAAAATAAGCCAGACACAGAAGGACAAATATTACACAATTCCACTTAAATGAGGTACCTAGAATAGGTAAATTCATAGAGACAGAAAGTAGAATACAGGTTACCAAGAGCTGAGGGAGTGGGGGTCGGGGAATGAGACATTATTGTTTTATAGGTACAGAGTTTTAGTTCGGGATGATGAGAAAGTTCTGGAAATTGATAGTGGTGATGGTTGCACAACATTGTGAACATTGCACAACATTGTGAAAATACTTAATGCCACTAAATTACACACTTAAAAATAGCTATAATGGGCCACACATGGTGGCTTATGCTTGTAATCCCAGCACTTTGGGAGGCTGAGGCAGGTGGACTGCTTGAAGTCAGGAGTTTGAGTCCAGCCTGGGCAATATGGTGAAACCCTGTCTCTATGAACAACAACAACAAAAAAGCTAAAATGGTAAATTTTATGTTATGTGTGTGTATATATATACATACATATATATATATATATATATATATATATATATATATATATATATATATGTATAGGTTTTTTTTTTTGAGACAGTCTCGCTCTGTCGCCCAGGCTGGAGTGCAATAGCATGATACTGACTCACTACAACCTCTGCCTCCTGGGTTCAAGAGATTCTCCTGCCTCAGCCTCTGGAGTAGCTGGGATTACAGGTGCCTGCCACCACGCCCAGCTAATTTTTGTATTTTTAGTAGAGACAAAGTTTCACCACATTGGCCAGACTGCTCTCAAACTCGTGACCTCAAGTGATCCGCCAGCCTCGGCCTCCCAAAGTGTTGGGAGTACAGGCATGAGCCACTGCGCCCAGCCATGTTATGTATATTTTACCTCAATTTTAAAAATGTGCTAGATACATAGGAAATAGAATAAGACATACGATATGTAAACTTAAAATATGTGTCTATAAAACAATATTTGTATTGTAAGAACATACAAATAAATTATTAGAATTAATGAGAACTCAAATTCTAAAACTGACCTAATGATGCAATACCGTTTCAATCAATATCCTAACAGTGTCATTTTATGGAGCAAGCTGATTCTAAATTTTATATGGAAATGCAAAAGTTCAAACATAGCTAATATTCTTGAAGAAAACAAGACGAAAGCATTTGATCTATTAGGTATTAAGATATAAAATAATAATAATGTAATAAAATTATCATAATTAAGATGGTGCAATTAAGGCATCATAACTAAGATAATACAAGGAATGACAATTAAACTAATAGAACATAGTAGCCCAGAAACAGACCTACATGTACATAGTTTATTTACAATAAAAATGGCATTGAATAGGAGTGAAAAAATTATGGTCTTTTCAATAACTAATGGTGGGACAACTTGATAGCCATTTAGAAAAAAAAAAGAAACTTCCTCACTACTGAGTAACAACATAAATTCTGGATCTATATCTCGAAACTAAAGTAACAAAGGTTTGAGAGGTAATATATGGGAGATAAAAAATATCTCCTTGCTTACGAGGACAACATATGGGCAGTATCTCTCAGTAATGCCCATATATTATAGTGTCTTCTTACACAGTAGATAAAAAAATAGGAAATACTAATCAGTTTAACCATATTAAAATTAAGACTGTTGATTTCCTAAGTTTACCAAACCTAAGCTATTCACAACCCTTTCTCAGTCTCTACTAGTTCCCTATTTTGACTCATTTTAAACCAGTTGGACCCTTATCTCAAATCCTTATAAATACCTTACTCTAACATCCTCCCTTTGAATCATTACCAAGACTCTGTGTCAAGTTGATGGTCTCCTTTGCTACACTACAATAGGTTTAATGAGCTTTGTTTAGTCAACAGGTTTCCTTAGTGACCTTTGTTGGGGGGGAGTAGACAATTGACAGTCCTTATCTTTTTGAGAAATATACTGAAATCTTTAAAAAAATTTTTTTTGGTAGAGATGGGGTCTTGCTATGTTGCCCAGGCTGGTTTTGAACTCCCAGCCTCAAGCTATCCTCCTGCCTCAGCCTCCCAAAGTGCTGGGATTAGGTGTGAGCCACTGTGCCCAGCCAGTATACCAAGATTTTTTTTTTCTTTTTCTTTTCTTTTTTTTTTTTGAGACGGAGTTTCGCTCTTGTCGCCCAGGCTGGAGAGCAATGGCACCGTCTCAGCTCACTGCAACCTCTGCTTCCTGGGTTCAAGCAATTCTCCTGCCTCAGCCTCCCAAGTAGCTGGGATTACAGGCGCCCGCCACCAAGACCAGCTAATTTTTGTATTTTTAGAAGAGATGGAGTTTCACCACATTGGCCAGGCTGGTCTTGGACTCCTGACCTCAGGTGATCCACCCACCTCAGCCTCCCAAAGTGCTGGGATTACAGGCATGAGCCACCGCACCCAGCCCACCAAGATTTTTATAGATTAAATTCTATTTCTAAGATCTGCTCCAAAATTAATTCAATAAGACAAAGTAGAAGTAGGTAAGATTAGTCATAAATAGTTGATGCTGGGTAATGATACATGGGAGTTCATTAGACTAGCCTGTCTACTTTTGTTTTACGTAAAATTCTCCATAATAATTTTAAAAAGTTACGTTTGTTTTTGTAGTCCTCAAGAGGGGATGTTCACTAAGGTCACAGCAAAGTTGCACTATACGACTCTGGCTTATACCCAGAAAGCATCTAGCCAAACCTAGCCTAAGTTATGCTAGATTCTGAGGTCTTGCTACGACAGAAGGAAGGGAAGACCACAGTGGTTGTAGACTTCAGAGAAATAATTCTTTTTTTTTTTTTTTTTTTGAGACAGAGTCTCGCTCTGTCACCCAGGCTAAAGTGCAGTGGCATGATCTCAGCTCACCACAACCTCCACTTCTCAGGTTCAAGCGATTCCCCTGCCTCAGCCTCCTGAGTAGCTGGGATTACAGGCGTGAGCCACCATGCTCAGCTAATTTTTGTGTTTTTAGTAGAGACAGTGTTTCACCATGTTGGTCAGGCTGGTCTCGAACTCCTGACCTCACGTGATCCACCTGCCTCGGCCTCCCAAAGTGCTGGGATTACAGGCATGAGCCACCGTGCCTGGCCTAAAATAATTCTTTTTAAGGCCCTTCTACAACACCCCAAATGTAGAACTGAGTTGCTGTATTAAATTTGACATTTAAATCTTGGTTAAAACAACAACAAAAAAAGGGATAAAGAATATTTACTGTGTTTTTTGCTTTATTTATTCAGAGAGTGAAACTGTGTTACAGTGAGCTAAATTTTTAGCTGTACTTAGAATGTGCTCCCTCCTACATTTCACTCTGGAAAAGTGAAGTATCTTATCATTTCTTAGAAACCTGGATGTGAAACTAGTCAATATTAAGATCTTATACACATCCTGAGTGATGCCCAATTTAAGGCTTTGAATAGCTATTCATGTAAGTTGACTTTTCTGTGCATTTGTATCGGGGAGGATCCAGTTCAGGTTGATGTCCTGGGAACCAGTGAGGCTCTCGCTTAAATCCTGAGGGAAGAAAAAAAAAGGAAGGAAAGACAAATGAAAACAGTCAACACTAAGGAGTTTTAGTAACTGATCTTGCTCTTATTTCTAGGGAATAGACAGTAAGTCCTGTTAAAATTGAAGAAAAAATCCTGTTTACTCATTCATGTAGTTATTCACCTTTTTTTTCTTTTTTTTTTTTGAGATAGAGTCTCACTCTGTCACCCAGGCAGGAGTGCAGTGGCTTGATTTCTGCTCACTGAAACCTCCACCTCTCGGGTTCAGGTGATTCTCCTGCCTCAGCCTCCTGAGTAGCTGGGACTACAGGCATGCGCCACCAAGCCCAGCTAATTTTTGTATTTTTTTTAGTAGAGATGGGGTTTCACCACGCTGGCCAGGCTGGTCTCAAACTCCTGACCTCAAGTGATCTGCCTGCCTCAGCCTCACAAAGTGCTGGGGTTACAGGTGTGAGCCACTGCGCCCAGCCTCACTTATTCACCTATTCAGTTTACTTTTATTTGAGTTCCTTCTATGTGCCGGTCACTGAGTTAGGTTCTGAAAATGTAAGAATTTGAAAAAACAGTCCACGTACTATGTGTTGAAAGTGGCATTTTGTTGTTGTAGCTTGTATCATATGTTGTTTCAAAGTAGTGTCCAAACTGGAAAGAAAAATTAACAGATTAAGAATCTGGAAGTCTACAGCTAACATCAGGAAATAAAGATCAATATGACATGAATTCTCACGGACTGTCATATTTTAGATGGACTGAGTTCTATGGTGTTAGTCTATATCCTTCTAACTTTCACATGTTTTGTACGTTTGTTTGTTTAGGAGCGATTTAAGTGCAAGACTCAGATAAATGACAAGTCTAGATAGGCAAGGACCAGGGGAAAAGCTAGTCTAAGTCAGAAGACATTATAAATTTCTGTAGACTAAGAGATAAAGTCCAAACAGAAGTAAGAGAAAAAGAGGACTGCCCTTCCTTTTGAAACCTTACAGATAATAAAATATTCAACTTGACAGTAAAGTAGCATAGGTGGTTCAGCTGCGGACTGTTCCTCTGCCCCAACCACTTCACTGAAAACTGAGAGATCACTGCACCAGAAGTTATTACATCCCTGCATTTCAAATGGCCACTACATTTCTTTTGCCAACAGAAGGAAACAAACAAACAAAAAAGACAAAGTTAGATTACCTGGGAAGGCAAGGGTTTGGGCTGCACGATATTCCTCAGGTCATATCTTTCCTGGTTCCAGTTGCCCATCAGGGTACGGTTTGAATAGGTATTCTCATTAGTGGTGCATCGCCATCCATACTGGAAAAACTTGGACATATTATTCCAATCTGTCCACACTTCACCATGGCCATCTGCATTAACAAGGCTGCCACAGTGTGGGTTTGTGAGGAAACAGGCGAGGTTCTGTCTCTGGGAAAAGACAAGAATAGAAAAGCTTATTGCATAAACCAGAGAAGAGAAAAAGCATCTTTTCCTGCCCTTGTTTTACATAGCCAGGTATAACACAAGCACACCGTACTAATGATCCAGGCTATGTTATGGTTCTGTTTCTTCTTCTCTAAGTCCTGGGACCCTTTGATCCATTCTTTCAATCAGCAACAGTGGGTGACTACATGGATTAAATCCACACCCCCGCTCCCCAGGCCCCGTGAAGAGACAGGAAAAACTTCAGTATTCCCAATACAATATGGAGAATTAGCTAAATTTTTAAGGTAATTTTGAGATGTAGGCATTGAGGGACTAAAAGCACTGCTACAGTCAAAGAGAACAAAAAGAAGTGAGAGTTGAGTAACTAGATAACACAATAAATGAGTAATAAATGATCATTTCCTTCCTTCTAGCTCAAATGATGCCTTCCCTGAAGTTAGCTTCTCTTTCAACTCACATAAAACTTTATCTTTCCCTGTATTTATAACTTTTTACCATACATTAGAGTTCTTTAAGTCTGCATTATATCTCCTATACAGAGCTGTATGCCCCTTAAGGACAGGATCTGTTTTATTCATTATTGTACCCTGTCCTTCTGCCTGTTCTCCCAATCAATCTGGATTGCATATACCAGATGATCAATGTCTGATTTCATTTTTTTTGGTAAGATAAAAGCTCAATCTTTCTTTTTCCCCAAAATGTGAGTCTGGCCCCCTGACTTAGGAAGATGATACCTTTCCTGAAGAAGAGTAACTTGATGCTGAGTAGGTTGAGCTCTTTGAAGATTTCTTATGAGAGTCACAGAAATCCTTACTTGGCTGTTCCATGTTCTTTAAAGATGTCAACAAACCTGGCTTTCCCAGTTCTCCAAGCAAAGAAAGAATCACCCAGATTACCATGGGCAAGTGGCCATGATTTGGGAGTCACCACCCACTTGCCTTTCCACAGGCAGAAACAAAGCCAATAATGCAGCATTGAAGGATGACATCCCAGGTAACTACCCTCATACCATCTGCCTTTGTGAAGACAGATGCATGCACTGATGTTACCAAACAACATGATGACCAGAGTAGCTGGTGCCACAAAGTCCAATGGGCCTGGTACTCATACTGGAGATCTAGGTGTAACTGTCTCTAGGGCTGGAATGACAGACATCACCATCCACTCAGTTGTCCAAGCCAGAAGCCTGGGGCTTATCTTTGACTCTGACTTGTCTTTAATTTTCATCCAGTCACTAAGTCTTGTTGATTTTTGAATCAGACTGCCACCCTCCATTCCCATTGCCAAATTTCAATTCAAATCACTGTCAGCTTTGTCTCCATTATTGCAGTTGCCTCTTGTTTTATCCTGCCATGCCATCAGCCTTGTTCCTCTCCAAACCTTTCTCCACAGGAAAGGAGAATTTTTCAAAGTGAAAGTATAATTGTATCATCTTCTTATTTAAAATCTTTCAGTGGCTTTCCACCGTTTTCAGAGTAAGATTCAGTCTGTTAAAATGGCTTACAACAGAACAGAGAACCAAATACAGCATGTTCTTGTTACCGGAAGGGGTCCTGATCCAGACCCCAAGAGACACAAGAAATAATTCAAGGTGAGTCTATAAAGCATAAGGAAGTTTATTAAGAAAGTAAAGGAATAAAGAATGGCTACTCCATATGCAGAGCAACCCTGAGGGCAGCTGGTTGCCCATTTTTATGGTTGTTGATTATATACTAAACAAGGGGTGGATTAATTCATACCTCCACTTTTTAGACCATATACGGTAACTTCCTGACTTTGCCATGGCATTTGTAAACTGTCATGGCGCTGGTGGGAGTGTAGCAATGAGGATGACCAGAGATCACTCTCATCACCATCTCGGTTTTGGTGGATTTTAGCTGGCTTCTTTACTGCAACCCGTTTTATCAGCAAGGTCTTTATGACCTGTATCTTGTGCTGAGCTATCTCATCCTGTGACTAAGAATGCCTTAACTTACTGGGAATGCAGCCCAGGTCTTAGCCTTATTTACCTAGCCCCTATTCAAGACGGAGTTGCTCTGGTATAAATACCTCTGACATTCTCACTTATAAGTGGGAGCTAAACATTGAGCAAACATGGACCTAAACATGGAAACAACACACACTCCAGGCTACTAACTAGAGTGGGGAGGGCGGGTGGTGTGGGTTGAAAAACTATTAGGTGCAATATACCCATGTAGCAAACCTGCAACCTACCTGGGTGCAATATATCCACGTAACAAACCTGTACCTGTACCCCCATTTGTAAAATAAAAGTTGATTTTTTTTAAAGGCTTACAACGCTCCCTATGACCTGGCCCCTGCCTAACTCTTCAGTCTCATCTGTTACTCTCCCTCCAATTGTGTTTCAGCCAAACTCAACTATTCTGTTTCTCCATCAAGCTTTTGCATATATTGTTCCTTCTGCCTCTTCACGCCTCTTGACTCAGTTAAGATGCACTTTTACCCTGTTAGCTTTCAACTCGGGTTTACTTCATCCAAGGACTCTCTGACCCTCTTCGCCCCCAAACTTGGTAACGTTCTTCTGTGTGCTCCCAGAGCACACACCCTGCCATATCAGAGTTGCCTGTTTTGCTCTGTGCATTCCCCACCAGACTGCAGGCTCATTGAAATCATAGGCCACATTTTGTTCATCCACATATCGTAACCACCCTCACAGTGGCCTGGCACGCAATAGACACTCAATACTCTTTCTTGAACGAATAGAAGATAGGAGATTTAAGCACCTGGAAGAGAAATTTTGAGCAGCAGAGACACTGGGAGGCAGCCATTTCAGACGAGGTGAAAAAAGGTTCAAAACCTTCTGCGTCAGGAGCATGCGAGACACAGTCCAACCTCTTCCTTGGCCTCAGCCCCGCCCCGTTTCTTTCACCCAGAACTCGCCTCACCCCCCTGCGCTAGTGACTGCTTGTGACCTCATGCAGGTGTGATGAAGTCGCTCAAGGCCATGCTTGGGCTAAAGACACTTTGATCTTCCCGAGGGGGTGAAAGGGCGAGGTGACAGGAAAGTGCGCGTCTTGCTTTTGCACTCATAGTTATCATCCACCGGGGAGTCGGTACACCGGCTCGTCTAGACAACCAGGCGCCATGGGTGCGTCATCAACTAGTGACGGGAGAAGACGGGGCGGAGAGAGATCCGTGAAGGAAGTGACGTAAAACGAGCGCCACAGAGAACGCGAGCCGGGAGTCCGTGGAGGCCATGGCCCCTCGGCGCCTCCTGTTGGTTGGGGAGGGGAATTTCTCCTTCGCCGCCGCTCTGAGCGAAACCCTGGATCAGAGCACTCAACTTACCGCCACCTGCCTCCAGCGCCCGGCCGAGTTGGCTCGGGATCCACTGGCCTGGGAGAATCTGCAGTGCCTGCGCGAGCGAGGTAGCGAGCCCGCCCCTCTGCGAAACCCCGCCCAGCGGCCGGCGCGTCCCAAAGTGGAAAGGGTGGGGGCGTGGGGATGTAACCCACGTGGAGATTGTTCTTGATCGTCCCACGGATATTCACATAAAGCCGGCTTTGTGCCCAGACTTGGGCTGGTCTGCACGGTTTAAGTTAGGAAGAGTTTTTCTGTTCCATGTCTTGAGGCATCCTCCTGTCTATATTTTGCGCCCCCAAACTATCTTTGCCAGGTATCGATGTACGTTTCGGTGTGGACTGCACCCAGCTGGCAGATGTCTTTGAACTGCACGAGAGAGAATTTGATCAAATTTATTTCATCTTCCCGCATTGTGGACGCAAAGCTGGCGTAGCTAAGAACAGGGAACTGCTTGCCAAATTTTTCCAAAGGTGAGGAAAGGAGCGCCCTCACAAGGAAAATGTTTAAGATGTCCATAACATAGTTACTGTACCCAAACATAAGGCACACGTGCAAGCTACTATGATATGTTTAGAAGAGACTATAAAGCCCCAAAGGAACCCCAAGTTTAGTTGGAAAGACAGATATATAAACCCTAAATGCTAAATGAAAGTACAAATAATGTACTCTTGGGTGTGTAAAAGAGGATCATTTATTTTTGACAGTGCAAAATAATGAGAGCCATATAGTCTAATGGCTAAGAACGTGCACTTAGAAGCCAGACTGCCTGGATTCAAATCCCAGCCCACCACTTAACAGTTGTTATTTTTTTATTTTTATTTATTTTTATTTTTTGAGACAGAGTCTCGCCCTGTCGCCCAGGCTGGAGTGCAGTGGTGTGGTGCAATCTCGGCTCACTGCAAGCTCCGCCTACTGGGTTCACGCCATTCTCCTGCCTCAGCCTCCCAAGTAGCTGGGAGTACAGGCGCCCGCCACCACGCCCAGCTAATTTTTTGTATTTTTAGTAGAGATGGGGTTTCACCGTGTTAGCCAGGATGGTGTCGATCTCCTGACCTTGTGATCCGCCTGCCTTGGCCTCCTAAAGTGCTGGGATTACAGGCATGAGCCACCACGCCCGGCCAACAGTTGTTATTTTAAGCAAGCTTACTTAATCTTTACATGCTTCCGTTTCCTCAACTGTAAACTAGGGATATTAATAGTAACTAACTGGGCCAGGCGTGGTGGCTCATGCCTGTAATCCCAGCAGTTTGGGAGGCCGAGGTGAGCAGATCACCTGAGGTCAGGAGTTTGAGACCAGCCTGGCCAAAGTGGCAAAACCCCGCCTCTACTAAAAATATAAAAATTAGCTGGCCGTGCTGGCACGTGCCTGTAGTCCCAGGTACTTGGGAGGCTGAGGCAGGAGAATCGCTTGAACTTGGGAGGTGGAGGTTGCAGTGAGCTGAGATCGTGCCACTGCACTCCAGCCTGGGCGACAGAGCAAGACTCCATCTCAAAAAAAAAAAAAAAAAAAAAAGTAACTAACAGCCTCATAAAATTATTGTGAACTGAAAACAGTGCTTTACATGATTATACCACAAGACATGATACTATTGGAGGTGTCCGATGGGGCATAGCTGTCAATAAAGTTTTGACAGAGGTGGTATTTTAAACTAGTATTTGAATTTCAGGAGGGCAGTGAAAAGAACTTTCTAAATGGGAAGAAACAGCCTAAGCAATGAATCATATATAGGAACTGTGCAGATATTGATCTTTCTGTGACATATGCATGAATGACACAAATGCAAAGCAGACCCTGGTCAGCCAATCTTATCAGTGAGTGGGTTGAACATTTAATTTATGCTTCTATTTACTTCCAGCTACTTTCTTTGCATTTTTTGAGGTCTAATAGATTTTTGCACATAGGTATGATTGGATTTTAATTATTTCACAGGCAAACCATGTGTATGTTGCCAACTCCTGTGGTAATTTCTGCTTGTTTATGATAATTAGTTAGTGTTTCTTTTCTCCCTATTAGCTGTGCAGACGTTCTTGCAGAGGAAGGAGAAGTCCACGTGGCATTATGTAGAGGACAAGGTGGAACTCCTGCGGATAAGCCCCAGAGAGAATGGCACAACAGTTGGCAAGTGGTTGCCATGGCAGCCCTGGGGGGGCTCATTTTAAGCGACGTGTATCCATTCAGCTGTAAGGCTGTGGCAGGGTACAAGTGCACTGGATATAGGTAGGTAATAGCATAGGTTTAAGCCTTCTGCGTTTTCATCTCTCTCACTAATGATAACAAAATCTCATAGACAGACTCAATAGGCCCTGCCAATTAATTGATTCGGTCTCTAAAAATACTTGCTTATTTTAATAATGACAGACTTCATATTGGTGTCTATTTTGCCAGGAGTCAAGATAAGTCCTTTCATGTAGAAGGTGCTTTGAACCATATCTTCACCAGGAGCTTACCTTTTGAAGGTTCTCAACCCAGAATCTTCAGGATCAAACTGGGTAACCAGTGGTTTTCCTTTCCAGAACCAGAAGCACTTGTAGGAAAGTTGAACAGGTAACCAGTTATTTTGCTGGAAATCACTTCCATCTCCAGTTGTATCCTGATTGTCTTGATGGCAACCATATATTGAATGGATGGTGCATAAATTGTTAGTGATGTTGGTGCTATGTTTATTTGTCAGCCTGGCCTCCTTAAGCATCTCTAGAATTATAAATGGTCACATTTTCTGATATATTGTAGGGATGGTGGCTGTCAGAGTTCTGAAATACACGTCTGTTTCTCCTTATGGTAGATGATTTCTTTGTTTCCTTTCAAGATCAATTTAAAGATAATTCTTTTCTGTCCAGCTATTTGTATTTTTAATTCTAGCTACATTATAATTATTTACTATCTTAAGTTAGAAAAGTTATTTTTGTGTGTGTTTAAACAGGGGTTTCCTGGAAGCACCTTCATGTCATCCTATCAAAACCATAAATGAGAAACTCATTGCTGAATTAGGCAAAGTTTTCCCGCTAAAAAGGCTGAAGTGTTCCTACCCTTTGCTGCCACAGGAAGGTACCAGTGTTCTTCCTTTCTGGAATTGTGACTTTCTGTCAGCTGCTTTTTGGATTAGTCTCCATGAAGATAACTCAAATTCTGAGTCCCTGACTGGTGGGACATCACAAGATGTGGAAGACTTTCTAGTGTCATTTTCAGAACTTAGCCTTCTCAAGAATCCTGGAAGAGATGGTAAAGAAGAAGCTTGTGAAGGAACCTGTGGCCAGGCCAAGATCTGCCTTAGACCTTCTCTCCTAGTGCATGTTCAGGATGTCATCGAAGTACCAGACTTCCTCTCAGGTTCTCTGCACATCCTCAGTGGACCTGTCTTTCAGAAGTGCCACATTTTGCCTTTCACAATGCCAGCATTTCATGAAACTTTATTTATCCTTGGGGTTAATCAAAATCTGAAGGATGGCTGTCTTCAATCACTGCTGGATCATCTGAAGGGCATTCTAGATAGCCTGCTGACCCAGACATTGCCGGAGAGCTCTAAGCTGAGCAGTTTAGTCAAATTTGTCCTTCAGTCAAATGGAAAGGATTATATGATTCGTGTGAAGACTCATAATTTTAGCCCAGATTGTACTGAGGATCTAATTATTGGGTCTGTTATCACATCTGCCACTAGTGTTATACATAAAGACCAGTGTTTTGTGTTTGTGTCTATGAACTTGGACTTATTAGCCATGCTTGTCTGGTGTATCTCTGACTGGAGAATGTTGTGGACGTTTGATAACCGTTTCCTGAAAAATTTTGTCCCTGGCAAAATAGAACCCTTTAAAAGTCATTCTCTGTATCCTCCATGTTATGTGCATGATGTTAGTTTTTGGATAGATCAGAAGAAAGGATTTGATGAACTAGAGTTTCACACTGTGGCCCGAGCAGTGTCTCAGGACACTATTATATCCATACAGTTTCTTAGCCGTTTCCAGCATCCAAAGACTCAACAGGTCAGTCTCTGCTATAGATTGACCTACCAGACCTGTGACAAGGCCCTCACCCAGCAGCAAGTAGCATCAATGCAGTCCCAGTTTAGGAAGGAGATTCAACAACACCTATATGTTATACCTCGGTAGTTTGGTAAATCCTTTTCTGCAGTGTGATCCTTCATTGCGGGGGATGTGGAGGAAAATTACCAACTTGCAACCAGTAGTCCTTTCTGGATTTTTGTTTTTGTAAAATCTTTTACTTTGTGACCATAGCTACTGTTCGTTGATCTTTTTTTTTTTTTTTTTTTGAGACGGAGTCTTGCTCTGCCGCCCAGGCGGGAGTGCAGTGGCAGTGGCATGATATCAGCTCACTATAAGCTCCACCTCCCAGGTTCATGCCATTCTCCTGCCTCAGCCTCCCGAGTAGCTGGGACTACAGGCACCTGCCACCACGCCTGGCTAATTTTTTTTTTTGTATTTTTAGTAGAGACGAGGTTTCACCGTGTTAGCCAGGATGGTCTCAATCTCCCGGCCTCGTGATCTGCCTGCGTCGGCCTCCCAAAGTGCTGGGATTATAGATGTGAGCCACCGCGCCCGGCCTACTGTTAGTTGATCTTAAAGATACCTTGACTCTATTACTGAAACTTATAGATTATAATGTGATTGGTGACATTTGGAGTTGTGTAATATTTTGGTCCCGAGAAGTGACTAAAACAATAAACAAAACAGCATCTTGTACTTTAGATGCTCTATTGTTGAACAGGCAGTAGAACTTAAGTGTCTCATCAAATATAAATATGTTTTCCACACTGTCAATTACTCTTCCCTTAACTTTGTTGTATCATTTCATTAAATCACCTTATGAGAGTAGTTTTTGGCATCAGACTAACATTTATTAGCTTGGGAAATTGCAAATATTCCACATTAATTTTGGTATTATTATTATAATCATCACCATTTTAATTCTGTGGTTGAAAGTCATGGAACGAATAAAGTGTCAGATTTAGGGTTAACATTTGGGTCTGTTTGACTCTAAAGCCCATGTTCTTTCTGCTACTTTCTGTTACTTCTTCCCTAGTCTTTAACAGTAATCGTTCAACTGTGATTAAACTTTGCCTCTCTGGATTTTGGGGCCTTCTGTTGTAAGTATCTCTAAGGGACACTGGAAAATTAGCTTAGGATTCTGCAGAATGCGGTACTCTAATGTGAAGTAATGTATGCTCCTGTTAATAGTTAGGCTCCACATTTGGGATTATATTCTGTGAGAGACATGACTGTCTTATTTATTCTTAGAGAAAAGCACTTGGGAAGGCAAGAATGGAAGTACAGAGACAAATTAGGAGGTTATTGCAGTAATGCAAATGAGATAATGACCTGGACCAAGGTGGTAAAATGTTGGGTTGGATAATATTTGGAAGGACTTGCTGATGAATTAAACATTTGTGTGTGGGTGAGAGAGGTGTGGGGTTAGAGAAATAAAGGAATTAAGCAAGACTACTAGGTTTTTGACCTGAATACCTAGAAGATTGGAAGTGTCATTAACTTGGATGGAAACACTGCCATACGAGTAAGTTTGGGGAGTGGGATAAAGAATCAAGGGATCTCTTACAGACACATCTATTGCTGAGCTCTCCACATTGACTATTTTGCTAACTGATGGCAGGTAATGTGATTTATCCCTTTCTTCTATCCTCAGTAGTGCTTGGTACATGTATAAGGTAGCGTTTGAAAGCTGGATCTTAAAACAAGGGCAGGAATGTGAAGGGAGAATTGTTAGGCAAGTAGGGTGTGCATTTTGGGCAGAGGACATCCATAAACAGAGATATAGATAAGGGAGCATTTGGGGGCACTTTCTAGGCTAGTTAGCTGGGATGTAAAGTGTGCATAGGAAAGTAGTGGGAGATAAGATTGGAACGGTAAGTTGGGGCTGGAGTTCATGAATACCAAATGCTAGAATAAGGAGTTTGTACTTTATTTGGTAGGCAATAGGAAAACATCCGGTGGTTTTTTATTAAGGAAGTGCCCCAGAGTAGTGCTTTGGAAAATTAACTGGTTAATGTTGCACAGGATGAATTTGAGATGAGTGATCCCTGTGGAGATGCTATTGTGTTAGTCCTACGTAGACAGGGAGGGACCTGCATTAGACTTAAATGAAAAGGAGGAGATGGGTATATGAGATACAGTTAGGCTGGGTGTAGTGGCTCACGCCTATAATCCCAGCATTCTGGGAGGCTGAGGTAAGTGGATCACTTGAGGCCAGGAGTTCCAGACCAGCCTGGCCAACATGACGAAACCTAATCTCTACTAAAAATACAAAAATTAGCCAGTGTGGTGGCAATAGTCCCTGCTACTAGGGAGGCTGAGGCAAGACAATCTCTTGAACCTAGGGGGCAGAGGTTGCAGTAAGCTGAGATTGTGCCACTGCACTCTAGCCTGGGTGAGCAAGGAAGACTCTTGTCTCAAAAAAAAAAAAAAAAAAAGAAGAAAAAGAAAAGAAAAAAAGAGTTAAGCTGGATATTTGAACTTGGTAACTAATGACTGCATGTGAGAATTGAGCAATATGATCAATCTCCATTTTCAATACTTGGGAATTTTTAGTAGGAAATCACAACCTTCTGAGACCTTGTCAAGAGATTAGCATTCCCTCTATAAACTTGTCCCAGTTACTGGCATGGAGCTCGACAGGGTAGGATATAGCTCTGTGATTAGAGGAGTGGATAGAGTGTCAGGATTAGATGAATGACCCCCAAGATATGGGGGTCACAGGTATGATATCATCAATGTGCCAGTATAAAAATGATTGTAGGAAATGAAGACCTTTCACCAGATCTGGTGGGAAGAGAGAGCATGGGCTTTCCGGTAAGATAGTCCTGGGCTGGAACATAGCTCCACCATTTACTAGCTCCAAGTTTATTTAGTTTCCTGGTAAATAAAACAAGGTTGTTGTATTAAGTTTAAAAAGGATAAAATATGTAAAATGCCTACCACAATGCCGTAGTAGCGATGACAGTGATGGACATCTGGTTCAATTTGCCGCACAGAATTTCATCAGTCTACACTCTGCCATTACCGGTTTGTCTCTCTGAAGCAGTTTTTAGCTACAGGCTGCCTCTGTCACTCTTACCAAAATACAGAGAAGGCAAGGTGTTAAAAATGACATTTTAAGGACCTTTTAGTAGATAGCTGTGCTGTGATATTTAACTGAATACTTCACATCTCACTATGTAGATTTCTTTAATCACTTTCTATTTGTTTTTTCATTTAAATAGGGGAGCTGAGAGGTGGTTTTTTTTTTTTTTGAGAATGGAGAATGCTGAAAAGTGACGGAAAAGAGGGTTGGAGGGAGGTAGGAATGGCTAGAGTTAGAAGCAGGTGGATGGGACAGCCCTGATGAAGAAACTCCTCAGGTTCTATTTCTTCGCTACTCGGGGATCTGCCCCAATTGGCCCAGTAACGCTATAATTTAGTATTTTCTGCGCATGTCAAGGTCTTTTGTCCCTCGGCGGACACCGTTTGCCAGCCAAAGCTATGTCTGCGCGCTCACCGACTTCATAGGGTGCCGAATTCTTTTTTCCCCAGGCTTGCCATGGCTAGTCGAGGGGCTCGGCAGCGCCTGAAGGGCAGCGGGGCCAGCAGTGGGGATACGGCCCCGGCTGCGGACAAGCTGCGGGAGCTGCTGGGCAGCCGAGAGGCGGGCGGCGCGGAGCACCGGACCGAGTACGTGTGCGGCGCGGCAGGGGCGTGGCCGGCCGGCGGGGCGGTTCGGGGCTGCCCCCGGGAGGGTCTTAGCTGTGGCGCGCGGGGCTCAGTCCGGCCTGGCCTCACCGCGGGAGGCCCGAGCTCCCTCTTCAGCTAGGTCCTATTGGTCTTCCTGGGCGGGTCAGCATTCAGTCTTCGCCCACCTTAGATCCCTCCACTGCGCTGTAAAACTGCCTTGGAGTGCGGATCTGTGATGCTCCTGGGCCAGGCCTAGAGTGGGCACAGCCTCTGTGGGAGATGTAGACAGGATCAAAGAGTATACCTTTTACGGCTGTTCCTCACAGCTCCTTTTATTCTCCCTCAAGTCCCGACCCTTTACTGGGCCCATCCAACCCGCCATCACCTCTTCCCAAACCCTGGAGGCTGCAGGTTAGAACTGCATTAAGGGAGCTGTCAACATATGGAATTGGAGTAGGCTATGTACCTTGCACCTAGGCTTCTATCTGAACATAAGGGGGAATGAATAAAGCCATCAAAAGCAATGACCTTGTTAAGAAAAGAAAGAAAAGGAGAATGACAGCTTTGTGGCCTTCAAGTGAGTGATTAGTTGGCTTGGGATAAATGGAGTGACATAAATGCATTGAGCTAAAGTGTATGAGTTAATTTATGCCTTAAAAGCAGGAAGTGGAAGGAGTGATTGAGTGATTAAAGTCAATTCTTCAGAAGGCTGAGGCAGGAGGATTACTTGAGCCTAGGAGTTTAAGTCCAGCCTGGGCAACATAGCAAGACCCTATCTCATAAAAATTTTTTCTTAAAAATCTGAATTTTTATTAATTTTACTGAGAAAAAACAACTAGCTATTCACCTTTTTAGGTGAATAACTTAAGTGCTTTGATGTCCCTTGCCCTTTTTGTCCTTTCTATCTAGATTTAGGTCTTCTGATTAGCAGGTCCTTCCTGACATGCTTTTTTTTTTTTTTTTTTTTTTGCTTTTGAACAGGTTATCTGGGAACAAAGCAGGACAAGTCTGGGCACCTGAAGGATCTACTGCTTTCAAGTGTCTGCTTTCAGCAAGGTTATGTGCTGCTCTCCTGAGCAACATCTCTGACTGTGATGAAACATTCAACTACTGGGAGCCAGTAGGTGATTTCTTTAGTTTTCTCTTTTTGTTCTTGATTTTGCAGCATAGGTGTTATTACCAATCGAGAGACAAATAATATACAAGTGTGACTCCTAGTAAAATAACTGTATTTTCTTAAAAAAAAAAACAAAAAAACAGGCCTATAATCCCAGCACTTTGGGAGGCTGAGGCCGGTGAATTGCCTGAGGTCAGAAATTCGAGACCAGCCTGACCAACATGGTGAAACCCCGACTCTACTAAAAATACAAAAATTAGCCGGGCATGGTGGTGGGCGCCTGTAGTCCCAGCTACTCGGGAGGCTGAGGCAGGAGAAATGCTTGATCATGGGAGGCAGAGTTTACAGTGAGCCGAGATCACACCATTGCACTCCAGCCTGGGCAACAGAGCGAGACTCTGTCTCAAAAAACAGAGATGGGGGCTCATTATGTCACCGAGGCTGGTATTTAACTCCTAGGCTCAAGCGATCCTCTCACCTCGCCTTCCAAAGTGTTGGGATTACAGGCGTGAGCCACTGGGCCTGGCCAGTAACATGTTTTCACTTTTGTATTCTAAGCGGATGATTTACCTGCTATTGAAGGCTGTAGGGAATTTAGCTGGTTTACACAAAGGTGTAATTTGTAATTTTCTTTTTTTTTTTAAATGAAAATAATACCTGGAGATAGTTTTTAAAGTTAACAACTACTAAAATACCTAAAGGAAAAACAGTAGCTTTCTATTCCACTTCTCGTGTCCAAATCCTACTTTCCAGAAGCAACCACTTTTTTTCACTTTTTAAGTTATTTCTTCTGACGGTTACCAAAATAGTGTTACTAAATAGTATACTTTTATTGCTATTTATTGATTTACACATTACCTGTTGACTTTTATTATAGAAAATTCAAAGGTAAAATTTTCTGATCACATTTTGAATTAAAAAAATGAAGGAAGACTGTTAAGTGTAGGTTGTTTAAGGAGAATATAAAATTTAGAGGTTTTCTGTTTTGGCTAACAAGTATTGAGAAAAAATAAGTAGAAGGTAAAATTTAAGCTTTCAGTGTTGACCAAACAGCAATCTTGTAAAATTTATAATGTCTTAATATTTTAAATATTGTATCATTTTGATTCCTTTTTTATCCATCAATTGCAGATCGCCCAGGCTGGAGTGCAGTGGCATGATCTAGGTTCACTGCAACCTCTAATTCCCAGGCTCAAGTGATTCTCCTGGCTTAGCCTTCCAAGTAGCTGGGACTGCAGGCATGCACCACCATACCATGCTACTTTTTTTTTTTTTTGGTAGAGATGGGGTTTTGCTATGTTGCCCAGGCTTGTCTTTAACTACTGGGCTCAAGCAGCCTGCTTGCCTTGCCCTCCCAAAGTGCTGGGATTATAGGTGTGAGGCATCGTGCCTGGCTTGCCTTTGTTTTTAATATTTCTGCTCAGAAACTTCACTTGCATCTGCTTAACAGAGATTTTTGGCCAGTATAACCCTGAATCTATCTGTTTTGTATTTTTAGACACACTACCTCATCTATGGGGAAGGGTTTCAGACTTGGGAATATTCCCCAGCATATGCCATTCGCTCCTATGCTTACCTGTTGCTTCATGCCTGGCCAGCTGCATTTCATGCAAGAATTCTACAAACTAATAAGGTAAGGGCAGACCAACCTGGAAGCAATCACAATTGATCAAGAGGTGAGTCTCTGGTATAGTTTTGAGAAAAGGACAAAATGAATTGGAAGTTAAAAGGGAACTTTTTTTGAAGAAGAATCATTTATCCAATTCACCATTCAACAAGCATTAATGAAACAACTTTTATTTGGTAGACACTGTATTAAGTGCTGTGGCTATAACAGTAACCAAGCCCCTGACTTAATGAAACTTGTGGTTTAGTGGAGAAGATGAACATTGAACAAATCATTCTAAATATGGTGGGTCTTATGGAGGAAAAGTACAATGTACGGTGGAATAGCATATTAGGAGGGTCTAATTTAAGTAGAGTGCTGAGAAATAATTAGATGTTAACTGGGACCTAACCTGATTAGTTTTCAGAAATTTGACTATGATGCGTCTTGGTGTGGATTTCTTTGGGTTTGTCCTGTTTGGAGTTTATTCAGCTTCTTGAATCTTTGGGCTTATTCCTTTTGCCAAATTTGGAAAGGTTTTAGTTTTTATTTTTTTGAATACTTTTTCAGCCCTGTCCGGTTTCCTCTTCTTCTGGAACTTTGATGATGTGAATGTCAGATCTTTTGTTATTAGTCCCCCAGGTCTTTGAGACTCTGTTTTCAATTTATTTTCTCTCAATGGTCAGTGGAGGCCTGGTAGGGAACCTCGAGTTCTACCTCCACTTGGCGGTAACAAGGTAGAGACTTCCCACTAACGCTCTTTCCCTGCTGGGTTAGTGGGAAGTAGTATCAAAAGAAGCCAGCTAAAACAGAAAGCTTAAATAAGATCGTAGGAGCACAACAGTGCAAAGAAAGCATGCTGAGCCCATGAATAATCCAGAATCTCATAATGCAATACCTAAAATGTCCAGCTTTCAACTGAAAATGACCTGTCATACCGAGAATCAGGAAGATCTCAAACTGAATGAACTGTTGTTCACATTGAGTAATTTCTTTTCTTCTGTCTTCCACTTCACTGATTCTTTCCTATGTCCCCTCTTCCAATGCTGACCCCGTCCATTGCATTTTTAGTTTGTTCTATGTACTTTTTCAGTTTTAAAATTTCCATTCAGTTTTTCTTTATATCTTCTAATTTTTTTTACTGAGACCTTCTCCTTTTTCATTTGCTTCAAGCATATTCTTAGTTATTCACTGAAATATTTTTACAAAGCCCGCTTTAAATTTTGTTAGATAATTCTGACACCTCTGTCATCTTGGTGTTGGAATCTATCGATGGACTGTTTTCATTCAGTTTGAGATTTCTACAAGACCTGGTAGGATCTATTAAGGTATTAGACTGTTGTTCTTTTCCCCCCAAGTCTGTTATGTAAAGCCACTGCAAGGTTTTCAGACAAAAGAGAGGTATGATTGCATTTACATTTTAGAATGATCAGAAAGGTGGCACCTGCAGAAAGTGACAAAATACTGTCCCTCCCTTCCCTATCCGGTATCTCATTTCCATTTTTTTGTTTGTTTGTTTGTTTGGTTTGTTTTTGAGACGAAGTCTCACTCTGTCGCCCAGGCTGGAGTGCAGTGATGTGATCTCGGCTCACAGCAACCTCCGTTTCCCGGATTCAAGTGATTCTCCTGCCTCAGCCTCCTGAGTGGCTGGGATTACAAGCTTGAGCCCCCACGTGTGGCTAATTTTTTTGTATTTTTAGTAGAGACAGGGTTTCACCATGTTGGCCAGTCTGGTCTCAAACTCCTGACCTCAAGTGATCCACCTGCCTTGGCCTCCAAAGTGCTGGGATTACGGGCGTGAGCCACTGCACCTGGCCTCATTTCTGGTTTTTTTTTTTGAACTTGTCAAAGGAAAGATAATAAAGGGTGAAGGGCTCAGCAGAAAACTAACAATGTGCTATGCAGAGGGTTTTTATTTCCATTTGGCTATCTAGTATCACTTCAAATTTTACATGTTCAACACAGAATTCTTCCTCTTCTCTAATCCTGTTACATCACTGATGTGCACAGCAAGTGAAATGGAAAGCAAGATTTCTCTTCTTCTCTTGTTCTTACTTCTGATCTCCTTTTTCCTAGCCATTCAGCAAAGGGGAATTGTAGCTTAGAGAGTCTTAGCCCCAGCATCATAACGTTGAGTAGAGAAGGATGGTTGTTTCTGAGAGACAGGGTGGTAACAATTGGCACATCTAGTGATAGCTACCTTCTCAATCTCTTGCTACCCCAAATGAAAGCACCTTTGTATTATCTCTTCATGGACCTGTTCGTGAATTTCTCTGAAGTGTACACTCAGGAGTGAGATCCCACAAGTAGGCCCATTTTTTTTGTTTGTTTTTGAGATGGAGTCTCACTCTGTCGCCAGGCTGGAGTGCAGTGGCACGATCTCGGCTCACTGCAACCTCCGACTCCCAGGTTCAAGTAATTCCCTTGCCTCAGCCTCCCGAGTAGCTGGGGTTACAGTTGCCCGCCACCATGCCTGGCTAATTTTTTTGTATTTTTAGTAGAGATGGGGTTTCACCATGTTGGCCAGGCTGGTCTCGAACTCCTGACCTCAAGTGATCCGCCTGCCTCGGCCTCCCAAAGTGTTGGAATTACAAGTGTGAGCCACCATGCCCGGCCAGTTATACTATATATTAAGTAGTGTTTAAGTTCTGAGAAATTCAGTGCTCTTAACCATATGGTATTCTGTAGTATAAAGCTACTTAATATAACCCCTATTTTATTATTTTTATTTTTTAAATTGATGTCAATTATAAAATTAATAAAGCCACATAACAGAACTTTGGAAGATAGGAGGAAAAATACTCATCTAAATCTACCAGGTTGCTATAGCTACTTTTACCATTTTATTACATTTCTTTCCAGTCTTTCCACATGCATATAGTGTCCATAGCTGTAACTGATGTATAAATAATATTGTACATTTTCTCTTAATATTTTGTCATAATCACTACCTGATATATTATGGTTGTTGAAGAATTGCTTGTTGAATGAGCATTATATTGCAAGAATGTTTTCACTATCTTTGTAAACATAAATTTTAATAGCTGTATAATTGTCCATGAGCTAGATGTAGCCTAGTTTATTTAATCATTTCCCTATAATTGGATATTTTGTAGTTTTTGAAACAGTTTTTACTAAAACTGCAATTAACATTTTCATGAATGGAGCTCTACCTCCCAACCCCCACCAGCTGGAGTGATAGAAGTAGGTATACTGATATTGAGTCAAGGGATATGAAAATTCTTGATCCATGTTGCTTTTCAAAAGAATTATACCAATTTACAGTGTTATTGACAATAAATGAGAGTGGTTCATGTTTATGAGTTTTTCTAGCTCATATCTGTGACTTCTGTTTTCTTTTTCTGGGTTTCTTTTAGATTCTTGTGTTTTACTTTTTGCGATGTCTTCTGGCTTTTGTGAGCTGTATTTGTGAACTTTACTTTTACAAGTGAGTATAAAAACTTTGCTTCTAAAAGTGCTGTGAGGAAACCCATTATTGCATAGATTATCTGTTGTGATAGTCTAGGCAGTGATTAGAAATAGAAAACTCTTGACCGGGTGCGGTGGCTCACACCTGTAATCCCAGCACTTTGGGAGGCCAAGGCGGGCAGATCACCTGAGGTAGAGAGTTTGAGACCAGCCTGACCAACATGGAGAAACCCCATCTCTACTAAAAATACAAAATTAGCCGGTTGTGGTGGTGCATGCCTGTAATCCCAGCTACTCGGGAGGCTGAGGCAGGAGAGTCACTTGAACTTGGGAGGTGGAGGTTGTGGTGAGCTGAGATTGTGCCATTGCACTCCAGCCTGGGCGATAAGAGCAAAACTCCATCTCAAAAAAAAAAGAGAAAGAAGTAGAAAACACTTTCCTCCTAGCTCCTGATATATATATCATATACATATTTTTTTTTCTGGGAAAGAAAACTTTTTTTTTCATACTGAGTTTTATTGTATGCTGCTGCCAGTGTGGATAAAACAGTTACCCTTGTGAAATAGAAATTCATGAAATTCAGAGAGGTAGATGTTAAAGACTGATGAAACTAGAAGTTCGTATATTACAGCACATGTGCTACAGGGATAAGCTTTTGTACAGGCTTCAAATTTAGCTCTCTTTTGAATATCCACTGGATCATAAGAAGTGGTTTGGGAAACTTTTGAAATTCATTTTACTACAAAAAAGAACAGATTTTCTGGGGTCTGAAGGGATTTGTACTTGAAGATACTCTAGTCAGCAGAGGGTCATGTTGAACATTCTGCAGACAGAATTGTTTGAAGTCTGCAGCTGCCTGGGAAACTTTTATGCAGTTGAGCCTGGCCTCCAGCCGGGGCTGTTGAACCACTTTCTTCATAGCGGCAACGCTGGAGGAGCCAGACATGGTGCACGTGAGGGCCGGGCCAGTTCGTGGGTTGGTGGGTCGTGGGTCAGCGGGGCCTGACTGAAAACTTCTTGCTTTTATTTATTGTTCTCTTCTTTTTCTTTTTTTAATTTTTATTTTTCAATAGTTTTTGGGGTACAGGTGGGTTTTGGTTACATGGATAAGTTCTTTAGTGGTGATTTCTGAGATTTTGATGCACCCATCACCTGTAGCTCCTGATATTAAATCTGAAGTGTGACTTCTCGTTTGAAACCAACAGTTGAAGGGAACACTGTACTTCTAATTATCGTTTTCTTTCCTGAGGTCATAAATACCATATCCTTATATCATTCATTTTAATTCTGTTAAAAACTATCTAACTGGTCTTTACTTGATAGGATTTAGTAGAACCCTATTTTCGGTCCTAAGATACAGGATCATGATTTGCCTCTGCCCTACAGCTTAGTTGATAATAAACTACTCCCGGTGTGGGATATCACTGCTCTTGTTTGCACCCAATATATTGTCTTTCACAAAGTACCTATTAGTTGATTGAATATTAGTTGGGACTATTAAGCATTTAAGTGTCCCGGTAATAAATATAGCCACCTTTTTTACATGATAACTAACAAACGTCTTGTTTTAATAATGCTTTAGTAATATATTTAAAGGTATTTGGACTTAGTGATCATTATTTAAAATCTTCCCACAGCTAAAAATGTCAGATTTTAAAAAATGTTTGGCCTTGACTGTGAGTGGAGTGGAGGGAAAAAAAGTAAAGCTAGTGCTGCCTTTGAGGATTGTAACCGTAAATTCCGTAAATTGGTCTTTATATGGGTTTGGGCCTGAATTCAGATCACCTATGTGGTCCTTCAAGCCCTAAGCTGAGAATTTACTTTAATATATTTTATTTATTTTATTTTATTTTTGAGACTGTCACCCAGGCTGGAGTGCAGTGGCATGATTTCGGCTCACTGCAACCTCAGCCTCCCGGGTTCAAGCAATTCTGCCATCTCAGTCTCCTGAGTAGCTGGGATTACAGGTGCAAACCACCACGCCTGGCTAATTTTTTGTACCTTTAGTAGAGATGGGGTTTCACCGTGTCTTGGTCTCCTGACTTCGTGATCTGCCCGCCTCGGCCTCCCAAAGTGCTGGGATTACAGGTGTGAGCCACCAGGCCCAGCCGAGAATTTATTTTAAATTGTTCTGGGTTGGTAGTGCCCGTGGCATCTGGCAAAAAATTTCTCTAGAGAAATGGACCCTTAACCCAAGTGTCTGAAAATTACCAGAGATAAAGTTCTAGTGAACAAGAAATTATAATAAAAATAAATCAGAGCACAGAGGGAGCAAAACATTATGGGTGAGAATCAGCAGAAATAACAGTCAACAGAACGTTCACCTGAAAAACTTCATTTATTGGGAAATAGGAATATAATGTAAGTATATTTAACATTTTCAAACAAGTAAAAGAACCAAAAACATGAACAAGAAACAAGAGATGACCAAATAAATTTAAAAAATTCAGAACTTATAAGAATCATATAATATGTAATATTATATAATATGAATAATATGTATATAATATTTATATTTAAGACTCAGTAGATAAACAGCAGATTAGACATTCTGATGAGTAAACTAGTAAATTGGAAGATTGATTTAAATAAATTACTCAAAATGCAGTACAGACAGACCAAAAAAAAAAGGTAATATAGAAAAGGTTAAGAAATGTGTAAGCCACGGCTGGGCACGGTGTTTTATGCCTGTAATCCCAGCACTTAGGGAGGCCGAGGCAGGTGGATCACTTGAGGTCAGGAGTTCGAAACCAGCCTGGCCAACATGGCGAAACCTCATCTCTACTAAAAATACAAAAATTAGCCAGGTGTGGTGGCACATGCCTATAGCCCCAGCTACTTGGGTGGTAGAGGCACGAGAATCACTTGAACTCAAGAGACGGAAATTGCAGTGAGCCAAGATCACCCCATTGCACTCCAGCCTGGGCAAGTGAGACTCTCTCTAAAAAAAAAAAAAAAAAGAAAAAAAAGAAACATGTAAGCCAGAGTTGAAAGAACTGACATACATCTAATCAGATTGTAGAAGGAGATGATAGAATGCGGAGAGGCAATATTCGGGGTATTAATAGCTGAGAATTTTCTAGAAATGATGGGAAAAAAAGATGCTAATCCATGGATTTAGTAAACCTAACATATCCCAAGCTAGATACATAAAAAATTAGTGTAGTGAAACTGTGTAAGACAATAGAGACAAAGAGAAAGATTTTAAAAATTGTCAGAGAACTAATAGAATACCTGCAAAGGAGTGTTAGGCAATTACACTGACAGAAGACTTTTTAACAGCCAGAAGACCAAAAAAGAATATCTTCAAAGTCCTGAGAGAAAATAACTTTCATCCTAAAATTGTATATTAGGTTAAGCCATCTTTTAAGACCAAGAGCTAAATACAGACTTTTCAGTTTAAAAAAAAAAGAGAAAGGGAAAAAAAAAGGAAGAAGCCTGTAATCCCAGTGCTTTGGGAGACTTAGGCAGGAGGATCATTGAGGATTGCTTGAGCTCAGGAATTTGAGATCAGCCTGGGCAACATAGCAAGACCTCATCTCTACAAAAAATTAGCTGGATGTGATGGCACATGCCTGTAGTCACAGTTACTCCTAGCCATTCAGGAGGCTGAGGCAGGAGGTTCCATTGAACACTGGAGTTCAAGGATACAGTGAGCTATGACCATGCCACTGCACTCCAGCCTGAGCGACAGAGAGTATGACTCTATCTCGGAGTGGGAGGAGGAGGGGAAGAAAGGAAACGAAAGGAAACCAACCAACCAAAAAAACGGAATTTATCATTAACAGATTCTTATTGAAATAACTTCTAAAAGAGGTACTTAGGAAAAAGCAAAATTATTTCAGAAAGAAGCTCTGAAATGCAGTAAGGAATCTGAGCTAGGAAATGATGAACACGTGGGTATGTCCGAACAAACATTGACTGAGTGAAGCAGTAATAATGCCTAAATACATTTAATTTGTGGGGTTCACACCTACAAGAAAGAATTAGAAGAAGATACGTAATTGCTTAAGTTTGAGAAACACTGATTTAACCACTTATTCACATTTTCATCTATCTCCTAGCCTTTTTTTCTGACAACTACCATTTATTGAGCAACTATGTGCCAGGCACTCTCCTAAGCACTTTTCCTTGCATTGTCCTCACAGAAACCTTACAAAGTTTGTATTATTATCATTATTTTATGCTTGAGGAATCAGACAGAGACATTATTCAACCAGAGTAGGGTTCCACTGCTAGTAAGTGGCAGAGCCAGAATTTGAATGTGTGCCCACCTGTATCTGAGGTCTATTATTTTTCACCACATCATTCTATTTTCCACTTGATAGATATAATCTTAGCATGTAAAGAATACATTTTCTTTTAGGTAGGGAGCTTCTCTTCTGTGTCAGAAATAAGAATGTTTGGGTTTCTTATGCACAGTGAATTGCTAACAAACCTGACAAGGTAGTTTTGTGTTTGACTTTAGATCTTCAGTGTTATCTGTGGTACGTGTTTTTCTCCTTTGATTTGAAATGTCTATTCCTAATATTCTCAATGCTGATAGTCTTTGCCTTTTTCCTAGGGCTGTGTGCAAGAAGTTTGGGTTGCACGTGAGTCGAATGATGCTAGCCTTCTTGGTTCTCAGCACTGGCATGTTTTGCTCATCATCAGGTAAGTAAAAGGGCAGATGAGGGAATTGCAGGTCATCACCAGGTAAGTAAAAGGGCAGATGAGGGAATTGCAGGTTCACCAATAGTTCACAGTTGCATTTAAAGGAAGCATTTGTCCAAATGTAGGTTATATTTGTAGAACATGTCAATAATTTGCAGAGCACTGTTATCTACATTATCTTGATTGACCTTTGTAACAATCCTACCATGTAAGTAAGAAAAACATTTTCTCACTTTTGCAGGTAAGGACATTGAAACGTAGATGAAATGATTTACTAAAAGTCAAAATTCATAAATGGTAGAGCTGGTAGTCTCACCAGGATGTTTTCTATTCCATTCTTGCATCAACCACCCACCTCCTTTCTTGGCCATTAGTGGAAAGAAAGTAATTCTTTTATTTTGTTTAAAGAAGTTATTTGTACATAAAGACCTGTTGTTGATGATTCTGTTTTCTACTGATGATACATTATTTGATATGTATTCTATGTGCATCTTCTGCTGGGCTTTCTTTTAATAATAAGCTTCTGGAAATTTAGAATAAAAACCTCACTCTAGAGCATTGGCTTTCAGACTGTTCTGCCATTGAACATTTGTGTTGTATAAGCTGAATCAAGTTGGTCCACTGCCAAATGGTAGTCTATTCCCAGTTCTCCAGAAAAATTAAGTTACTGGATATAATTGTCTCAATTTTAGTTTCTGCTTGTGTGTACCAGGATCTAGTATATACAGAGTATACACAAAAACATAGTATCTGGCACAAAATTATATGCTTACTTTTCCCTTATTGAATATATCAAAATTGATGTTGTTCTGCAGAGATGTCAGGGCTGTACTCCAGAGTGACTTTGAGAGCCTGTCCTAAATGCATCTGTGCTCTACCCTCAGATTCCTCTGCCCCCTTTGTCCTCTACACTGCAGCTGGAACTGACAGCTTTGGATGGCATCATTATTATTTGACATTTATTGGTAAAGGGTGTACCTCAGATGTTTTTTAAGTTGCTTTCCTACTACTTTTTTTCTTTTCTTTTCTTTTCTTTTTTTTTGAGACAAGAGTCTCGCTCTGTTTGCCCAGGCTGGAGTGCAGTGATGCCATCTCGGCTCATTGCAACCCCCTCCTCCCAAGGTTCAAGCGATTCTCTTGCCTCAGGCTCCTGAGTAGCTGGGATTACAGGCGTGCACCACCACGCCCAGCTAATTTTTTTATTTTTAATAGAGATGGGGTTTCACCATGTTGGTCAGGCTGTTCTCAAACTCCTGACCACGTGATCCACCCGCCTCAGTCTCCCAAAGTGCTGGGATTACAGGTGTGAGCCACCGCACGTGGCCTCTTTTCTTTTCAAGTGCAAGGTCTTGCTCTTCACCTAGGCAGGTTAGAGTGCAGTGGCACAATCGTAGCTCACTGCAGCCTTGAATTCCTGGGCTCTAGCAGTCTTTCCACTACAGCCTCCCAAGTAGCTAGGACTATAGGCATGCATCACCATGCCTGGCTAGTTTTAAAGTTTTTTGTAGAGATGGAGTTTCACTGTGTTGCCCAGGCTGGTCTCAAACTCTTAGCCTCAAGCAGCCCCCCACACCTTGGCCTCCCAGAGTACTGAGATTAAAGACATGAGCCACTGTGCCTGGCCTGCTACTCCTACAATTGATCTTTATATGTAGAAAATTCCTTAGAATATCTTTAGTTTTGTAATCTCATTTGAGACACAGATAAGTTGAAGGCATCTTTTCATACAGAGCCTCTGAACCCTTTGCTGAGTTTAAAAAAACCTCACTGCCTATTAATTGTGGTTGTTTTGTAGTTGATACTGATTTTTCTTCCCTACTGATTCAGACTTTCTGCAGCAGAAGAGGCAGATCTGCATTTTTGTTCAGAGTTACTAGAAACACTTTAATCAATTGTTTCTGTTCCAGAGACCCTGTACTCTGTCCTCTGCTGTATAAAACAAGGTTGAGGTAGATGGAACTAATTAGGGGGCTATTTAAAGGCCAGATTATCTGTGTCAGCAGGTGGAGAGTGCAAAGCATTGCTGCCATACAATATCTGGCCCTTGAGGAGGCTTTCTAGAATTTCCGGGGCTAGAGGTTAGGACCAGGACAGTCTCAGAGGACCAATGGAAGATAAGCTTCTTCAGAAGTAAATTGTCAGCAATGGCTCTAAGTCTTTTAAAGCATATTCCCTTCCTGGAAATATAATCATGGGGTGTTCCTGGGGAGCGTGGAATTCTATGAGTTTTTGATTTGAGGTGTAGGCTGGGAGAGGAATTACATGGTTAGAATTGTATAATTGGGTTGGTACCTAAAAAAACAGGAAGGAGAGGCCAGGTGCGGTGGTTCACGCCTGTAATCCCGGTACTTTGGGAGGTCGAGACAGGCAGATCACGAGGTCAAGAGCTCGAGACCAGCCTGGCCAACATGGTGAAACCCCGTCTCTACTAAAAATACAAAAATTAGCTGGGTGTGGTGGCACGTGCCTGTAATCCCAGCTACTCGGTAGGCTCAGTCAAGAGAATCGCTTGAACCAGGGAATCAGGTTGCAGTGAGCTGAGATCCCACCACTGCACTCCAGCCTGGTGATAGAGCAAGACTCCGTCTAAAAAAAAAAACCAGGAGTGAGAAAAATAAGAGTCATTGAACTTCATTTTTTTAAAAAAGAATATCACTTTGCTGTCCTTTCTAATATAGCATTTCCCCAATTATGTACCTGTTTATTGACATTTTATAATGTAGGTAAATTTTTAATCAGTTTTTAATTGATACCTAATTAACCTCGAGCTCTTGTCCTCCTGCCTTTTTTCACTTCTTTACTCTTGCAGCATTCCTTCCTAGTAGCTTCTGTATGTACACTACGTTGATAGCCATGACTGGATGGTATATGGACAAGACTTCCATTGCTGTGCTGGGAGTAGCAGCTGGGGCTATCTTAGGCTGGCCATTCAGTGCAGCTCTTGGGTAAGAAACTAACAGTTCTCCTCCCATATATCGCTGGGCATATAGTAAATCTTAATGTTGGATTAGCTCCATATTGTCTGCATAGAATCTGAAGTTAATCAATTGGGCTTTCAAAGATTCTGGGAAATGGAAGAATATTTCTCTTAGCACTTACTATTATGATTAATTCTAATAAGAATAATGACCATTGAGCATCTGCTATGTGTTAGGCACAGTGAAACCCTTCGTAAACCTTATCTTGAAACCTTACAACAACTCTGCAGGAGAAATACAATTATTAGTACTTTATAAATGAGAAAGTAGACTCTGAGAGTTTGAATAATTTACCTTTAAGATTATGTTTGCTTTTGAATCCAGGCCTTTTTGACTCTATAGCTGATGTTTTCTCCACGCGGCACCACCCTGTTCTGTGAATTTTTTCACTCACTCGGATTTGAAATCTGAGTTTCCTCCCGTCTTCCTTCTTTCTTTATTTTTATTTATTTATTTATTTTGAGACGGAGTTTCACTCTTGTTGCCCAGGCTGGAGTGCAATGGCACGATGTTGGCTTATCACAACCTCCGCCTCCTGGGTTCAAGTGATTCTCCTGCCTCAGCCCCCCAAGTAGCTGGGGCTACAGGCGTGCGCCACCACACCTGGCTAATTTTGTATTTTTTAGTAGAGACAGGGTTTCTCCATGTTGGTCAGGCTGGTCTTGAACTCCCGACCTCAGGTGATCCGCTCACCTTGGCCTCACAAAGTGCTGGGATTACAGGCATGAGCCACTGCGCCTGGCCCAGTCTTCCTTCTTTCTTGCCCCCAGCATCTTTTTTTCCACCAAGCTCCTTGTATACTCTTTGTTCCCACTACTTCTGTTCTAGTGTGTGGTACCTTAATTTCTTACCTGTACCACAGGTAATTTAGGAAAATATTTTAATCTGATGCTAAGGTTATTTTAGAAGGATTATATCTTTATTGTAAAAAAAAAAAAAAAAAGTAAGTACCAGATTGTATAAGGTAAAAACAATTCCTAATTTTCTTCTCCGCTAGCTCAATCCTCAAAGATAGTCACTGCTAATAGTTTGGTATATGTCTTTCCAGAAAAATTATGCTGTGTGTATAAATATTTGTATACATACCTATCTACATTCTTAAAACAAATGGAATTATTCTGTATATATATAGGTATTCTACATATTAAATTTATATAATTGTTTATATTGGTTGCATAACATTCCATGATTTACTTATTGCCTTATTGGTAGACATTTGGTTTTCATTTTTTTACTGTTATAACCAATGCTTCAGTGAACAATTTTTTTTTCTTTTTTTTTTTTTTTTTTTTGAGATGGAGTCTTGCTCTGTCACCCAGGCTGGAGTGCAGTGGCACGATCTTGGCTCACTGCAACCTCTGTCTCCCGGGTTCAAGCAATTCTCCTGCCTCAGCCTCCCAAGTAGCTGGGTTTACAGGCACATGCCACCACGCCCAGCTAATTTTTGTATTTTTAATAGAGACGAGGTTTTACCATATTGGCCAGGCTGGTCTCGAACTCCTGACCTCGTGATCCACCTGTCTCGGCCTCCCAAAGTGTTGGGTTTACAGGTGTGAGCCATCGTGTCCGGCCCAGTGAACATTATTATACAGATATCTTTGTGCACTTGTGGGAATTTACCTATGGGGTAAATTTTTATGAGGGGAGTTACTAAGAGAATAGTCCATTTTAAAATTTCTTAAGTGCCTTTTAAAGGCTGGTTTCCTCATCTCCATTCCTTTCTTCTATTCTATTTTGCACATTCTCAGATTTTCATGTTCCTCAGGATTGTATCTTAGGTCCTCTTCTGTACTTTCTGCTATCTCTCAGCCATCTTGGTGATTCCCATAGCTTAATGTCTAGTCCAGTTATCTCTCTTGAGCTTCATTCATATATTCCCAGCTGCTTAGTAGATAGCTGCTGAATTCATTATCTTCTCTCCATAGCTGTTCCTTTACTTGTGTTTCTATTCCAGTAAATAGTACTGCTGTCTCCTCAATACTGACCCAGAAACCTGAAAATTGTCTGTGACTCTTCTCTCTTTCCCATCAGTGTTAATTGGTTGTATCTCCTGAATATCTTTTGAATCTGATTACTTGTCTTCACTCCCCCTTGTTCCTGGATCACTACACGGCCTCCTAAATGATCTCCTCCTCTCTAGTCTTGACCCCTGTAAATCAGCTCTCCAAACTCCACTAGAGTTATATTCCTCAAATGCAGATGTGGTTGTATCACTTCCCTGTTTTAAACTCTATGGCAGCTTCTCCATTGCTTTATGTCATGGAGGTTGGCCGACTGACCTGTTTTTGTATAGCCCAACAACTAAATAGTTTTTACGTTTTTAAAGGGTTTTTAAAAAACAACAAACATACACAGAGGGAGAAGACTATGCAACAGAGAACATATGTGGCCTGCAGACCCTAAAATATATACCGTCAGATCCTTTAAATAAAAAGTTTGCCAACCCCTGCCCTGTGGTATCCAAACTCAAAGATAACACAGAAAGCCCTGCATGGTCTTCCTTTTACTTTTCCAGCTTCTTTTTGTCAGTTCTTCCATTCCTTTCATTCACTATTTCATCTACATTGAATTTCACTGAGTTCCTCAAATACCTCTTGGGTGCCACATTTCGATGAGTCTGCCTTTACCAAGATAAGTGATTTCAGGATCACAATTAGTCAGTTAGCAATCAGTATACTGTCATTCATTGAATGCTTTGTGCTAGATACTGCTGATATTTTAGAAATTAGACAGTCATGGTTCCTGCCCTTTTGGAACTTAACATTTTAGTAGGAAAGACAGATATTGGACAAGTAATTAAAAGTATGACTTATCAAAGGAGAAATACAGGTGCTATGGAAATGGAAGTAGTTGGGGTGACAAAAAATAAAAACGCAAAATGTTATACGGAATTTACATAACAACATGGAGGTTCAAATCACAGAAGAGGTACTGTGACAGCACATGACATTGCTAAATCAATGATAGAGATGATGATGCCATATAAATTCAAAGATGGGGCCAGGCGTGGTGGCTCATGCCTGTAATTCCAGCACTTTGGGAGGGCGATGCAGGCAGATCTCCTGAGGTCAGGAGTTTGAGACCAGCCTGGCCAACATGGTGAAACCCTGTCTCTACTAAAAATACAAAACAATTAGCGGGGTGTGGTGGTGCACACCTGTAGTCCCAGTTACTTGGGAGGCTTAGGCAGGAGAATTGCTTGAACCCAGGAGGCGGCAGTTGCAGTGAGCTGAGATCACACCACTGCACCCAGCCTGGGCGACAGAGTGAGACTCTGTCTCAAAAAAAAAAAAAAAAAAAAAAAATTAGCCAGGGCTGATGGCCTGTGCCTGTAGTCCCAGCTACTCGGGAGCCTGAGGCAGGAGAATGCTGGAACCTAGGAGATGGAGGCGGTAGTGAGCCGAGATTGCGCCACTGCACTCCAGCCTGGGCAATAGAGTGAGACCCTGTCTCAAAAAAAAAAAAAAAAAAAAGTCTGTAATAAGGTTATTACTAAAATCCTAGTAAATCATGGAAGGGTGAGGTTAGTACTTATTTATTTGGCAGGGTGGGTGTAAGACAGTAGGGCACATATATTTTAAATTTCTGTTACCCATAAATGTGTATAAAATGGAATTCATTCCAGCAGCTCAGTAATTCTATTTCTTGTGCATCAGTGGGATACAGAGCACTCTGACAGGTCCTGTGACGACATCCTCTCACATACCAGGTTTCTTCCCTCACTATAACTGGCAGAGGCATTTTATTCTCAGTTCAGCATGAGGTATGTGTGAATCTGATTTGTCTCTGTCAGTATTTATTTAACTCCCCGCTCTGTTTCTCTGTTAAATAGTTTACCCATTGCCTTTGATTTGCTGGTCATGAAACACAGGTGGAAGAGTTTCTTTCATTGGTCGCTGATGGCCCTCATACTATTTCTGGTGAGTTTTCTTTTTTACTTGCTTTGTCCTAAAGTTGTAATGAAAGCAACTTTGATGTGAAAAAAGGAACATCAGGAGTTTATTCTGTTTTTCATTCTCAGGTTTATCCTATTAGCATTTTGAGAATGTTTCTAGATCAAAACTATTTTCTGCTCTGTTTTAGGTGCCTGTGGTGGTCATTGACAGCTACTATTATGGGAAGTTGGTGATTGCACCACTCAACATTGTTTTGTATAATGTCTTTACTCCTCATGGACCTGATCTTTATGGTAAGGCTTTGTGAAATTTGGGCAAGTGTTAGGAGATAGCTTAATTTGCCTGAACTTCAGCATTTTAATTCAGTTGCCTCGTATTATTAGATGTAGCATTTCTTGGCTGATATTATCTTTTCCTATTTAAAAATGACATCTGAGTATAGCACAATGATGACACGTAGCCACTCAAATATTTCTCCTTGATTAATGTGATATTCCAATACTGGCTCTCTATTTTTCCTGTTTGTTATTTTCACTTTCAGAGTTTTGAGGACTCTGGGTATGCTATGGCTTTTGATGCTTTTTTTTTTTTTAATTAAAAGTTACTTTTTTCTCTTCTTATTAAAAAATCAGTATGATAGGAGAAGGAAATGAAAGCATAATACTATCATCTCCATATAACTATTACTAACACCTGGGAGTATACCCCAGACATTTTTTTTTTTTTTTTTGAGGTGGAGTTAGACTCTTGTTGCCCAGGCTGGAGTGCAGTGGCGCGATCTTGGCTCCCTGCAACCTCCACCTCCTGGGTTCAAGTGATTCTCCTGCCTCAGCCTCCCGAATAGCTGGGATTACAGCTATTAGCCCGCCACCATGTCTGGCTAATTTTTTTGTATTTTTAGTAGAGACGGGGTTTCTCCATGTTGGCCAGGCTGGTCTTGAACTCCTGACCTCAGGTGATCCACCCGCCTTGGCCTCCCAAAGTGCTGGGATTACAGGCATGAGCCACCGTGCCCGGCCCAGACATTTTCTATATATACACACATTTGATGTTACTTTTTCTCTTCCAGATTTGCTTTACTTCAATTCCAGCATTTGGGGAGAAAGTTTGGAAAATCTGTAGACAAAGTTACAGCGATTGGGGCTGGGCTGGGGTCAGCATGGGAGGGTGGGGAAGTTGACCAGCTTAGGGTTAAGAGAGAAAATGGAATGCCTTTAATCTGGGGATGCAGTCTTCAGTTTACCCCATCTCCACTCCTTCCCTGATGCCTTTCACTCCACCAGCCAGTTTCATTTGGCCCCTGAAGGAATTTGCGTTAGTTACAGTAATGGGGGGATGAGCTAGAGATCTTTTGGATCAAATCAGCCAACTCAGCAAACATTTCACGAGAGAGGCAGTTTTTTCATTAAAATAATTATAGTTTCTTCAGCCTTAATCTTTTGAGGGTCTTGGAACATTCTGTATAAGGGCTTGCTTTGGGGTTCTGCTATGAAGCAGGTTAAGATTATATCTATCTGTACTCCTGTCAATTTAAGTCTTGTCACTAGCCATGTCCATCATTTGCCTGTGCCATTTTGCCAATAGAACCAACAGATTGAATAAGGAGATTTAAAGTAAGAATATGAATGAGATTTACTTGAGTCTTCTGGAATTTTGGGAATATTATCATTCTAGGTGGCAAGTAATAGTTTAAGATAAGCAGTGCTTTGTTCAGTGGATTGAATTCACAAATTGCACAGTTAGAGAATAATTACTAAGTGAAAGAACTTTAAAAAAGCTCCTTTATGGCTCTAAGATCCCCAGGGGTGTGAGAAAAGGCCCCAGTATTAAGCTTTTGCCTCTAGATGTCTCCCTTTAGCTAGGGAGAGTTTGCTTGTTTGTGATTGCCTCTTGTTTTAGTTTACTTGTAAAATTTTATTCTATTTCACAAGGCAATAAAAGATCTTAGATCTAGACTGCACAGTAGAAATTGTTTCACAGAGAGCCTGTTAGAAACACAATATCTACTCTCTGTGGGTGAATAAATTGAGTTAATTTGTGTTAATTTTGAAAAATTGACTTCTCCACCTTTATAATGGGTTACTGATACTCTAACTCTTTATAAAACCTTTTGTGAGAGACTTATGAAAGTGACAGATTTTTTTGTATCCCTCTGGATTGATGAATCTCTCTCTCTCTTTTTTTTTTTTTTTTTTGAGATGGAGTTTCGCTCTTGTCACCCAGACTGGATGCAGTGGCATGATCTCTGCTCACTGCAACCTCCCCTCCTGGGTTCAAGCAATTCTCCTGCCTCAGCCTCCTGAGTATCGGGAATTATAGGCGCCCGCCACCACACCCTTCTAATTTTTATATTTTTAGTAGAGACGGGGTTTCGACATGTTGGCCAGGCTAGTTGCCAACTCCTGACCTCAGGTAATCCACCAGTCTTGGCCTCCCAAAGTGCTGGGATTACAAGCATGAGCCACCACGCCCAGGGATGAAGCTCTTAAATATAGGAATAATCAGGGTGGTAGGGAAAGTAGGAAAGAAGGAATAAATTCTGATTTAAGTTTACGGTGCTAATTTAACAGTGGGTCAGTCAGGAACCCCTGTGGTAGGTTTTGAGATCCAGTAGAGCAGTAGCCAGTCTTTCCTGGGATATTGGCATTTGCTGTTCATTTCAGTCAGCGTTTAACAGGGAAAGAGTCCTTGGGACTTCTTTCTGCCTACTTTAATGAACCTGAGATAGCTTCAGTTCAGATTTTGCTATTTTGGATGTACAGAAACTGATCACTTTCCTGGGGGTAGCAAAAACTTTGTTGAAACAGAGAGAATTGGCATACCAACCATGAACAGGACTGATACAGTGCTGCAGTCAGCCAGACTTTAGGCAGTTGTTCCTTGATGGCAGGATTTGTGTGCCTTTACCTCATCTTTGAATTTGGTAAAAGAAAAAAATTTTTGTCTGATTTTTTTTTTTTTTTTTTGAGACAGTATCTCGCTCTGTCACCCGGGCTGGAGTGCAGTGGTGCGATCTCTGCTCACTGCAACCTCTGCCTCCCGGATTCAAGCTATTCGCCTGCCTCAGCCTCCCTAGTAGCTGGGATTACAGGCACCCATCACCATGCCTGGCTAATTTTTGTATTTTTAGTAGAGACAGGGATTTCACCATGTTGGCCAGGCTGCTCTTGAACTCCTGACCTCAAATGATCTGCCTGCCTCAGCTTCCCAAAGTGCTGGGATTACAGGCATGAGCCACCATGCCTGGCCTGATTTCCATTCTTTGAGAGTGTTAACTCCTTTTTGGTTTAGGAGGCCTGCAGAGAGAATACTTCTTCCATCTTAGGAGTAGGAATTCCTTGTATATTCCAGACTTACAGGAAAGATCTGTCAAGAATCAATGAATGGATAAATTCTGGGGTATCCATTGGGTTACATTAGTGTGTCATTTACAGTTGTATCATAGAATCACTTTAGTTAGACCTGTTGTGGTGCTAGCTTGAGATTTTCGTGATACCAAATAATAATACTATAATAGATAGAAATAAAATACCTTTTAAATCAAAAAGTACTTCATGATTGTCAGCTAATTTTATTATAATTGGTGAGGCCATTCAGTATACATAAAAGACTTGTATTTTACTAGATGTTTTGAGGCAGTAAAATTGTCAGACAGCGAGATAGCATGTCTTTTGTATTGGAAATGCTAGCTCTTTCACTTTATTACATGTTGGGCACTATTTGGCATTGTTTTGGCTGTTTTACAAGAGTCTCCTGCTCCAGGTGCCTCATTAGCTATGTTAAGCACACAGTTTCTTATCTGAAAATTAAAAATGCATTGTGCTGTATACACCATAGAATACTATGCAGCCATAAAAAGGAACAAGATAATGTCCTTTGCAGGGACATGGATGGAACTGAAAGCCATTATCCTCAGCAAACTAACACAGGAGCAGAAAACCAAACACCACATCTTCTCACTTATAAATGGGAGCTGAACGATGAGAACACATGGACACAGGGAGGGGAGCAACATACACTGGGGCCTGTGGAGGGGGCGGAGGGAGGGAGAGAGCATCAGGATAATAGCTAATGCATGCTGGGCTTAATATCTAGGTGATGGGTTGATCTGTGCAGCAAACCACCATGGCTCAAGTTTACCTATGTAACAAACCTGCACATCCTGCACATGTACCCCAGAACTTAAAACAATTTAAAAACAGGAAAAAAGATAGTTTTTGCATACATCTCTTAGTGCTATTTCTCATGTGTAAGAACATACTAAGCCTATTAATATTTCTTGACTGGATGGACAAATGGGCTTCAGTTAAAGAAACATTGAAGGTCAGGTGTGGTGGCTCACGCCTGTAATCCCAGCACTTTGGGAGGCCGAGGTGAGTGGATCACTTGAGGCCAGGAGTTCGAGACCAGCCTGGCCGACATGGTGAAACCCCATCTCTACTAAAAATACAAAAATTAGCTGGGCGTGGTGGTGCATGCCTTTAATCCTAGCTACTCAGGAGGCTGAGGCACGAGAATTGCTTGAACTCGGGAGGCAGAGCTTGCAGTGAGCCGAAACTGCACGACTGCACTCCAGCCTGGGCGACAGAGGGAGACCCTGTCTCAAAAAAAAAAAGAAAGAAAGAAAGAAAGAAACATTGAATAAATTGCTTTTGAGCATTAATCTTGTTTCATCATAGTACTTACTGTCTAATTAGGCTGCAGACACACAAATAGATAATTACAGGACAGTGTTTTATGTGCTACAGGGGAAAGATAGGGAATCATAGGAGCATGTCCTTCTGGTGGTGTCAAGAAAGGTGCGGCTCTTGAGCTGAGCCTGGAAGGAAGAGTAGGAGTGTCCTTAGTAAATGCAAGAGGGGTACATTTCTGACAAATGGAATGTCAAATATAGGGACTGCTGAAGCAAAAAGATTGAATATTGAGTTCTTTATAAAAACTTATTTTTACAGCATTGGTTGGATTTTAGGTAGAAACTATTCAGACATGAGCAAGATGATTTCAATCACTCCATTGTGGTTATAATCATATAAATGTTTACCCTTTCTATTGTTCCTGGTTTTCTTTTTTTTTTTTTTTTTTGAGATGGAGTTTTGCTCTTGTTGCCCAGGCTGGAGTGCAGTGGGGTGACCTCGACTCCCCGCAACCTCTGCCTCCTGGATTCAAGCAATTCTCTTGCCTCAGCCTCCTGAGTAGCTGGGATTACAGGCATGCACCACCACACCCAGCTAATTTTTAGTAGAGATGGGGTTTCTCCATGTTGGTCAAGCTGGTCACGAACTGTTCCTGGTTTTCAAAGGGACCTTTCTACACTTTCCTGGCTAGGTAGCATGTATTAGTGAGACATTCTAGACTTGAGCTGACACCTTTCATTTGAAGCTGGGGAAAATAAAGGGAGTACATTTTGAAAGATATTAATTACAATATCTTCTGATTATTGAATGCCTACTGTGTGTCAGAAGTTATTCACATACCATCTTTTTTCACTCAAAACACTCTGAGACAGGCCTTATTTATTTGTATTCCTGGATGAAGAAACTGAGGTTGAGATGGTGGGGAATATGCCACATAGTTAAAAAAGTAGCAAAAGTGGGATAAGAGTCTAGTGTTGTCTGACTTCAAAGCCCGTGTTCTTTGCACTGAAAACAAGACCCTTAGCAAAACCCTGGAGTTTGGCTACTGAGACTTTACCAGAGAATAAGCTTACTAAAGCAGAGAGCATGAGTTGAGGGTGGGAGAAGATAGGATCCAATCTATAGAATAGGTGGAAAATTATACCTTTGAAGGTTTGTGCATTTTGGTTTGGAAAGTGATCAGGAGCCCCTAGCGAGCTTGAGTGGCAGAGTGACGTGCACACTGGCAAGTTCTCCTTTTACATGGGAGCGCTGTACCAGACCCTTTTGTTGAAGAAAGAAGGAGTGTTTGGATAAGGTAAAGAACATTTGGCACTTAGAAAATTTAGAATAGGATAGACTAGAATTGTGAAGTCTTAGGCAAAATGTCTCTGTGGGGTCAGAGATCAAGAGGCGAAATTTAGTGTTGCAGAAAAGAAAGTGATTGGTCTTGTCACTGATTTTGCCCCTCATAACATTTCAAGTTCTCAGATGTTGATGCTGGCAAGTATTTTTGTCTGGTGAGTGAAGAGTGGTGCTCTCTGCTGAGGAGTGCACAGGCCTGGAGAAGGCATGGGAATACACTTACAGGAAATACTCTTGCCTCAGAAAGAACAGTGAATCTGCTCAGGTTGCCACTTTGCAGCTTAGGACAGGATCCCATTGCCTGTTTATGTGTTTTATCAACATCTGTCTGATCACTGGATGGAAAGTTTCAGACGATACCCGCAAATGCCCTCTGTTGGGAGGCCCACAGGTTTCCATAATTGCAGTGGCAGAGGAAGAAGCCCCAGTGGGGTCTTATCAGTCCTGCTTAGAATTCACTGCCAGCCAGAACTGTTCTAGAGCCTTTGCTCTTTTGTTAATCATTTCTCTTGAACTTAGTGGCTTTTCCCTCTCGGTGGTACAAATTTGACATTTATAAGGATGTCTTACTATGATTTAGTTCCTACAGGTCTATAAAATTATAACTTTGGGAAGTAGTTCTCCTTCATTCAATCTATGGAGCAGTAAACATTATCCCTTCTTTTAGCTTCTTTGAAAGCTTCCCTTAGCTCATTTGATTGAAAGGACTTGAGGCACTTTCCATAAAGAGGAGGATGGGTGAGTCACTCCCTGCAGAGACCCTGCTGCCAGCTTTCCTTCACCTAAACATCTTGCACCAGTTCAGCGTTTAGCTTGTCATTCTGACATGGTTTTTTGCATAGTTCAGCTCTGATGTTTTCTGAGCAGCAGCATTGAATATCTCCCTGAAAAGAGATAAAAGTTTATACCCTTTGCTTTCCTAAGGCAGATGTGTCATCAAGCAGGGGAGGACTCTGGCTGATAGAAGTCACTCTTTTTGTTCCCTTTTGCCCTTGTTTTTAAGACTGTTGACACTTGAACCTTCTTCACTTTTGGCTTATCCCCCAATTTTTGCCCCATCTTTCAGGGAAATAACAGTCTGTTATGAAATGTTCACAGCCTAGTTGGAAACTTGATTTATGAGCTCTGAATACATAAAAATGATTGCATTTACCAGCTTAATACTTTTGTTTCCTCATCTCAGAGTACAGTATACCTAGATAAAAAGATAGCTGTAACAGGAGGGTATAGTAAATTGTGTTAGAGACAAATATTTTCTGGAAGCTAAAGTGCTTTCCTGAAAAAAACAGTCTGTATTTGCAAATATGAAAGAGACAAGTGGCTTTTTCCTATTGGTGCTTGACATCTGTAATAGATAATAGAAAGGATAACCCCTTTTCTGTCTGGTCACTCTATGGTTTTTCTTCACAAGCTCAGATTTCCAGAATCCTGTTAAGAAAAAGGTGAGTCAGAGGTTGCTAGCCCTGCTTCCGCACTGGTGGTCAGGAGAGGATTGTGCAAAAGCTTACCTCTCTGGAAATTGGATCCTAAAGGACTCAGTTTAAAAAATAATGTTGTTAAATTCTAATTAAGATTCAGAAAAGACATTTTTGATTTGAAAATAAAACCATCCGTTAGTTTTCTATAACCCAAATGCATATTTGTAAAGAATACAAGATTAAAATGTCCCTAATGAACTGGGCCTGGAATAGGACCTCTGTTCATGAATATTCTCTATCATTGTATTGAGACAGGAAGGAGTGAGCTTCCCCCAAAGGTGACGCACAGTTGAACTTGAACTTTTCCTTAGTGTAACCTCCCTCCCTCTTACTTCTCCCCTAAATGTTTCTAGCATTATGGGTTTGGTTTCTAATCTTATTTTGCTGTGCAAGCTGCAAGAATGTCAGGTTTTTCTGACTATTCCTCTGCCTTCTGATTACCCTTTTAAGCAATGCTGATTGCAGGAAATTGCTATGGTGCAAGGCGGGTGTCACAACACACAGTGATTAAAACCCGCATGTGTCATTCACTTCTTGATTGAAGTAATCATACAGAGGGGAAAAGCAGATGAAAAACCTGCTAAATGTGCAGAGGGGGTCTGTTTCTCATCATTTGGGTGTAAGGATTTTGAGTTAAAGAATAAAAAATAGTGTGAGTAAGACTTGTGTTTTTAGTGATTTTGCTTCATTCTGAATCCTTAAAGCTTCTCAGCAAGGCCTGGGCCTCTGAACATGATCTAAGAAAAACGGGTTGTTGCTTTATACCAAACACATGTTGCCCAATGTACGCGACTATAAGTGGTTGAGCATATCAAGGGGAAAGATGCTAGAATGTAAATGGGACAAGCAGATGAAAACAAAATGGGAGATGCCTGAATAGCTCAAACTAAGTTCCTTATTTTTATTTTTATTTGAGACAGGGTCTCACTGTGTCGCCCAGGCTGGAGTGCAGCGGCACGACCACAGCCCACTGCAGCCTTAACCTCCTGGGCTCAAGCAATCCTCCCATCTCAGCCTTCCTAGTAGCTGGGATTACAGGCATGAGCCACCACACCCAGCCACCAACTAAGTTTTTTTATCACTCTTTCCTTTGGTCTGCGCGATCTTGAGAGAATAGTTAAATTGAAATGGCAGTTTTATTATTTTAGCCCTATGTGGCTCTAAAGCGATTTAAATTATTTGGTGCTTCTCAAAAGTATTAGTTCCATTGGGGCATAGCAATTTGGGCTAGATATAGTGGTCAGTATAGAAAATACAGCTAACTATTTGAAACTTGATTTCTCCCTAAATCCTCATGACCAATCCCATTCTCTTCCATCTCGCTCTTGTGCTTCTTTTGTGTAGCTTAGCATGGGAAGAGTGGGCTGTGCACTCTCATTCCCATGAGGCATAGGATCATCAGTGTTATTCCAACAAAGAACATTATATGTCAAGCACCGTAATAGGTGTTAAAGGCATCCACTAATGATTTCTTACCTTTATGTCTCCCTCAGGTACAGAACCCTGGTATTTCTATTTAATTAATGGATTTCTGAATTTCAATGTAGCCTTTGCTTTGGCTCTCCTAGTCCTACCACTGACTTCTCTTATGGAATACCTGCTGCAGAGATTTCATGGTGAGTGGCATAAGAGATGGTAGGTGTTTTGGGAGGAAAGAGCAAGTAATGGTGTATACCAAGAACTGAAGGAAAATCCTACTTACTTTATTTTCCACATTCTTCCTATGGAAATGGTTGGCTTACTGAATTTTCAGTCTGTGTTTGTTGATCCATTGAACCCTTGTGAAGATTTGGTGAATTGTGGCAAATTAAATTGACAGGAGGAAGAGCTTTATTATTGCTTTAAGTGAGGAAGTCAATATAATTTACACAATCACCCAGGGAAGTAAAAATATTTATAAAATCTCAGAAGGAGGCCGGGCGCGGTGGCTGACATCTGTAATCCCAGCACTTTGGGAGGCCGAGGCGGGTGGATCACCTGAGGTCAGGAATTAAAACCAGCCTGGCCAACGTGGTGAAACCCCATCTCTACTAAAAATACAAAAATTAGCCAGACATGGTGGTGGATGCCTGTAATCCCACTTACTAGGGAGGCTGAGGCAGGAGAATCGTTTGAACCCAGGAGGCAGAGGTTGTAGTGAGCCAAGACCCTGCGCCGCTGCACTCCAGCTGAGCGACAAGAGCAAAACTCCATCTCAAAAAAAATCTCAGAAGAGAACAAGCCTATTTGAGTTTTCTATCTTTTAAAGAAGTGTATATTAACCTGATAGGTTGCTTAAGGTAATCCACGAGATAGTACTTCAAACGAAAGTATAAAATCTGAACCATACAGGGATTTCCCCAAATTTGATAGTGAAGTAAGGGAAGCTTTGGACTTCCTCAGAAGCATGATGCTTTTCTTTGTTCCTTTTTGTTTCTGTGTCTGCCTTATTGGAGAAAGTTTGGTTTGTCGTTTGCTTTGCTTGCTCTGATTCTGTAGTGCACAGCTGGTGTTTTCTCAAGTTGTCGTGGCTCTGGATATCTAGTGCCTCTCATTTCTTTTATGGAAGACAGATTTGAACAGAAATTCATATGAGGTTTGGAAAAAGATTTAATTTCAGACTTTGCAGTCTGATTTGGATGCCATATGATCAGTTCCCCCATCCCACCTCCATTCTGCTTTTCTACTATTAATGGTTTATAATGAGTTCGTTGTATTATAAGAATATTAGAGCAGCCTTCAGAGTCACTTTTCTTTGGTGTTAGGACTTTTGTTTCAACGTAGCCATAATGCCATTATCCTAATAAAATTATCAGTAATTTCTTAATATCATCTAATACCCATTGATTTCCTAGATTGTCTGAAAAATAGCCTTTTATAGTTAGTTTAAAGCAGAATCTCAACAAGGGTCACGTACTGAATTTAGTGTTATATTTCTTAAGCTTTTTAAGAAGACCCCCATCTTACTTTTTTTCTTTCGAAGATTTCTTTAAAGAAACCAGGCCATCATCTTGCATAATGTCCCACATTTTAGACTCAGCTGTTTGCTCCCTTGAGGTGTTAACTTATTCCTCTATCCCTTCTATTTCTTAAGGATCACTTTTTCTTTTTTTGAAAATAGCTATTTTTCTGACTATAAAAATAATTTATGATAGCTGGGAGCAGTGGCACGTGCATATAGTTCCAGCTGCCCGGGAGGCTACGGTGGGAGGATTGCTTGAGCCCAGGAGTTCGAGACCACTCTGGGCAACATAGTGAGACCTGTGTCTCTGTTTTTAAAAACAACAATAATAATTATTTATGCTTGTGGAAAATTTGGAAATGCTTGTAACGTCAGTAAAAAAACAGGATATTAAGCTGTTCTCTACAGTATGATAAAATTTTAAGTATAAAATATTGGTTTAAAATGCATAATGTATGCACATATCTACCTAGTAAGAAAACATTTTCTGTTTTTTTCTTTATATTTTTATGTGATTTTAGAATAGAACCAATACTTTTTTAAGAGAAAAAAGACCAGGCACAGTGGCTCATGCCTATAATCCCAGTATTTTGGGAGCACGAGGTGGGAGGATTGCTTGAACCCAGGAGTTCAAGACCAGCCTGGGTGAGATAGCAAGACCCTGTCACTACGAAAAAAATTAAAAAATTAACCGGGCATGGCGATGCACACCTGTAGTCCCAGCTACTTGGGAGGCTGAGGTGGGAGGATTGCTTAAGCCTAGGAGGTCAAGGCTACAGTGAGCCATGGTTGTGCCACTATGCTCCAGCCTGGGTGACAGAGCGAGACCCTGTCTCAAGAGAAAAAAAAAGTCCCCCAAACCATAGAAAATTATTAAGAAGCAGGAAAGAAATTACTCTTGATTTCATCATATCTAGCTGTGGTTGTGATTTTGTATATTTTATGGAGGACATTTCAAAATTTTTTGCCTTATTAAAAAAAGATTACTCGTTAGCCTTTAAGGTACAGAAGAGAAAAGGACTGTTTACTTGTGGACAATAAGTGGATTTATTTTCTTCTAATTAAAAAACCCCACCTTAGGCCAGGCACAGTGGCTCACGCCTGTAATCCCAGCACTTTGAGAGGCCGAGGCGGGTGGATCACCTGAGGTCAGAAGTTCAAGACCAGCATGACCAACACTGTGAAACCCCATCTCCACTAAAAATACAACAGTTAGCCTGGTGTGTTGATGCATGCCTGTAATCCCAGCTACTAAGGAGGCTGAGGCAGGAGAATCATTCGAACCTGGGAGGTAGAGGTTGCAGTGAGCCGAGATTGTGCCACTGCACTTCAGCTTGGGTGACAGAGAGAGACTCCGTCTCAGAAAACAAAAAACAAAAAACCTCCCCCTTAAAATATACTACCTAGAAAGGTATATATTCTAAATTATTATCTAAAATCCCATAATGTCTTAGAGCAAAAGTTGAAACAAAATCTTGTTATTGTAGTTCAAGAATTTTTATCCTTAAAGAATTTCTACAGTGAAAGTGATAGCCTAGGAATGCTAAATTAGGCATAGCTAAAGTGGATCTTGACGATAATCCTGATCTTGTAAACTGGCTTACTGTTAACATGGTGGACACCAGGGGGCGCTGTCTATCTACCATTTGCCCGCATTTGCGTTGCTCATTATCACTCCTGTAAACGCAGTAGGAGATGCCTTCACTGTGGGTTGCAGGCTTATCTCTCATTTCTCATGTACCTAACCACGGGAACTTTCCAGCAGGTTCTTGGGTTTTAGTGTTCATTACATTCCTTTAATTCTTTCACATGCTTTAAGTACATTTTTGTTCCAATTTGGGGATCCGGAGTGGATGAGTATTGCAAAATGGAGAGAAAACAATCACTGAACTTCCTTTAAGAGCATTTTTATGTTTGCCTTGAAACAAACTCCGTCATTTGTGGCTTGATGAAAACCAGTAATGAATTTGAGAATCCAACAATTTTGTTTTCCTTTGATCCATGGCTATTTGAACAGACTGATTGGTGTATAGATAAGAGACACCAATTAAACAGAACATTGGAATTAAAACCCCAGAAATGAATTTATGTTATGCTTTTGGTTAAACTCAGGAACTTTTCGTCTTAGTGGCAGGACTCATTAAAGGAGACGGCTTATTTTTCCTTCATCTAACGTAGAATTTATTAAGTTCTATTAGCCATTAACTTGACATTTATATGTGTCCTAACCAAATCTAGTATTGTGCTTGTTGTTAGAGTTTAGATCTCTTGGGAGAGCTAAGGAGTATATTCTTCTCTCCTTTTGATGCCTTTATGGCATTGGAGAAAGTGTGAATACAAGAGTAGAAACATTCTATGGAGTGTCCTAGGGCATACTCCTAAATTTGAGATCAAGATAACACTAAAACTAAATATGTTGTTTTGTTCTAATATAATGAAAGATGGGTATTTTTCTGTGTCTTGCAGTTCAGAATTTAGGCCACCCGTATTGGCTTACCTTGGCTCCAATGTATATTTGGTTTATAATTTTCTTCATCCAGCCTCACAAAGAGGAGAGATTTCTTTTCCCTGTGTATCCACTTATATGTCTCTGTGGCGCTGTGGCTCTCTCTGCACTTCAGGTGAGTTTCAGGGAGAAGTGTATCTGCCTCATTCTTTTTTACTTATTAAATAATTGCTCACAAACTTAAGTGCAAATTACAGAATGCTTCCACCTAAGATATTTTATCCATAACATTAAACCTGATATAGATCATATTATTAAACCTTCTTATATTGATTGCTTAGCTGTTTACCATACTTGTATTTGCTGATTACATGTTTGCAGTGTTAATTTGTGTGTTACTTTGCCTCTGTTACCAACAGGAATCCAATTGCAGAATTCCATTCTGTGGCAGAAGTAATGGAATGTCTGCTCTTTGAACTGCTAGATCATAACAAAACTTGCTCAAGAGTTTGGGATCACAGCAGGCAGTTCACAGTATGGGGCACTTTGTAATCCTGGTTGAAAACCTGCCCAGGTCAATTCTCTGGCAGAGCTCATCTTAACTCTGTTTGAATATCTCTGTACTTACGGCTTCAGTAGCCTCAGAACCCTGTATTGCCCTCTGCTACCATTTGCAGTTGGCAGAAAAAAAATAATTAGGATGATAGGTTTTTTTCTTAACAGGTTTTTTGAGATATAATTCACAAACCATACAGTTTACCTATTTAAAGGGTATGATTCAGTGGTTTTTAGTCTATTCACAGATGTGTGCAGTTGTCACCACAGTCAGTTTTAGATCAAAAACCCTGTACCCTTTAGCTATTGTTCCCCCATTCCCTTTCTCATCTCTCACCAGCCCTAAGTAACCATTAATCTACTTTCTGTTCTTATAGATTTGCCTATTCTGAACATTTCCTATACATGGAAACATATGATATGTGGTCTTTTGTGACTGGCTTTTCTTAACATAATGTTTTCAAGGTTCATCAATATTAGGTGATAGTTTTAAAAAATAATTTTAATTATAAAAGTAATTGAACTTTATTGCAGATAATTTAGGAAGTAGTAAAAGAAAAATTAGTCACATTAACCTAACAAAAACTCCTCCCAGCATTTTTGTATATCATATACCAAGGTTTGTTATAGTTGTAATAATAAGTATACATGTAACTTTATATCCCCCCCCCCCTTTTTTTTTTTTTGAGACGGAATCTTGCTCTGTCGCCCAGGCTGGATGGAGTGCAGTGGCGCAATCTCGGCTCACTGCAAGCTCTGCCTCTCGGGTTCACACCATTCTCCTGCCTCAGTCCCCCGGGTAGCTGGGACTACAGGCGCCCGCCACCACGCCCGGCTAATTTTTGTATTTTTAGTAGAGACGGGGTTTTCACTGTGTTAGCCAGGATGGTCTCGATCTCATGACCTTGTGATCCTCCCGTCTCGGCCTCCCAAAGTGCTGGGATTACAGGCGTGAGCCACCGCACCCAGCCACTTTATATCCCTTTTAATTTAATATTGTAACATTCTCTGTGCTTATCATTTTAGTAGCTGTAGAATGTTCTGAGTTGGATATAATATATAGCATTATTATGTAATATGTAATATATTGACTTGACTTTATATAATGTAATTATTGGATATAATTCATGGTAGAATTTAGGTTGCTCATTTATTCAGTATTATGCTAGGATAAATATCTTCATTTAGATATTTAGATTGATTCCTCAGGATAGATTCCAAAAAATATGAAAAAGGTTCAAACAGATTTATGCCATTTGTTATATATTGGAAAATTGCTTTCTGTAAGTAGTTTCTGTCTAGAAGGGAAGGAAGGAAGGGAAGAAGTCTGAGTAGAAGGTACTCAAAGACAGCAGAATTCATGCATGTGTGTTTATATTATATTCATCTAGTTTGTAAAGTCATTCAGCATATAATTAAGAGCATGTTCCTAGTGTTCTATAAGGGGAATTCTTTTTTCTTATTTGGTCATGAGACCTTTTTTTGATACTAATAGCTTTGATAAAAACTTTGATAGTAAAGATTAGTACTCATTATATCAAAAACAAATTGGAATACTTTATATATCAAAACTACCAAAAAAGCATTGCTTAAATATTTAAAAAAAATAACTTATTAGGACTATAAATGCTAGCAAAATATTCAAATAATTTTCCTATGAAGCTAGTGAGATTTTATTGTTGGCAAGCCCTCTGCCTGGCCAAGACTACAGGTAGTCTTAGAGGAGTTGGCTTTTATCTTAGAGTTTGGAGTAGGTACCTCACTGTTGGCAAATGCTCAGATCCCTAATAGAACCTCTTTTTTGGCTTCGCTCTTGATGTTACTGTGATGTCTTGTAATTATGTATATTCTACAAATTATATTTTCTTTTATCAGCACAGTTTTCTGTACTTCCAGAAATGTTACCACTTTGTGTTTCAACGATATCGCCTGGAGCACTATACTGTGACATCGAATTGGCTGGCATTAGGAACTGTCTTCCTGTTTGGGCTCTTGTCATTTTCTCGCTCTGTGGCACTGTTCAGAGGTAGATCTTCTAAGAATATCTTAACCTACACTGACGAGTCACTTGCTCTTAGGTTTTACTTGATTCATGATTATATAATACATATTTGGCTTATACTAAGAAGCCATTTCTAAAAAGAGAACCTGTAGACTTAATATTAATGAGTGGCATATGACTTCTGTATCTTAGGATTGAAGAGAAGATTGAGAATTCCTTTTAGTGTGATTAACTGTACATTTTTTGTCTATTTTTGTTGTTTTTTTCTTTTAATGGATGCTGATAAATTAAGGAAGCCTTAAACTTAAAATGCAAATTTGGGCTAACATTTCATGATTATATTCTTTCTTATAATCATTGTTTGGATCCATAATATTAAAAATATGCTCAAGGAAAATGAAGGTAAAAAGAAGAAGGAGCATAGAGAGGGGCAAGAAAGCCAATTATTTTTTGCAGAATAGGGCCTCTGCTGTAACCGTGTTCCCAGCTAGAGAGACATTTTATACCTGCAGAGCAGGCTTCATGCTGGAATGGCTATGGCCCTTCCTGCCTTTTAAATTTCCTGTGGCTTACAGTGCGACATTAATGAGCAGTATAATTAAAGTGAGAATCTCATCTTACTCATCTCTGGCTCTCACTAACTGTTCTCCCTTCCAGGATATCACGGGCCCCTTGATTTGTATCCAGAATTTTACCGAATTGCTACAGACCCAACCATCCACACTGTCCCAGAAGGCAGACCTGTGAATGTCTGTGTGGGAAAAGAGTGGTATCGATTTCCCAGCAGCTTCCTTCTTCCTGACAAGTAAGTTGTCCTTTAATTCCTAGGGTTTTAAATGAAGGAGTAAATAGAGCAGTTCTATATCAGTGTCTTCTAATTTTTGTTTTCTTTTGGAGTTTTCACAGAGAGTTATTGAATTATCTACCACGTCGGAGAGCTGTGGGGCCTGTGTACTGTGTACCTGCCTCCTGTGTTCATTAGGCTTATTAGGCTGAGGGCTGGGTCTAGGTAGACATTCTGCACTGCCCATAACTGCAGGTGTCTGGGGACTTCTGAAAATGCCCTGGGTCCTAGGCTTTTGCCAGTGGCTCTTCGTGGGGATTCATATTTACATTTCTATAATGATCTGATGTTAATCCTCTTCTAAAAGTGGTCTAGAAACTCCAGCTAGAAGAGAGAAGACATTCTTGACCCAACAGTAGTGAAAGTTCTCCACCATTATGTGGACACTGGGGAAGGCTGTGGTTAAAATGTCTATACCAGTTTCCTTTATGCTTTCTGTGGTTCTGAGAGCATAGGCCCTAAAGTTCTTTGTAGTTTGCTTCATTTGGCCAGAGAAGAGTCCTGTGTAGGTTAAAGGGAAATCTGGTTAAGATGAGTCATGTTGCTCCATTTGAGAAATGGCTTCAGTAGCTTGGCTTTACTGGGTAGTAGTTTCTTATGCTTCATAAAGACCCTGTGTCAGTCATTAATGATTAAATTAAAACTTGTTTTTTAAGTGTTGACTTTAGCCTTTGCCTTTTACGTTTGAAATAGTTTTATAGATAAAGATATGTTTGAGGGTTACTCCGGAACAAAGTATTTCTCCCATAGTGTGTTCTCAGTGCCATATATTACATTTCATTCTTTTTCTCTACACCTGATAATTTGCTTTATTTGATAAGTCTCTCTGCCCACATAGTAATTGACAATAAGCATTGGCACTTCTCTGGTTTTTTGATGATATGACCATTTGGTTGTGAATTTCACTGCTAACAGTTGGTGAAATGGGTCAAGAGACATCTAATTATAAATTTCTCAATGATTTTGGACTGACTTGTGACCTCTGCCTCTGTGCTCCCTGGTTGAGGTTTTAGCAGAAATATTTTTTCTTCAAGAGAAATGTTTTTCACATGATTTTCCTGGCTTGTTTGTTTCAAGTACATTTAGCAATATTATCCCCCTGTGTTTTTCTTATTCTCCTTGTGTTTCTGACAGTTGGCAGCTTCAGTTCATTCCATCAGAGTTCAGAGGTCAGTTACCAAAACCTTTTGCAGAAGGACCTCTGGCCACCCGGATTGTTCCTACTGACATGAATGACCAGAATCTAGAAGAGCCATCCAGATATGTAAGGGCTACATTCTCTTCTTGCTTCTCTGAAAAGAATTCTATGCCTAAAAGTCTGTTGGTGTGTATATTAGAGCATTGATAAAATGAGAATTTCTTAGAAAGCAATTTTTTTAAGGCCGGGTGCTGTGGCTCACACCTGTAATCCCAGCACTTTGGGAGACGGGCGGGATAATTGCTTGAATTCAGAAGTTCGAGACCAGCCTGGGCAACATAGCAAGATCACATTTCTACAAAAAATTAAAAAATAAGCCAGGTGTGGTGGCTTATGCCTGTAATCCCAGCCTTTCAGAAGGCTGAGGCAGGAGGATCACTTGAGCCTCGGAGTTCAAGGCTGCAGTAGGCCATGATTCCGCTACTGCACTCCAGCCTGGGCAACAGAGTGAGACCCTGTCTCAGAAAAAAACCGGATATTTTTTAGGATGAGGGGTATAACAGCTTTTGTTGAAAAACAGTAAACAGTATCACTTTTATTTTCAAATTAACCTCTTTATTTTCTATGTAAAATGTATAATTTAATTTTGAAGGTTTTGGGTAGGCTGAAAGTTTTCTTACGGTAGAAGTTTGAACCATTATTCTGAAACTCATATCATTCCTTGGCCTATTAAAATCCTTAATGAGGAACTTTCAAGTTATCAGGTGGACCTTTGACCTAGCTATTAGTATATTCCGGTTTTAACAAATGAACAGTAAAGACTGTTTCCATACTGAATGCCAGGGAGCAGCCTCTGTCAGGGCCATGATCTTCTCCCTACTTGTCTTTACACATTCTGAGATCCCATGCGAATTTTACTTCAGTTCCTTTGAAAGATGACACTTTTGACATTTGATACCTGTGAAATCTTTGATAATGAAAAAGGTAAGAAGTAATAAAGATAATGCTCCTTTTGGGTCACAAAGACAGTGTAAGATCGTTGTCTAGAATTATTAGAAAGCACATTTTTTGATAACCTGATAACCTGTCCGTTAAAGAAATATGTAACAGTTTAAATGTCAGCTATATTTAATTTACATTTTCTTATGTCATATGCTTAAAATGTAAAATAGCAAGACTTCCAATTCTCTTCTGAAGCAAACCTGCAGCCACATCTGGTCTTTTGTCTCCCAGATTGGGGCTGGTTAGAGTTCCATGGAGACCCTCAGGGTTTATGAGTGAGATTCTTATTGTATGAGCTGTAACTATAAGCTATGAAAATGGACACTTAAAGACACAGCCTTGAGCTGTTCCCTTGTAAGACAGGCGTTTCTGCCACATGGATTGTATTAGAGCTTTATTCTTTTAATTTAAGGCTCTGATTCCTGTTACAATGGAAATACCCTTGGGCAGGGTAGACTGTTACAGGTCATTTTAATTTTATCTGCAGATATGAGTCTCCTGAGTGCAGGGCATCATTCTAGAGAAGCTGGACAGTCAAAGGGTGGGAAAATACACTGTCATAGGGGGACAGTATGAATTCAGAGTGATGTTATCGGAGCTTTGCTTTAGGAAGAGGTAGTAAAAATGGAGTAGTAAAAAAAAGAGCGTGGACTTTGGAGTTGAGTAGGCCTGCATTCAAACCTCAGCTCTGTTGCTAAACTTGATAACCTTGGGCAAATTAGTTAGCTTCTCTGTTTAATTTCAGTTTCTGTCTGTAAAATGGCACCTACTTTGGAATTATGATATTTGATATTATATCTCTCTGTAGCAAAAATGCAATGTTCTTATGCTTGCACAAGTGTTCTTAATCTGATAATGGTATATTAGACAGATTCCAGGTAAAGAAACCCAATCTCTCCCCTTCCTTCTTTTTATTGTTTCCCATCCTTGTAATTTTATTCCAGTGTCTCCAGACTCATCATTGCGTTTTCCACCCCAGTGACTTCGCTTATATTGGTGACTATGCCTGAACTACCCTTGTGTCTCTTCTCACACTATCAAAATTATCTTCCTCTTTGAAGTGAACTATTTAAGTCCATATTGAGCAGACCTTCCTTTAAGTGTCTTCAGTATTTATCTGTGCAGTTCATTTAGCCATTTAATTTTCTTGGTCTTAGTTAAATATTTCTGATATCATATCTTTCCACATCAAATATGTGAATGCCATGAAGAGAATGACTGCACTTTGTTTCTTTTGTGTTCACCATAGTGTCTAGGACGGTGTCATGTACCCAGTAGTTCACTTTTACATGCTTTCTCAGTGGATAATGAATATTCATCGTCATTGTGGTAATGATGTTGAGAGAAAGCTGGCTAGAAAATCTACAGTGGCCTTTTGCACATTTCTTAGGCTTTTATCACTGGTTGTCTTAGTTAGATCATATTTCCATATTCTCTGCTGTCAGACAGTGTTAAATTTGATTAAATGACTCTATATGAGCTTTACCCGAAAGGTGATGATTTTTCAGGATGCCAGTAGGAGTCACCAAAATGCTGGCTGATAAAAGCAGGGAAAAACAAGTGATTTATGTCTGCTGGGTAGCAGCTGTGTCCAGCCCTTTGAATGCGAGGATTTTTTTGCTTATCTGTGGTGGCAGAATCATGAAAATTAGGCATGGACCTTTAGCTCTGGGTGGCAGGTTTTAGCCAGCCTTTGGCTTCAATGCTAAGTGCTCCAGCCTGTCCCGTTTCTATTGTGCATGGAAACGAGGAAAGTTGTATGACTTTTTTTATTTCACTATTTTCTTTACCTCTGGGCTAATCAAGAATTAGGAGTGAATAAGTGTAAAGGTTCTGTGGTTTGTACTGTACCATTATAACTATATTGCAAAAATAATGTTTTTGCTGCATATTTTTTCATGGTAGGTATTGAGTAGCTATTGAATATCTCATTATTGAACAGGAAGCATTTACAGGGGTACATGCCAAGATTGCCAAGATTTTCTGCCAGAATCAAGATCTAAATTTGGAAGATACATTCAGTGTCACCTCTTTAGTTCTTGAAAAATTCACATTTTTGTTCACTATTTCAAGGTGAATGATACACTTCCAGCTCCAAATCTAGTATATGATTTAGGAGCTACCTAGTCAATGGATGAAACCTTGGAGGAAAAAACAGCTCTTCAGGAGAGAGCTTACAGAAAAAGACTTTTTTCTGACTTTAATTTAATGCTTAAGCAGACTTGCTGGAAGTTTTCCTGTTTTCTTTCTTTTTTAAGAGACTGGATCTTGCTCTGTCACCCAGGCTGGAGTGCAGTGGTGCCATCATAGCTCACTGTAACCTCAAATTCCTGGGTTCAAGTGATCCTTCCACTTCAAGCTCCTGAGTAGCTAGGACTACAGGCATGCATCACCATGCACAGTTAATAGTTTTATTTTTTCTAGAAACAGAGTCTTGCTGTGTTGCCCAGGGTGGTCTCAAGCAATCCTCCCATCTTGCCCTCTCAAAGCTCTGGGATTATAGACATGAGCCACCATGCCTGTCCTCCATCTGTTATCTTTGAAAACATAGATTGGTCATTGATTTTTTTCCTAAGCAGTAATATAGTCAGTTCTGCTACAATAAGATATAAAGTTATGAAAAATTAATATGTGGTAAAAACCACAAAGCTTATTGGGAAAACGGAGTTAGGGACACAATACTTAAAAAACTTTGTCAGTTAAAAAAGAGATTAAAAATTAGCCATGCATGATGGCTCATGCCTATAATTCTAGCACTTTGGGAGGCTGAGGCAGGAGGATAGCTTGAGGCTAGGAGTTTGAGACAACATAGCGAGATTCAGTCTCTACAATAAAAAAAAAATAAATTAGCCAGGTATGGTGGCTCATGCCTGTAGTCCTAACTACTCAAAGGCTGAGGTGAGAGGACTGCTTGAGCCCAGGAGTTTGAGGCTACAGTGAGCTACAGTCATGCCACTACACTCCAGCCTGGACAACATAGCAGGACCCTCTCTCTGAAAAAATAAAAATTAAAAAAAGATTAAAAATGGTAGCATGATTTTACATATGTTAAATGGTTAAAAGTGCATAAATACTACAATAAATGTGGCTGTTTACTTTGCAGAAGACTTGAAGTTTGCTTGTGGCCTGGTATTGGAAGGATTGCAGCTTGTAGTAGTAAAAGGATTATCTGAAATCTTACAAAAGTTATAATAGCAAAGGTGAATGGGTGGATGTGGCTTATAACACAGTGAACTGAGAAGGCCAGTAGATATATTTGTGTATGTATACACTATGTGTATTCCTATGCTGATTGGTTCCACTGAGTGTACTTTTCTGCATTCACCTAGTGTTTCCTGTGAATTAAATGACATAATCAAATGCAAAAATTAAATTACGCTCAAAGTGTTCCCTAATATATCCCTTTGTTGGAAAAAATTTGCATTTTTGAAACTAGTATTAGAACAGAATTGACTGTATATCAGTTCAAAATATTCTTTATTTCATTCTTCTTTATCCCTGCTTTTCCAGTTTAACCAGTAAAAAGAATCATAGATTTAGAAGGGAACTTAAAATGTAGTCTGTGATCTTTTTATTTTATGGATGAAAGAACTGAGATCTAGAGAGATTATAACTTGATAAAGATTAGCCCTAGGATAAAAGGCTTGGTTTCAGGATTCTTCAATATTATTTTCATACCACCTCTTTCTTGTTTTTGTGTGATAGCTAATCATTCTTTGATGTTACAAGGCCAAATAGACATTAAGTAGCTGAGCATTGCTTTCTGTTTGTTTGTTTTGTTTTGTTTTTCAGAGGCAGGGTCTCACTCTGTCACCCAGGCTGGAGTGCAGTGTCATCATCATAGCTCACTATAGCCTCGAACTCCTGGGCTCAATCGATCTTCCCACCTCAGCCTCCTGAGTAGCTGAGACTACAGGTGCTGTAAAGACCCTGTCTCTATGGAGAATTAGGCTGGCATGGTGGCTCACACCTGCAATCTCAGCACTTTGGGAGGCCGAGGTGGGAGGATCACCTGAGGTCAGGAGTTCAAGATCAGCTTGGCCAACATGGTGAAACCCCGTCTCTACTAAAAATACAAAAATTAGCCAGGCATGATGATGTGCACCTGTAATACCAGCTACTTAGGAGGCTGAGGCAGGAGAATCACTTGAACCCAGGAGGCGGAGGTTGCAGTCAGCCGAGATGGCGCCACTGCACTCCAGCCTCGGTGACGGAGCGAGACTCTGTTTAAAAAAAAAAATTTAAATTAGCCACTACCCCTAGCTAATTTTTAAATTTTTTGTGGAGAGAGGGCCTCACTGTCTTGCCCAGGCTGGTCTCGAACTCCAGGCTTCAAGTGATCCTTCTGCCTTGACCTCCCAAAGTGGCGGGATTACAGGTGTGAGCCACTGTGCCCAACTCATTACTTTTTTAAAAAATTACTTTCCATTTCTAGTTTATATATGACAGGTACTTACTTTAAGTAGTAAATATTATGTTTAACAATAAATAAAAATGATCAGGATTTCCCCCGACATGCTTTCCTTTCTTCTCTTTTTCTTCCTTTCTCTCTCATTTTATCCCTTCTCCTGCCCTTTTTGGAAGTCCTTATTGGAGGAAAAAATAACTTGCCCTATTTGTTTCCTCACTAATTGTTATCAGTCTCGGGTATCAAGGCAAGCAGATTCAAATTGCTGTAATATATACAGTGCAATTAGATTAGAGTCTACTAAGAATTTAATTGGAGAATGTTCAAAATACTTCTCTAAAGTTAATTTTTTTAGTATTCATTATGTTGGCATTTAGAAATTAATTGATGTTTCCATGATCTATAATGATTGAATGAACAAAAATTTTTACCTGTGAGTTTAGATTTTTACAGTGCAATGAATTTTTTCTTGTGAGTTTAAAGATTCAATCAACAAATATGTATTTAGCAAGGCTATATGAGAGACAAAAAACTAAGACAGTCTGTGGCTCTGGAGGACAACTACTTTTTAAAATTTAACTGGAGCATATCTAAAAGAGGAAATGAAAAGACAGAAAAATACTTGAAATTTTTCCCTTTCAGATGTTTCCTCCCAGGCCTCCATGTTCTTATTTCAATAAAGGAAATATCATGGGAGGATATTGATGATTGGCTATTTGATAGTGGCAAGAGCATTGACTGGAAGTTAGGAGAGTCTGATTCTTTTCTGGAATCAAGTGAAATGTATTTTCCTTTTAAATGACTGGGAATTTCTAAGACCATTGACATTTCTTTGCTTCCCTTTCCAATTTGCTGAAACTACACCTGAAATCCAACTGGAGTGTTTATATTTTAGCTTATCCCATTACCTATTTTCCTGTCAAATATTTTATGGCAGCACAGTTTATCTTGAGACATGTGTCCTGAGCCGGGGCCCTCATGACCAGAGATGGAAGTCTACATGCTGCTTCTGTCCTGGAAGAGATGAGTACTGTTAGAGGCTTACTCTGTGCTGTGTCCCGCTCCAAGAGTGTGATGCTGGTGTTTGAGAGTTGAGATGATGTCACTGAAGACTGCAACCCTGACAAAGTTTCTGTTACAGCTGATGAGGAAAAGCTGTGACAATATTTATTACTACCCAGCTCTCCTTAGCTCACTCTTCCCCCGACAAAATACACATCTTTTATTATTGGGATCTCAACCTCTGTTTCAGGCCTTCTATTTCCTTTGAGAATGTGTAGTTTTGTTTACATCTGGAGTGGTATTAAATTGTTATCCTTAACATATGCTTGTTTATAAGATGTAAACAATGTGATATTGATGATGGATAAATTGGCTTGAATTCCCCCGCTATTACCTTTTTCTCTTTTGGTTTAGAGGTGCTTATTTGTTCTTCTCTAAAGCTTCTAGTGGGTTGAAACAGAAAGAAGTCACATTTCTTTCAAAATGAGTCTTAAATGCTTGTGTTTTACAAAATTTTAAATTAAGGCATATTTTTAGCTTCGACAGCTGGTTGATATGTAGCCTGTGACTAATGAAATGAAACACATTTTTGTTTCATGATCATGTGTTAATGTCACCCTACAATTTTGTTATTTTTGATGCAAGAAAGAATGATTAAATCTGAAGAAACAAAAAAAATGGGCTCTTTGGTTATACTTTAAGGCAGATTTAAATCCAGTCTTTTGATTTTTGAATTGTAGATGATGTGGTTATGATCTCAGATTTTGCAGTGTGAGATATTTATAAAATTGAGAGAATAAATTTATTCTCTCTGGTTGTAATTCAAGTCATGTTACTTTAGCTTTTAGACCTATGGGGCAGTAGACAGTTGGTGTTTTCAGGGATATAAACTGAGGACTCTCAAGCTAAAAATAGTCACAGTAAAACAATATATATAACATGATCCAGATCTTGTAAAGAAAAATCAATATCTGCAGAGAAGTTCTGGGATATACACTAATAGGCTGATGGTGATTTTCTTTGGGTCGGAGGACTGTAAGTGATTTTGTAAGATGTTTTTTGTAATAAATAATGTTTTAATTTCATCATGGAAAAAAAATAACTGTAATGGGGGCTGTCACTGTGAAATCTTTGATACCCCTACCAAGAAGATCTGTGGTGGACTTGAGCAACATTCAGTGTGTTTTCAGTTGACCTCGAGTTTCTCTTCCTTGAACATAAGGACTTTCAACTCAAAATTGGAAGATAAGTGTTCTATCAAGTAATTTTTCCCTCTTTGCCTTCAGGCCTCTTCTTAAGTCATTTTAGTCATATTTAATACTATCTTTGCTACTCTTTCCACAAATTATATCTTGATTACTTCAAAAAAATAGATGTGGTTTACCAATTTACAAGCTCCAAGGAACGCTTTTTGTTAGAAACCTAGGACTAAAGAGGATGCCGCAGTGCACAAGGCAAGTACGTTATTAAACTCTTCCAGGCAGAAGTGAGTTAAGGAATTAAATACAAATTTAAATAAAGTTAATTTTCTGGTTGTTGGGGTTTGGACAGAAAGCCTTGTCTGTCCCGTAATCATGCTCAAGACTATCCATTGGCGGTGTAATTCCAACAGTTTTGAATCACTGGCTCAAGAAGACAATGATGTATAAATATTATCAGCACAACCATGTTCATCTCCTTTTTTTTTGATGGAGTCTTGCTCTGTCACCCAGGCTGGAGTGCAGTGGCGCAATCTTGGCTCACTGCAACCTCCATCTGTCTGGTTCAAGCAATTCCCCTTCCTCAGCCTCCTGAGTGGCTAGCTGGGGTTACAGGTGCACACCACCATGCCTGGCCAATTTTTTTGTATTTTTAGTAGAGACAGGGTTTCACCATGTTAGCCAGACTGGTCTCAAACGCCTGACGTCAGGCAATCTGCCAGCCTTGGCCTCCCAAAGTGCTGGGATTACAAACGTGAGCCACCACGTCCGGACTCATCTCTTATCTTTAGGCACCTTTTTTTTTTTTTTTTGGAGACAGAGTCTCTCTCTGTCACCCAGGCCAGAGTGCAGTGGCATAATCTCAGCTCACTGCAACCTCCACCTCCCTGGTTCAAGGGATTTTTGTGCCTCAGCTACCGAGTAGCTGGGATTACAGGTGTGTGCCACCATGCCTGGCTAATTTTTTGTATTTTTAGTAGAGACAGGGTTTCACCATGTTGGCCAGCCTGGTCTCGAACTCCTGACCTCATGTGATCCACCTGCCTTGGCCTCCCAAAGTGCTGGGATTATAGGCGTGAGCCACTGTGCCTGGGCATCTTTTTTGTTCTTAATCACTGTTAAGTGTTTCTTACTCTTTTCATTCGTTGGTTGATTCAGCCATTCATCCAACTTTTTATTGTCTCTATGTGCTGAAAATAGGTGACAGAAAGCATAATCTCCTTCTTTTGAGACTTTCACTCTTATTGCCCATCTCGACCCACTGCAACCTCCCACTACCGGGTTCAAGTGATTCTCCTGCCTCAGCCTTCCAAGGAGCTGGGATTACAGGCATGCGCCACCCCGCCTGGCTAATTTTGTATTTTTAGTAGAGACAGGATTTCTCCATGTTGGTCATGCTGGTCTCAAACTCCCGACCTCAGTTGCTCCGCCCACCTCAGCCTTCCAGAGTGCTGGGATTACAGGTGTGAGCCACTGTGCCCACCAATCTCCTGTCATTTAAGAAAAGTCCCTTATAAGAAAAAAAGGCAGAATTATGGGGAAAAGAAGGAATTGAAAGAAACAGAAACAATGTAGGAAGCAGAAATATTTCCTGATAGATTAAAAATTTGGGGTTCATAAAACAAAAACATATGCTCTTCATATTATTTGTGCTTTTAAAAGAGAACAATCAGGAAATAAGAGCTGCTAGAAATTAAAAATAAAGGAGATTTTTAAAGTCAGTAGAATGATTAGAGGATAAGTTTGAAGAAATCTTCCAGACTATAATAATACAAAACAAATCAAAAACAAAGAGATAGAAAATAGAAAAAGAACAATAAAATCAGAATCCAGAATTTAGCTAATAGGAGATCCAGAAAGAGAAAACAGATGAGACGGAGGAGAGGAGATTGCCAAAGGAATCATGTGAGACTATCCCCAGAACTGAAGGATATCAGTTTTCAGATTGCAAGAGCCTGCAGAGCGTCCCTGAAATGATGAATGAGGAAAGATCCATACCAAGATATATCAAGTACCAAAAGAAGTTAGTGTATGTTACTATTTGATAATTGAAAAATCAAAAGCTACCAGGAGAGGTGAGGATTGTTTGAACCCAAGATAGTGCCACTGCACTCCATTCTGGGAGACAGAGTGAGACTCTGTCTGAAAAAAATAAAAAAACCTACCAGGAGAAAAAGCTGGAAGAGTTGAGTGGTTGTCTCTGGGAAGTTGGACTGGGGAATCAGGAGGGTACTGCTGTTTTTCATAATAAGCTTCTTGTACTAAGTTTTTTTTTGTTTTTTTTTTTTAAACTCTGGATATATTGTTTATTTTGTCATCCAGGCTGAGTGCAGTGGTACAGTCACAGCTCACTGCAGCCTCGACCTCCCTGACTCAAACAATCCTCCCACCTCAGCCTCTCAAGTAGCTGGGACTATGGACCTGCACCACCATACCCAGCTAATTTTTTATTTTTTTGTAGAGACAGGGTCTGGCAATGTTGCCCAGGCTGGTCTCAAACTCCTAGACTGAAGTGATCCTCCCACCTTGACCTCCCAAAGTGTTGGGATTACAGGCATGTGCCACTGCACCTGGCCGCATATTATTATTATTATTATTATTATTATTATTATTGAGACGGAGTTTTGCTCTTGTTGCCCAGGCTGGAGTGCAGTGGTGCGATCTCGGCTCACCGCAACCTCTGCCTCCTGGGTTCAAGTGATTCTCCTGTCTCAGCTTCCTGAGTAGCTGGGATTTCATGAAGGCATGCGCCGCCATGCCTGGCTAGTTGTGTATTTTTAGTAGAGATGGCGTTTCTCCATGTTGGTTAGGCTGGTCTCAAACTCCTGACCTCAGGTCAGGTGTTTCCTGGTGATCCGCCCACCTTGGCCTCCCAAAGTGCTGGGATTACAGGTGTGAGCCACCGCGCCCGGCTGTATATATTATTTTGATAAACCTAAAGGTGAATTTAGAAAAGGACATAAATCTTGCCCTCAGAGTCTAGTAGAAGAAACAAACTTAAAATGTTATTAAACAGTGTACTGAGTGCCATAATGTGCATAGAGAAGGTGAGAAAACTCTTCGTACTTCAGCCTCACATAAGAGGTAGCATAGGAGTTGAGTCTTAGAGGCTGATTAAGAATTTTCTGGCTGAGGAAGGGGAAATTGACATTCCAGTCAGAAGGAACAGCTTTTGCAAAGGCCTGAAGTATGAAATAACATTGAATATTTAGGGGAAATTAAATGGCTTGAGGTTTCTAGATTTTAGTTAATTGAGCAGGAGCATTTCTCATTTCTTCTCTGTTTCATTGTTCTCACATATTTATGTATGTGACGGTGTTCTCTGGCAAATTTTACATTTGTTTAAAGACAAGGGTTCATGTTTGTCATTAATCTTTCAAACCTTCACAATGCCTGGCATAGGGATTATACACAGCAGGTGATTTTTAAAAATTTAAGTGAAATACTCAAATAGCCCTTCATTTAGTCTTTTTGAGCTAAAGAGAGGCCTCCCCAAACCTTGTTAATAGTAGAAATTTGGACCAATTAGGACTCAAGCACTACCATTTTTCAAGGTTGTTTGTAGTCCAGTAAGAGTACCAGGTTACAAGCACCTGGAGAACAGGGATCATGTCTAGCTTTCTCCTGTCGTTTGTTTCTAATGTAAATTGACAGAGGTTGGTATTTGGCAGATTTGTGTCCTCACTGGTTTCCTGTCAAGTTTGATATGTTGCAGGAAGATGGAATACTTTTCTTTTAGCTATGATAGGTCTATTTCACACAGATGTTTCCGAATTCTCTGTTCAGGGTCATTTATGGAAACTAATTCAAAGCCTGGGAGCCATGCCTTCCTCATGCAACTTAATAAAATTTCATAGGTTGATGCAAATATTAACCTGGGTAGAACTTTATCTATTGAATTTATATTCTTCTGAATGGGTGATGAAAATAACTGTGAAAAGGTTTGCGTTTAAAAAGACATTCCCTCTTCTTAGATTGTAAAGTATATAGCAGGAACTGATAATAATGCAAACTAACTGATTAAGCACAGAAATTACGGTAGGAAAAGATTTTATAAGCATGTTTTGCCAACTCTGGATAATTGAAAATTAACTTCCCATTACTTTTTACTTACGCTTTGGTATAATGGCTTTATTCTATTGGCTGAATGCCACTCAAAGTTTATACATCTGATATTGTCCATCATAAGTTGGAAGCTCCTAAAGGGAAGATATCTATCCATGTATTTGTCTTCCTCTGGTCCCCTTTTAAACTGTAATAACAATATACAACCCGTAAAGAAAAAAATGGAGATTTTGACAAAAATGGTGACTATTTGTATATATGTCGACTTAACTCCAAAGTAGAAATTCTCTAAAATTTGTGTGATTTTTCTTTTGTTTCCTAATTTAGTACTTAACAGGACTTTCTTAATGGTGGCAGTGATAGTGACTTTAGTCATAAATACTAGTGAATTTCATTCTGTATCATAGATGCATTCTTAAAATATTTTATATACACTGATATTTTAAAAGTCCGATTTATGAAAGAAACCCAGAATTTGTTATTGTAAAACAGAAGAAATCAAGCGATCTCCCATGATTTCTCAGATTTCTAAATCTGCATTTTTGTATAAAGTAGTTTGTTTATTTTGAGATATGTTGTTGAGAACTAAGAGATATCATCCAGTTGGGCTTCACTGAGTTGCAGTACCACCATCCTGGGTGTTCACCCTTATGTACTGATTTCACAAGGGGGACAAATAGTTGCAATTCACATAACACCTCTCATCAATTGGTAGTGGCTTACTGGAGCCTGGGATGAAAGAGCATGATGACATTGAATCCAAGCTCAGTGGAAGAGTGCCACAATTGATTGGTGATGTGGAATGTGAACAGTGGGAAGGGAAACAACCATTGGAGCTTTCTTTATTTACCATCACCTAACTTCAGGATAGATCTGTGTGGTGATCTAGGCTCTGTAGATAAGACATGTGACCTTTTCCCAAGTCAGACTTTTTATATTGCTAAAGCTCTTAGAGATGAAGAAGCACTGTAAAAATTCAGAATTTTTCAGGCATGTAAGCCCACAAAATTTCTGTAACCTTTCCATATTTAACATTGGCTTTAAATAGCTCCTTGACATCAACAAATTGAGAGAATTGAATGATCTTATTTTGCCTTTGCCATTTGTGACACGTTCAGTCACAAATGTAACTGTGTTCAGTACTAAAAGCAAGACATAGACTTTCTAATTGCTCAAGACTTGGCAGTGTAAAAGCAAATCCTGTATATTTGTTACCTCCAGCACAGGGCTTTTAATATGGAAATGTATGTAATGATGAGCAGCAGTAGTTTAGAGAAGAGTAGAATCAGCAAAGGGGAGTATATTTGCAATTGTGAGGAAATTGCTTTCTCTACAGTTGCTTTCTCTAGAGTTGAGGAATTGCTTTCTCTAGAGTTGAGAGGGATCTTAGTGGTTTGCACTCCAAACCTTTTGGAAAGGTGGTAAAATCTCTGAGCCTAGGTTAAGCTACTTCCCTAAATCACAGAGCTAGAGGCAGAATATTCAGCGGTCCCATTTCCTGATGCAAATGAAAATATTAGCTAGATTTAAATAAAAAGAGCACTTAGTCGGAGGCAGAAAATACAGAGCTTCTTTTTTATTTTTGTTTTTGAGACAGAGTTTCAGTTTTGTTGCCCAGGCTGGAGGGCAATGGTGTGATCTCGGCTCACTGCAATCTCCGCCTCCCGGGTTCAAGCGATTCTCCCGCCTCAGCCTCCTGAGTAGCTGGGATTACAGGAATGTGCCACCGTGCCCAGCTAATTTGTTGTATTTTTAGTAGAGACGAGGTTTCTCCATGTTGGTCAGGCTGGTCTTGAACTCCCAACCTCAGGTGATCTGCCCACCTCAGCCTCCCAAAGTGCTGGGATTGCAGGCGTGAGCCACTGTGTCTGGCCTGTTTTTTTTGTTTGTTTATTTTGTTTTTTGAGACGGTGTTGCATTGTCACCCAGGCTGGAGTGCAGTGGCATGATCATGGCTCACTACAGTCTCAACTTCCTGGACTCAGGTGATTCTCCCACCTCGCCCTCCTGAGTAGCTGGGACTACAGGTGCACACCACCACACCCAGCTAAATTTTTGTATTTTTTGTAGAGACGAGGTCTCACTATTTTGCCCAGGTTGGTCTTAAACTCCTAGGCTCAAGCAGTCTGCCCACCTTGGCCTCCCAAAGTGTTACAATTACAGGTGTGAGCCACAGCACCTGGCCTTTTTTTTTTTTTTTTTTTTTGAGACTGAGTTGTGCTTTGTCACCCAGACTAGAGTGCAGTGGTGCGAACACAGCTCACTGCAACCTTGACCTCCCAGGCTTAAGCGATCCTCCTGCCTCAGCCTCTCGAGTAGCTGGAACTACAGGCACGTGCCACCGTGCCTGGCTAATTTTTGTATTTTTTGTAGAGACAGGGGTTTCACCCTGCTGCCCATTGCTGGACTCAAACTCATGGGCTCAAGCAATCTGCCCACCTTGGCCTCCCAAAGTGCTAGGTTTACAGGTTTGAGCCACTGGGCCCAGCACAGAGCATTATTATAGTCTGTTTTTCTATTGCTGTCATTTTGGAGCATTAGCCACTTCTAATGTTTGTTTTATGGGTGCTTGTTGATATAACCTGTATCTATCTCGAAGTCCCTCAAGTGGGTATTAATGCAGTGTGATTTCTGCCCAGTGCTCTGAATGTCAAAGTGAAGAAATTCAGAGAAGCCTGGGTAGCCGGGCGTGGTGGCTCACACCTGTAATCCCAGCACTTTCGGAGGCCGAGGCAGGCGGATCACAAGGTCAGGAGATTGAGACCATCCTGGCTAACACGGTGAAACCTCGTCTCTACTGAAAATACAAAAATTAGCTGGGCGTGGTGACAGGCGCCTGTAGTCCCAGCTACTCAGGAGGCTGAGGCAGGAGAATGGCGTGAACCCGGGAGGTGGAGCTTGCAGTGAGCCGAGATCGTGCCACTGTACTCCAGCCTGGGCAACAGAGCGAGACTCTATCTCAAAAAAAAAAAAGAAGCCTGGGGAAACAGCGGAAGTCACTATGACTCTTAGCCAAATGCCTCGTCATCTCATTAGTGACACACATGAGTGGACCATTTCTGTAAGAACAGATTCCCACTGTTCCTACCTATGATTCAGCAAAACTACAGCCAAGGGAATGGGCTTGGCGGAGTCATTGGGAAAAGAAGACCCTGTCGAGCTTGACTCTAGTCTGGCATGGTAGAGAGACATGAGAAATGTAGAATAAGCAGGAGGCCCCAGGGGTTGGGGATGATCTCCAAGGGGCTCTGGCTTTTGGTGCTGCTCTGGGGACAGTGCCAAGTAGGATGTTTGACTGGGGCAGTACACCTGTCAAACAGTAATGCAGGTGTGTTAAGGTGAGCTCAAGGAGGACAGAAGCCTCCCGTGGAGCAGAAGGGGAAAAGCCCACTTGATCTTGTACAAATACAGAGCATGAAAGTAGGACCTTATAGGAAAAAAATACTGATAATCCATTTTCAAATATGTAGAGCATATGCAATAGGATTTCTTTTTACTTTTTAAAAAATTTTATTTTTAGAGACAAGGTCTCGCACTCTTGCCCAGGCTGGAGTGCAATTGTGCAATCATAGCTCACTGCAGTTTCAAATTCCTGATATCAAGCAATCCTACCACCTCAGCCTCCCGAGTAATGAGGATTACAGGTGCACACCACCATACCTGGCTTGTGTGTGTGTGTGTGTGTGTGTGTGTGCGCGCGTGTTTGGAGACAGGGTCTCACTATGTTCCCAGGCTGGTCTTGAACCCTGGCCTTAAGTGATCCTCCTACCTTAGCTTCCCAAAGGATTACAGGTGTGAGCCACAATACCTGGCCCTACATTTGTATTTTTTATAGTAAAAAAGTTGTGGCTAAAATGGAGTCAAAAAACATCTTAGAACTTCTTTACATGCAGAAAGTTCTGGAAGGTTGCAGAACTGGACTTGATTATCTCTAACATCTTGTCTGTGAATTGAGAAAGGCAAGAAATACCAATTGGGAATTTGAGTTAATGCTATGGTTTGTGTCCCCCAAAGTTCATGTATTGGGAACTTGATCCCCAATTTGTCAGTGTTAGGAGGTGGCACCTAATGGAAGGTGTTTGGGTCATGGGACATCTGCCCTCATGAATAGATTAATGCCATTATTGCCGGAGTGGTTTATCTCGAGAGTCAGTGCCTTGTAAAACAATGAGTTCATCCCCTTCTTGCTGTCTCTTGCCCTGTCTTTGCCCTTCTGCCATGTGCTGCCTTCTGCCATGAGATGGCACAGTAAGAAGGCCCTTACCAGGCGCCGGCACCTTGATTTTGTACTCATCAGCCTCCAGAACTGTAAGGAAGTAAATTTCTTTTCTTTATAAATTATCCTGTCTCAGATATTCTGTTATAGCAACACAGATTGGACTAAGACAGTTGCTCTTAAGTGTGATTCTTCTGTTTATTTCCTTTGGATTCTGTAATCCCTTTCCCAATAGCAGGAATGCAGTCATGGATCTGAATAGAGTCATATATTTTGATGGCACAGTGAGAAGGCCCTTACCAGACACCAGCACCTTGATTTTGTTTAGTAGATTTATTACGATATGATGTGATCTTTATTGTATGGTATTATGGAGGAAATAGATTGTCCTCCAGGGGCTAGAAGCTAAGGGAAGAAATTCTTGGCACTTACAAATAAGCTGGTCATAGTTTTGAACAGCGTGGTGTTGGAAGTTGTCCAGCATCCTGGTGTGGCTGGTCACCATTCTTTCCTTCCGCAAATACTTTTTGACTGCCTGAGATATGCCAGGTACTGTACCAGGCACCAGGTGTATTGTGCTTATAAAGACAGATTCAGTTCTTGCCTTCACAGAGCTTACAAGGTTCAGCTATAAGAAGGCTTGGGCCTTGCTGCAGTTGCTCACAGAGGGATTTGAGGAGATGTGATGAATCAGAATTTATTATGTGTTTGGAAGGAAGACATTCTGAATGCTGCTTAAAAGCTAAGTATTAAATTAATAACATATGTCAGCCATTGTGGCTGCTGGATAGTCTCAGTTATGACCAAATTTTACTTAGCTGTGGGCAAACTGTCTAAACAGTTTTTTCAGCTTTAATCCTCCCACTTGCCTAGGAGTTTACAGGGCAGTTGATTTAGATTGATCTTTCACATTATCCCCTTGGACTCTTAGAGGATTCATGATGACAGTTGTTTACCAGAGGATTTTCAGTGACATATGAGAAATAAGATCTGTCTTCTGTGTGGAGATGGTTTCTCTGTGATGTTCCCTGAACCTCATGTTGGCCCTTGCCAGAGATCTCTATTTTTACAGCTACTTGCGTCATTGTCATTTCCAGCTGATAGATGATTGAATGCAACTTCACATCCTTCCTGTCTTAGGACTTGTGGGGCTTTGGCTCAGGCAGCTGGATAGACAGCAGAGAAGGTCACTGAGAATAGGAGGTTGGACTATTAGTTCTTTCCTTGTCCCCACATGGCATTCTAAACTGTGATAAAATTATTTGATACAACCATTGAACCCATTCCTCCTGTTGCCTTTTCTCAGTCTTCAGATCCCCATAGTGTTTCTGTAGCATTTGAAATCTACTCTTCACCCAGATTTTCAAAACTGTGTACTTCTTTGATTCTTCTATGTCCTGTCTTCTGGTTCCCTTCATCCTTGGCTGCTTCCACTTCTTTCTTCTGCCCAGTGCTACGGGCATCTTCTCAGCTTTATCTGTGGTCTTTGGCCCTCTCTGTTTGTTTTTTGTCTCTCTTCTGCTCTTTTACCTTTTCTTCCCTCCTTCACTTCCTCTCCCTTTTTTTCATGCATTCTTCATGTATTTGTTAAGTAGACATTTACTTAGGACCTACTGTATGTTTTGTACTGTGCTAGGTTTTTGGCATAGAAGAATGAATGAGATAGACACAGCCCCAGATTTTATGGAGCTTACAATGAATTTCCCAATTAATTAATAGAATATAATTGTAAAATGTTTTGAGAAGTACTGGTTGCTATAAGAGCATGTAATTTAGGCCCTGTCCTAGTTTAAGAGGTCAGTGAAGTCTTTCTTAAGGAAATCATTTTTAGCTGAAATCTGAAGGATGAGTAGGAATTTATGAGGGGACAACAGGGAATGTTCCACGAGTAGGAACAGAAAACAGTTCTCTAACTCAGTATTTTAGTCATATTGGTCTTCTTTCAGTTACAGTTGTGTGCTGCTCAGTGACACTTTGATCTAGGGCAGACTGCATGTTTGATGGTGGTCCCACAAGATTATTATGGCTACACCATACAGCCTAGGTGTGTCATAGGCTATACTGTCTAGCTCTGTGTAAATACACTCTATGATGTTCACATAATGATGAAATCATCTAAGACACATTTCTCAAAACCTGTCTCCCTCGTTAAGTGACGCATGACTGTACTTGAGTACCCCATGCTTCTTCCCACCTCATTAGGTGTAAGACACAAGTTATCATCTTTCCTCAATGTCACCCAAACCTATTCTTTACTGCAGCCTTAGTTCACTGAATTAGAAATCTTGGTGTCACTGGTTTCATTTGAAATAGAAGTGAGGGCCAGGTGTGGTGGCTCACGCCTGAAATCCCAGCACTTTGGGAGGCCGAAGTGGGCGGATCACCTGAGGTCAGGAGTTTGAGACCAGCCTGATCAACATGGTGAAATCCCGTCTCTATTAAAAATATAAAAATTAGCCAGCCGTGGTGGCGGGCCCCTGTAATCCCAGCTACTCAGGAGGCTGAGGCAGGGGAGAATCGCTTGAACCTGCGAGGTGGAGGTTGCAGTGAGCCGAGACCGCACCACTGCACTCCAGCCTGGGCGACAGAGCAAAATCTGTCTCAAAAAAAAAAAAAAAAAAGAAATACAAGTGAGATTTGTCCTTTCTTCTTTCTTCATTCCCACTGCCATAGAAATATCAGAAGGTGATGTAGAGGCAGGTGGATCACTTAAGCCCAGGAGTTCGAGACCAGCCTGGGCAACATGGTGAAACCCTGACTCTACAAAATACAAAAAAAATTAGCCAGGCGTGGTGGTGTGCACCTGTTGTCCCAGCTACTTAGGAGGCTGAGGTAGTAGGATCACTTGAGCCTGGGGAGGTCGAGACTGCAGTGAGTTTTGTTTTTTATTTTTTTTTGAGTCAGAGTCTCGCTCTGTCTCCCAGCCTGGAGTGCAGTGGCGTGATCTTGGCTCACAGACTGCAGTGAGTTGTGATTTGCACTACTACACTCCAGCCCGGGTGACTGAGTGAGTCCCTGTCTAGAAAGAAAGAAATATCAGAAGGCATTATCACTTCACAACTGAATATTACAGTAGTAACTAGAGTGCTTACTTCAGCTTTTTCCTCCAACACTTTCTTGCCTCATCCTCCGCAGCATAGCTAGTATAGGCCTCTCTTTCTAAGACCCTGTTTTTTATCATCTTACTCCTTGGCTGAAAAACCTAGAATAGATTCCTGATGCATAAAATCCAGATTCTCTTCCTTTGGATCCTCCATTATCAGTCCTCAGACTGTCTCACTCTCGTTTTGTTTCTCAACAAACACCTTTTGGGACAGGTAGATATTCTTCCTCTTCCCCCTGTCAACCATGCTCCTTTATGTCTTTTTCCCTCTGTTTTCTCTTTAACTTTTATTACCAACTTTAGGAAGTCTTTTCAACTACTGTAGCCTCCAGTGATCTCATCCTCTCTGAACTCTGAATTTTTAATAACACTTTCTGCATTTCATATATGCTAATGTCATTTCCTTACCTAAATTATAAGTTTAAGAATGACTTGGGGCTGGGTGTGGTTGCTCATGCCTGTAACCCAGAACTTTTGGAGGCCAAGGCGGGAGGAATCACTGGAGACCAGGAATTCAAGACTGACCTCGAAAAGTTAGTGAAACCTTGTCTCTATTTTAAAAAATTTAAAAATTAGCCAGGCATGGTGGCACATGCCTGTGGTCCCAGCTACTTGGGAAGCTGAGCTGGGAAGATCACTTGAGCTTGAGAGGTTGAGGCTGCAGTGAGTTATGATCACATCATTGCACTCCAGCTTGGGCAACAGATTGAGACCCTGTCTCCAAAAGAAAGAAAGAAAGAATGGCCAGCTGGACATGGTGGCTCATGCCTGTTATCCTAGCACTTTGGGAAGCTGAGGTAGGAAGATTGCTTGAGGCCGTAAGTTCAAGACCAGCCTAGGCAGCATAGCAAGACCCCCGTCTCTACAAAAAATAAAAATAAATTAACTAGGCCTGGTGGCGCATGCCCGTAGTGCCAACTACTTGGGAAGATCACTTGAACCCAGGAGGTTGAGGCTGCAGTGAGCAAAAGAAAAGAACAAGGACATGTTATGACTTATATGTAATTTTATATACTCTAGGATTCACCAAATAGATACTTAATAAATGCTTTGAGGATGCCTAGAAGATTCCTTTTTTGCTTTTTGATCTGCAATTTTATTGCCTGTCAGGACAAATTGTATCACCCTTCAAATACATTCAACAAATTCAATACTCAAAAGTGTAAAATCATAGTGCCCAACAACTAATCAAAACTACTAAATTGTGAAGAGGCAAGAAGATGTAACCTAAAACCAAGAAGATTTATTTTGATATCATTTGGTGGATACTGCTAGTTCATTGCTTACTGGGGACTGTGAATGGTTAACATTGTAATCCTTCTGTCCTGTATGTTGGGTTTAACTTGAATTGATAATAGACACTAACCTAGGTTGAAACAAGGATAATTTATTTTAATGGGCTCTAATATTCCAGGGATTGTTTCTACCAGCTAAATACTCACATTTCATAGAGCTGGTCAAGGATTCCTTCTGATATTCCAGCTATTTTTATAGTCCTTTACAGTTTACCAGTTTTATTTAAATGAATCATCTCATTTAATCCTCATTATAACTCTTTGAGGTAAGTGATGTTATCTTTATTATCAGAAGAAGAAAATGAGGTATAAGAAAAAAGATTGTGAGTCACTCAGCCAGTCTGTGGTAGAACCCAGGCCTGAATCTAGGCCGGCTGACTTTGAACTCCTTTTCTAATAACCTTAGTTGTTCTTGAATGAAGAACCTGCCCTTGATCATACCTAATCATTTTCTGCTGGAGGCCTTTGTCCTTGTGTGTTTGAGTTGTTCATCAGCTGCTTCCCAGAGATGGTGAAAAAGAGGTTAAAAGTTTTTCTAATGGATTATCCTCTTGATTAATATGATTTTGCTTCGGTGTCTTTCTTTTTTTTAGTTTTAGAGACAGGGTCTTGCTCTGTTTCCTGGGCTGGAGTGCAGCGGCACAATCAGCTCACTGTAGCCTCGAACTCTTGGGCTCAAGCGATCCTCCCGCCTCAGACTCCCAAGTAGCTAGGACTACAAGTGCGAGCCACCACACTGAGCCAATTTTTAAAAAAAATTTTTTTGTAGAGACGAGCTGTCACTATGTTGCTCAGATTGGGCCTTGATATCTTTCTAAGACCTTTACTTTAAATGGAATTTGCTTAGGGATGATATGATAAATGAAGCCTAATCTGACTGATACAGTTGCATATTAATTAGTTACCACCCACATCCCTGGTAGGCCTTGTACCCGACACCAAATCTAGATAACCAGACCTGTAGTGTGCCTGGCCAGAAAAAGCCACGTTGAGGTCAAGTATTAAAATGTCATACTGAGGGCTCCCTAACCAAAAGAAATCTAAGCATAAGACCCTCAGTGTCTCTGTCTCTTGTTGGTTCTGTTTGCTTACAGAGGCATGGCACTTGTAAAGCTTTTAAAAACTTGTTTCATGTTCTTATAATCCTTGGGAGATACAGAGTGGGTGTTCAGACCAAAAAGGCTACTTCCTGAAGTGTTTATGCAAAGGATCATTTTTAGAGAGTTATGTGGAATGGAATTGGGTCTGACGTCAATTCTCAGTGTGCTTTCTCTCCCCTGGAGGAATAGGCCATATGTAGAGACAGATGTGAGACTGAAGTCTTTTTTACATATAAATAATGCTGGGAGAGAATGAGAACATTTCTGTAAGGTGGAGGTTGGGGAAGAACAGAGTTCACGGTAAGCCAGAGATGACCAACTTGTTTTTGTATGCACTTCTAAAAAACCTTCTAGTAATGTATAATCTATAAGCCTAAATGTGTGTAAAGTATTTGTACAGTAAATTAGTAGTAATAATAATAGAGCAAGTGTCTGTGTAACCCAGGTCAAATAATAGAACATTGCCAGCACCCAGGAGCTCCCCCAGAATTCCTTTTGATCACCTACCCACACCCCTGTTCTGAGGGAGTCTCCTGACTCCTGTGGTAATGATTTTCTTGCTTTTCTCTTTAGATTTATGACTTTTACATGTGTCCCTAAATGACTTAGGTTCATTTTGCCTGAATCACACTGCATTTATCCTTTTGTGTCTTGATCTTTTCACTCAACATTTTGTTTATAATAATCACACATGTTATTGCCTGTGGTTTGTTCTCTCTTATTAATATTTCATTGTATGACTTTACCACAATTTATTGATTATTTTACTGTTGACGGGTGTTTTTGTTTCCAATCTGGGTTACTACAGATAACACCACTTTGAACATTCTTGAACTTTTCTTTTGGTGCAGGCATTTCTGTTGGATATACATTAGGTTGAACCATATGAATTACCATTTTTGTGGCTCAAACATCAAATAATAATTTCATGTGGTTCAATCTAATAATTAGGGGTAGAATTGTTAGATCATAGGAAATACATATGTTCAATTTTAGTAGATTTTGCCAAATAGTTTTCTAAAGAACTCTTACCAACTTAATTTCCTGTTAGTAATATATAATTGTTGTTCCACATTCTGGCCAACACTTGATACTGTAATTTTTTTTATTGTGGTTTTCATTTGCATTTGCTGGTTACTAATGAGGTTGAACGCATTTTCACTTGTTGTGGCCATTTCAGTTTATTCTTATAAAGTACCTAAGTCACTTGCCCGTTTTTCTTTTGGGTGGTTTGTCTTTGTCTTGTTGATTAGCAGAAGTTATATATATTCTAGATATGAATCCTTGATGGTTAAATGTATTACATATATCTTCTCTCATTCTGTGTTTTTTTAATTCTTAATGTTTTTTGACTCACTGCAACCTCTACCTCCTGGGCTCAAGCAGTCTTCCTGCCCCAGCCTCCCAAGTAGTTAGGACCACAGGTGTGCACCACCATGCCCAGCTAATTTTTTTATTTTTTGTAGAGATGGGATCTCACTATTTTGCTCAGGCTGATCTTGAACTCCTGGCCTCAAGTGATCCTCCCACCTCAGCCTCCAAAAGTGCTGGGATTACAGGCGTGAGCCACTGCTCCTGGCCTTAATGTGTCTTTTGGTGAAAAGGTATTCTAAACTTTAATATAGTCAAATGTATCGTCATTCTTTTTTATAATTAATGCTTTATCCACAAACTCTTTTACCCAAGATCTTGAAGATATTCTTTTATATTATATTCCGAGAGCTTTATCTTTTCATTTTTAGGCCTATTCATCTAAAGTTGATTTTTGCATGTGGAGTGAGGTTAAAGTTCAATTTCATTTTTCCCCTAAGGGATATCCAGTTGTCTACACCAGCTGGTGAAAAGACAGTCGCTTCTTTGAGGTGTCGCTTCTGTCGTAAATAAGGGTCTGCATGTACCTGCATCTGATCTAGGCTCTTTGTTCTATTTCATTGGTCTGTTGATCTATTCCTCACTGTATTAATTTCTTTTTTTTTTTTTTTTTTGAGACAGAGTCTTGCTCTGTCACCAGGCTGGAGTGCAGTGGTGCAATCTTGGCTCACTGCAGCCACTGCCTCCGGGGTTCAAAGAATTTTCCTGCCTCAGCCTCCTGAGTAGCTGGGACTACAGATGCCCACCACCATGCCTGGCTAATTTTTATATTTTTAGTAGATACGGGGTTTCACCATGTTGGCCAGGCTGGTCTCAAACTCCTGACCTCAGGCGATCCACCTGCCTCGGCCTCCCAAAGTGCTAGGATTACAGGCGTAAGCCACTGTACATGGCCTACTGTATTAATTTCTATAGCTTTACAGTAACTAAGCCCCCACCTTGTTGTTGTTGTTTTTCTTTTTAGTGATGAGGTCTTGCTGTGTCACCCAGGCTGGAATGCAGTGGCATGATCATAGCTTACTGCTGTCTTGACCTCCTGGGCTCAAGCAATTTTCCTGCCTCAATCTCCTGAGTAGCTAGGACTATTGGTACATACCACCATGCCCGGCTAATTTTTAAATTTTTGTGGAAACAGAGTCTCACTGTCTTGCCTAGGCTTATCTCAAATTCTTGGCCTCAAGCTATCTTCCCACTTTGGCCTCCCAAGGTACTAGGATTACAGGTGTGAGCCACCATGCCCAGCCTGTTCTTCTTTTTTAAGAATGCCTTGGCTATTCTTGTCTTTCTGCCTTTCCATACACATTTTAGAATCCGCTTGTTGAGTTTCAAAAAAGTCTGTTAGGATTTTGATTGACATTATATTTAATTTATCAATCAATTTGTTTAGAATTGACATATTTATAATAGTAAGGTTTTTGTCTAGGAATAAAATATATCACTACATTAATAAGGTCTACTTTATTGTGTATCAAAAAAATTATTTGAAATAAAATTCACCATTTTAATGTTTTTTAATTATAAAATATGCACAACACAAAATTTACAATTTTAATCATTTTAAAGCATACAATTCAATGGCTTTTAGTACATTTATAATGTACAACTCTCACCAGTATCCAAGTTTAGAAGATTTTTATTATGCCTCCCCCCCAAAAAAACCCATACCCATTAAATATCCATTAAGCAGCCACTCCCCAGTTCATAGTAACCTCTGTTTTCTGTCTTGGAGGATTTGCCTATTACGAACATTTCATATAAATGGAATCGTATATATGTGGCCTTTGGTGCCTGGCCTTTTTCAGTCACAGCAATATTTTTAAGGTTTATCTGTGGCATAGGCTGTATCAGACCTTCATTCCTTGTTATGGCTGAGTACTGTTCTATTGTATGGATATACCACATTTTAATGGTATGGATATACCACATGAATCTATCTGTTGATGGGCATTTGTCAATAAAATTCTATCCTTTTTTTTTTTTTTTTTTTGAGACAGAGTCTTACTCTGTTGCCCAGGCTGGAGTGCAGTGGTGTAATCTTGGCTCACTGCAACCTCCACCTCCCAGGTTCAAACAATTCTCCTGCCTCAGCCTCCCAAGTAGCTGGGATTACAGGCCTGTACCACCACACCCAGCTAATTTCTGTATTTTTAGTAGAGATGGGGTTTCCCCATGTTGGCCAGGCTGATCTTGAACTCCTGACCTCAGGTGATCTGTCCACCTGGGCCTCCCAAAGTGCTGGGATTACAGGCGTGAGCCACCGTGCCCAGCCAATAAGATTCTATACTTTTTTATGGAGCACTTTCATCTTTTATTATATTTATTCTAAGGTAAACATTTTCAAATGCTTGTAAATTATATTTTTATAAAATTTCATTTTGTTTATTGCTATGGAACATATGACATTGATTGACATCCTGTAAGTCTAAATTTTGCTAAACTGTCTTAATAATTCCAAAATGTATTTGTAGAGTCTTTTGGACCATTATATCATTGTGATGAATGAGTTTTGTTTCTTCCTTTCTGTTTCTTCTGCCCTGTGTTTCTTTTTCTAGTCTTACCCTACTGACTAGATCCTCTAATACAGTGCTGAACAGAGTAGTGACAGCAAGCAGCCTTGACTTATTCTGGATCCCAAAGGAAAAGCTTTTAGTCCTACAACATCAAGTGTGATATTTGCTGCATATCTGTACATGTTTCAAATAGTCTTTATTTTAGCTGACATCTAACAACCTAAGAGGACTCTTTTTTGGTTTTAATTGTTTTAAAAATATTTTTTTGAAGCAGGTCTCTCTTTTGCCCAGGCTGGAATGCAGTGGCATGATCTTGGCTCACTGCAGCCTTGACCTCTGAGGCTCAAGTGATCCTCCCACCTCAGCCTCCTGAGTAGTTGGAACTACAGATATGTGCCACCACACCTAGCTAATTTTTGTATTTTTTAAAGAGATGGGGTTTCGCCATATTGCTCAGGCTAGTCTTGAACTCCTGGGTTCAAACGATCTGTACACCTTGGCCTCCCAAAGTGCTGGGACTACAGGCGAGAGTCACCGGACCTGGCTCAGCATAGTTTTAAATGAAATATTTTAATATTTTCCTTTGAGCATCTACAATATTCTGATGTATCCATGTTATCAGCAACTGGCTGACTCTGTTTTTGTTAATATACAATATTAATGTAATACATAGTATTAACAAAAGCAGAGTTCTGATATCTCACTTTTACTAAACTTTCGCTGCAGGAGCCGTTCCAATGTCTCTGTAAATTCTATTGAATATTTGAAGGAGATGATATGCATGATATTTCTGTACCCCTGTGAGGTGTAGCGTAACCTCCCATGGCTGTGAGGAGAGGCAGGCCTTCTCACACATTAGCATCTGTGTTTAGTCATGCCCTTTGAGTCTGTGGAATAAGAGGTGATGGACTGGAAGAGAGCAGTAGTGAGCAGAAGAAGATAGGTTTTCCAGAGGGAGATTGTGGGCTCATGGTGGCTTTGGAAGTGTTTATGGGACTAGAAGGACTTAAGAACTCAACCTAGAATCAGACCAGCCAAAGCTTACCTATGGCTGAATGAGTGTGCCTCTCCCCCACAAGAGCCTGAATACTCTTATCTGAGTGGAGAGAGCATAGGCAACATTGTCTGAAGACTTGGATGTTTGTTCCTCCAAAGCTCTGTAAATTTTTAGGATTGCAATTGCTGTTCTCTACCCTGAAGGGACCTTCAAAATTACTAATGAAGAGTTGGCCTTTCTCCATTTCAGATTGATATCAGTAAATGCCATTATTTAGTGGATTTGGACACCATGAGAGAAACACCCCGGGAGCCAAAATATTCATCCAATAAAGAAGAATGGATCAGCTTGGCCTATAGACCATTCCTTGATGCTTCTAGGTATGTGGCTTTAATCCTATGGGATATTCCAGGACTAGTATGGGTAAAAATTGGATTCTAGGATTATATAACTTCCAGTCCTGGGTTGACTCTAGTAGCCATCGTGTGTGTGTGTGTGTGTGTGTAATGGAGTCTCACTCTGTTGCCCAGGCTGGTGTGATCTCAACTCCCCACAACCTCTGACTCCTGGGTTCAAGTGATTCTTCTGCCTCAGCCTCCCAAGTAGCTGGGATTACAGGCGCACACCACCATGCCCGGCTAATTTTTGTATTTTTGGTAGAGACAGGGTTTTACCATGTTGGCCAGGCTGGTCTCCCAACTCCTGACCTCAGGTGATCCACCTGCCATGGTCTCCCAAAGTGCTGGGATTACAGGCATGAGTCACCATGCCCGGCCCATCATTTTCTTTTTATTTGGGCCCAGTTTCCTGAGAAATCTTAAAGATTTCTTTTTTGAGGCACCAGAATGCAAAGTATATTCTGGTTTCGCCCAAGTGAAAGCATCCAAGTAAAGCAGATAGGTCTGCTGAAGAAAGCACAAGTGTTTGACACTGATTATTTTTGGCAACCAACTTCAGCTATCTTAACTGAGAGCATTTTGACACTGTTAGGAAGATTGACTATGCCCTTTGAGGAACTAGAAGTTCATGTTCATTATTTTCAGGCTCAAGGCTCAGCCAGGGCTGAGATAGGCCTTATTCAGTCTTAAATAGAGAGACCAAATGGACCAGGGCTTGACTCGCTCTTCAGAAAGGTCTCAGAATTAATGATAAGAGGGGATCAGGCATTCAGATAAGGGAGTAATGGGGAAGAGGAGTTGGAGGGGTCAAGGTGTCTGAGGGCAGAGGTCCAGGTAAACAGACAGTTGGAGTTAAGGAGATCCAGGGAGGCCTGGTGAGCAGAGCCCAGGAGCCAGGAGGTCTGGAAGGAAGCAAAAGACAGAGGACCTGGTCCTGAGAGTCAGGTCTGGGGCTCAGAAACGGACTGGGCCCAGGCCCAGGACAGGACTCCAGAAAGACGAAGTAAGCACAGGTACTAGGTGTAAGCCTGAGGAAACAGAATATTGATCAGGATACCAAGACAGGAAATGAAATATGGAGAGAAAGGCATGGGTCCCTAATTACTGAAACTGAGGTATAAGGCTGGTTCTTCACGAGTAAGCAAGAATCCAGTTGTTCTGAGTGAGTTCAATTAGAGCTGGACTAGCAGGAAGGCTGAGATGCTGACCTGCATACCAGGTCACTAGCTTGGTCATAGAAGTGAGGCCAAAACTGAGTTTGGTGAGCTGCAGGTGCCCAGGCAGGTCATTGTGCTTTTAGACTGAGTCTCTCCAGTGACTTTATAGGTAATTATAACTGGCAAGGAAGGGACGGTTGGGGAGAGGAGGGCAGTAAAGAGGCACCTGAGTTCTTGAGTGATTCTCAAATGTAGGCTCTTGAGCCACACTCTCATCTTGTAAGTCTTTTTGTAGCCTGAAGCCATTCCCTCAAGTATCTGATACATAATTTCTAGGAGTGCCATTTCTACATAATGGGAAATAGTGCTTCTTCTTAACAACAGCAACAAAAATTTTTTTTGAGATAGTCTCACTCTGTCACGACGCTGGAATGCAGAGGCACAATCTCAGCTCACTGTAACCTCTACCTCCTGGGCTCAAGCAGTCCTCCCACCTCAGCTTCCCAAGGCACCTGCCACCACTCCCAGCTAATTTTTGTATTTTTTGTAGAGACGTGGTTTTGCCATATTGCCCAAGCTGGTTTTAAACTCGTAAGCTCAAGCTATCCGCCCACCTCAGCCTCCCAAAGTGCTGGGATGACCCATGGTGCCCAGCCTTAACAAAAAATTTTTTTTTTGAGACGGGGTCTCGCTCTTTCTCCCAGTCTGGAGTGCAGTAGCACGACCTCGGCCCCAAAGTGCTAGGATTACAGGCGTAAGCCACCACACCTGGCCCTTAACAAATTTTTTTGAGAGCCTGCAATGTTCTAGGTGATTTGGACATATAGTGAATAAAACAAAGATCTTTCTCCTAGTGAAGCTTACTGTTTGGAGGTGGGTAGGGAAGACATAATATACAAGAAAATAAGTTATATAGTATATTAGAGGATGATAAATGCAAGGAAAAAATGTATTGGGTTAAGAGGAGCATTGAGAGTTCCACTAGAGCTGGGGGTTACACTTTGAGCTAGGGTGGTCAGAGTCGGCCTCAATGAAAAGATGATATTCAAACAAAGACTTGAGAGATGTAAGGGCATTAACCATGTGGACATCTGAGGGAACAGCTAGTGAAAGGCTGTGGCATAAGGAAGAAACAGGAGGCCAGTGAGGCTGGAGCTGAGCAAGAGTGAAGAATAGCAGGTGGTGTGGTCAGAGTGCAGTAGGGGTGAGAGTGCAGGTTATAAAGAGCTTTGTAGGCTATTGAAAGGCCTTTACTCTCAATTAAATGGGGAGCCACTGTAGGGTTTTGAGCAGAGACTTGATATAACTTTTATTTTAAAAGGATCATTTTCAGTTCTGTGCTGAGAATAAATGGTAGTAAGTAAGAATAGAAGCAGGGATACCAGTTAAGCCACTATTGCAATAGGCCAGGCAAGAGATGAGGGTTCTTCAGATCAGGGAGAGGGCAATGGAGATAGTGAGCGGTGGTTATGCTGAGGATATAGAGAAATGCACTGTATTTGAGGTGTGAAAGAAAGGAGTCAAAGATGATCCTAGGGATTTTGATCCAAGGAACTGGAAAAATGAACTTGCTATTAACTGAGATGGGAGAGACTGCAAGTAGAACAGGTTTTACAGTTTTAGGGGTAGAGTGAGAGATAAGCTTTGTTAAGTTTGATATCAGTCAAACTTAACTGTTCAGTTGCCAGGCAAATAGAATTATTGAACAGGCAGCTAGATATACAGTCTAGAGTTCAAGGGGGAAGTCTGAGCTAGAGACTCAGACTCATTTAGAACTATTGGCATTTAGATGATATTTTTTAAAAACATGAGACTGGATGAGATCACCAAAGGAGAGAATGAAGTTAGGGACGAGATGAGGCCAGGGAAACTCCAGTGTGTAGAGATTAGGGAGAAGAGGAGGAACCAGCAAAGGTGACTGAGGGCAATCATCAGTAAAGTAGTAGGAAACCCAGGAGAGGAGAGTACCCTCGAAGCTAAGGCAAGAAAATGTTTTCAGGAGGAAGGAGTGGTCACCTGTGTCAGAAGCTGTTGATAAATCAAGTAAAATGAAGAATAACAACTGTCCATTAGAATTGGCAACTGGTAAAGGCAATTTGGGTGAAGTGGGTGGGGGTGTAGGGACTGGAGATTGATTAGAAAGGTTGAAGTGAGAATAGTAGAAGAATTGGTGTAGCAAATATGGACAAGTCTTTTGAAAGAGTTTTGCTATACAAGGAAGCAGGGAAATAGGGCTATATCTGGTGGTGGGTGTCAGGAAAAGTGATAACTAGAGATTTTTTATCTTTTTTAAAAAAATTTTTAGTGTGGCCAGGCACGGTGGCTCACACCTGTAATCCCAGCACTTTGGGAGGCTGAGGCAGGTGGATCACTTGGGGCCAGGAGTTCGAAACCAGCCTGGCTAACATAGCGAAACCCTGTCTCTACTAAAAATACAAAAAAAATTAGCTGGCTATGGTGGTGAGCACCTATAGTCCCAGCTACACAGGAGGCTGAGACATGAGAATTGCTTGAACCTGGGAGGCGGAAGTCGCAGTGAGCCAAGATCACACCACTGCACTCCAACTCCAACCTGGGTGACAGAGCGAGACCTTGCCTCAAAACAGCAGCAACAACAACAACAACAAAAAAGCAATGGATGAACCTATATTGACACATCATTATCATCCAAAGCCCACAGTTTACATTAGGGTTCACCCTTGGTGTTATACAGTTCTATGGCATATAATGTCATGTGTCTCCCATTACCGTTTCATGTGAAATAATTTCACTGCTCCAAAACTCTGTTCTACTTCCATGCTCTATTCTCCCCCACTACATTCCCGGACAACCACTAATCTTTTTACTGTCTTCATAGTTTTGCCTTTTCCAGAATGTCATATAGCTTGAATCATACAGCATATAGGCTTTTCATATTGAGTTCTTCACTTAGCAAGCTGCATTTAAGTTTCTTCTGAGTCTTTTCATGGCTTAATAGCTTATTTCTTTTGAACTCTGAATAATATTCCATTGTCTGGATGTGCCACAGTTTATTCACCTACTGAAGGACATCTTTGGTTGCTTCCAAGTTTTGACATTGGTCTTAGTTCAGACTGCTATAACAAATGACCATAAACTGGGTGGCTTAAACAACAAACGTTTACTTCTCACAGTTTTGAAGGCTGGAAGACCAAGATCACGATGCCAGTATAGTCAAGTTCTGGTAAAGGCCATCTTTCTGGCTGCAGACAGCTGACTTGTATCCTCACATGGCTGCAAGAAGACAAGCTAGCTCTCTAGCCTCTTCTTATAAGGACATTAATCCCATTGTTGAGTGCTCCACTCTTTTGACCTAATTCCCTTCCAAAGGCCCACCTCCAAATACCATCACATAGGTGAGTGTTTAGACTTCAACATATGAATTTTGAGGGGACACAAACAGCCCATAACAGCAATTATTAATAAAGCTGCTATAAACATCCCTGTGCAGGTTTTTGTGTGGACATACATTTTCAACTCCTTTGGGTAATACCAAGGCGTATGATTGCTGGATTGTATGGTAAGAGTCTGTTTAGTTTTGCAAAAAGCTGCCAGATTGTCTTCCAAAGTGGCTGTATCATTTTGCGTTCGTACCAGCAATGAATGAATGAGTTCCTGTTGCTCCACATCCTTGCAGCCATTTGGGATTATCAGTGTTTTGAATTTTGGCCATTCTAATGGGTGTGTAGTGGTATTTCATCGTTGTTTTAATTTACATTTCGCTAATATGATGCAGAGCATCTTTTCATATGCTCATTTGCCATCTGAGTATCTTCTTCAGTGAGGTGTTTGTTAAGTCTTTGGGCATTTTTTAATCCGGTTGTTCATTTTCTTAGTGTTGGGTTTTTTGTTTGTTTTTGAGACAGGGTCTCGCTCTGTCACCCAAGCTGGAGTACAGTGGTGTAGTCATAGCTTACTGTAACCTCTAACTCCTGGGCTCAAGTAGTTCTCTCGCCTCAGCCCCCGAAAGCGCTCGGATTACAGGCATGAGCCACCACACCCAGTCTTATTGTTGAGTTTTAAGAGTTCCCTGTATATTTTGGATAACAGTCCTTTATTTGATATGTCTTTTGCAAGTATTTTCTCCCAGTCTGTGGCTTGTCTTCTCACTGTTGACAGTGTCTTTCACAGAGCAGAAATATTTTATTTTAATGAAGTCCATCTTCTCAATTCTTTTTTCATAAATCATGCCTTTGGTGTTGTATCTAAAAAGTCATTGCCAAACCCGAGTTCATTTAGATTTTCTCCTGTATTATCTTCTAGGAGTTTTATACTTTCAGTTTTGTTGTTGTTGTTTCTTTTTTTTTTTTTTTTTTTGAGATGGAGTCTTACTCTGTCACACACGCTGGAGTGCAGTGGCACACTCTTGACTCACTGCAACCTCCACCTCCCAGGTTCAAGCGATTCTGCTGCCTCAGCCTCCCGAGTAGCTGGGATTACAGGCACCCACCACCATGCCCAGCTCATTTTGGTATTTTTAGTAGAGACGGGGTTTCACCATGTTGGCCATGCTGGTCTGGAACTCCTGACCGCAAGTGATCCACCCGACTCGCTCTCCCAAAGTGCTGAGATTACAGGCTTGAGCCACCATGCCCAGACTATACTTTTACTTTTTACATTTAGGTCTGTGGCCTGTTTTGAGTTAATTTTTGTGGAGTGTGTAAGATCTGTGTCTAAATTAATTTTTTTTGCATGAGGATGCATGGTTGTTCCAGCACCGTTTGTTGAAAAGACTGTTTTTTATTGTGTTGCCTTTGTTCCTTTGTGAGAGATTTATAGTTAACTGTATTTATGTGGATCTATTTCTGGGCTCTCTATTCTGTTTCACTGACCTATTTGTCTTTTCTTTCTCCAGTACCACACTGTCTTGATTATTGTAGCTTTATAGTAAGTCTTGCAGTTTGGTAGTGTCAATCCCCCAACTTTGTTCTTTTTTTTTTTTTTTTCCTGAGATGGAGTCTTACTCTGTCACCCAGGTTGGAGTGCAGTGCCGTGATCTTGGCTTGTTGCAACCTCTGCCTCCCGGGTTCAAGCGATTCTCCTGCCTCAGCCACCCGAGTAACTGGGATTACAGGCACGTGCCACCATGCCTGGCTATTGTTGTATTTTTAGTGGAGATGGAGTTTCACAATGTTGGCCAGGCTGGTCTCGAACTCCTGAACTCAAGTGATCCTCCCACCTCAGCCTCCCAAAGTATTGGGATTACAGGCATGAGCTACTGCACCTGGCACACCTTGTTCTTCTTCAATATTATTTTGTGGATTCTGGGTCTTTTGCCTCTCCATATAAACTTTAGAATCAGTTTGTCAACATCCACAAAATAACTTGCTGGGATTTTGATTGAGATTTTATTTAATCTATAGATCAAATTGGGAGGAATTGACATCTTGACAATATTGAGTCATTCCTATCCATGAATGTTGCTAAATTTATACTGAAGTATTGCATTTTGGGGAGTGTGATGGTAGGAATCTGGACATTTTCTTCTGATGGCCTTGCCTTTCTCAGTGAAGTAGGAAGTGGGATTATCAGCTGAGAAAGGAGCTTAAGGGATGAGGTGATAAGAGATTTGAGGAGAAAGAAGGTGTGAAATAATTGAGGAGAGCGAGAGACACAGAAGCTACAGAAATATAGTGTGATTGGAAGACAGGATCCAGAATCCGTTGGAGCCTTAAACGGGGCCATGTAGTTGCTTTTTCTCTTCTTCACTTTTGTATAGTTACAGCTTCACTGTGAGGCACAAAACAGGTAAATTTAACCGGGGTGTTTTTTTTTAAACTTTATTGCAGTATAGTTTACATATCCAGTTCATCCATTTAAAGTATACAATTAAATGATTATTACTAATGTTACCAAGTTGTATAACCATTGCCACAGTTCAATTTTAAAACATTTTTATCACTGCAGTAAGATACCTCATTCCCACTGCCGTCTCCGGGCATCCCGCTAATCTATTCTCTGCTTCTATAGATTGCCTTTTCTGGACATTTCATATAAGTGCAATCATATGTGGAGTTTAGTGTCTGGCTTCTTTCACTCAGCCTGTTTTTGAGGTTCATTCATGTTATAGCATTTATCAGTAGTTGTCTGTTTTTATTGCTGAATACTGTTCCATTGTTTAATCCTTCACTAACTGATGGACATTTCAATCATTTATACTTTTTGGCTATTAGGAATAATGCTGCTATGAACCTTCTCCACACATCTTTGTGTAGGGGCTTGGGCTTTAGTTAAGAAAGTTCAACACAGCCTGAAGGAACAAGGGAACCGAAGGTTTCTGCAGGGAAGTGATCTAATGAGTAACCGTGACCTTAAGTTGGTAAGGAGGGAAGTTGGGGGAAAGCACTGGGAGAGTGGGAGACAGTGAAAGGTGGTAGGATCATGGATGGGTGTTCAAGACATTGCCAGAACTGCAGTAGTAATAGGAGACAGCTGGAGAGATAGAAGCAACAGTGATGGTAGGAAGTTCTCAGAATCACACGTGTTCTTTGGTACCTGGCTTGTTGTTTGTTATAGTATTTGGGGGTAGGGCTCTATTGTGCCTTCATTTTTTATTTGAGAAAACTGTGACAACATGAGACCTGGGCCTGGAAAGTTCCCCAGCTCTGAGGGGACAGCAGATCTCAAACAACCTTCCTGGTAACAGGGGAATGCCTTCAGAGAATTTTCATTTCCCATAAATTGTGTTCAGGGCATGATTTTCACAACCACCTGTTGAGAAGGAAAGAATCATTTGGGTAAAGAGCTGAAGAGGTACAGTTCATGTGTAAAGTATAGTGAAGACAGCATGAGGTTTGCAGACCTGTGAATTTAATCCTGGCCACTTGCTGTTCATACCATTCTGATTCCAAAATTTCTATATCAGTAAAACAGTAACTATTTTATGTATTTTCTGGGATTGTTATAAGAATTAAATGAGATTGAATATATGAAAGTCCGTTTACATTCTAAAACATTATAGAAACGTTAAGCCTTTTAATTAATCAGCAGGCTGTCTAGGGTTCCAGAATTATGCTGATTTTCTTTACATTTATCTTCCTCAGCATTTTCTAGTATATATTGGTCTAACTGCAAAAACAGCAGGATGCCACAGCCAATTTTGCCACAGCAGTTTCTGTCTGTCAGCACCATGACATATGATGTTGCTGACTTTGGGCCAATTAAGGTAGACTGTACTGTCAGAGCCTGTGTGCCTCAGAGCTGAGGTGATGCATGAAATGCTTTTGTGAGCATAATCTTGAAATGCCTTCACACTTATTTACTGGAGCAATTAAAGTTCCTCTGTCATCTTGAAACAATGGTTTTTGTACTTTAGCAATTTATATATTAATGAGAAATAATGGTCCATTCATATATAATGGTCATTTACGTCTTAGACCCTAGATAAGATGGGGCTGCACACCTCACTATTCTCTAGCTCTTTCTGAGAAAAGAAAAAGGTTTTAATAGGCCTATGACACATAGCCACATGATTTGTTTAGAAATGTAAGTAGGTTAATTTCTCAAATGTTTAAGTTCCTAAAATCTAACCCTGCTTTTTTTATGGTTTTTCTCAGATCATTTGTTCTTTCTTCCATTGTCTGTCTGTCCACCCATCACTCATCTCCAGTTAGCAAATATTTATTGAACATTGCCAGGCACTATGATAAATCATAGGTAGACAGGGATAAATAACAGTACATACCAGGTCGCTGTCCTCTTGGACCTTACGATACAATGGTGAGGCTGACCTTAAACAAATAGCCACACAAATCAATAGGTAATTACAAAATGTGTTATGTGTTGTAAGAGGAAAGTACAGGGTGTTGCAAGAGGAGTGAGCAGTGGGGAGACACCTGGAGTTTTCCTGGTATGTTCTTAAGTCAGCTGGTTAGGCAGGTTTGGAGATCAGAAAGTATTTACTGAATATCTGGTATGCCCTTGTTATAGAGTTAGATTCTTTTTTATTTTATTTTATTTTTTATTTTTTGAGACGGAGTCTCGCTCTGTCACCCAGGCTGGAGTGCAGTGGCATGACCTTGGCTCACTGCAACCTCTGCCTCCTGGGTTCAAGTGATTCTCCTGCCTCAGCCTCCCGAGTAGCTGGGACTACAGGCGCGTGCCACCATGCCTGGCTGATTTTTTGTATTTTTTAGTAGAGACAGGGTTTTACCATGTTAGCCAGGATGGTCTCAATCTCCTGACCTCATGATCCGCCTGCCTCAGCCTCCCAAAGTGCTGGGATTACAGGTGTGAGCCACCACACCCGGCCTAGAGTTAGATTCTTTAAGGCACATAAAGGAAGTGATTAGACACAGGCTTTTCCCTTGAATAACTTACAACTTTTGCAGGAAGACCTACACATATGAAAACAACTTGAAAATAGTGTTAAGACCATAGAGGCACCAAATCATGTGCTAGAACTTTAAAGAAAGGAGGGACCTGTGGAGATTAGAGTACACTTAGAAGGCTTCCAGAAGGAGGGGGTGCTTGAGCTGAAGAAAAGTAGGATTAAATAAGTACTGGTGGTAAGGAGGGAAGAACCACTTATTTAATTCAAGAAGCAATCATGAGTAAAAGTGGAAAGATATAAAATGCCTGTTGGATGAGGGGCCCATTAGTCAGCATCAAAAAGTTCTATTTACCTCTTTGGCTGGTTTGAATTTGCTTTTATGTAAGGTAATCTATAATGTATCATCCACATCAGAAGTCTTTTGAAAGTAAAAGGGGTCCTGTCCTGGATAAATTGAAATATATGGTCATCTTGCTTTAATGTGACCCGAGCAAAGAGACTTGTTCCAAAAAGCAGGATGGGAGAAAGAAGATACATAGATATATTTTCTTTGTTCCATAGTCCATTTACTATGTGGATTTGCCCATGGTTTACTTATTTGATTTAACTTGCTGACAATTCTTATTATTGTGGCCTAGATTGGGCCTCAGCTGTCTGAAAGAGAAGCAATCAGGGTAGTTTGAAGGCAGTACCAGCATGTTTGTTTGTTTGTTTAAAAAAAAAAAAAAAAAGGAATCAGCCGGGCACGGTGGCTCATGCCTGTAATCCCAGGACTTTGGGAGGCCAAGGCGAGCGGATCATAGGTGAAGAGATTGAGACCATCCTGGCCATAGTGAAACCCCATCTCTACTAAAAATACAAAAATTAGCTGGGCGTGGTGGTGCATGCCTGTAGTCCCAGCTACTCGGGAGGCTGAAGCAGGAGAATCACTTGAACCCGGGAGGTGGAGGTTGCAGTGAGCCGAGATCGCACCACTGCATTCCAGCCTGGTGACAGAGCGAGACTGTCTCAATACAAAAAAAAATTATACTGTGAGTTATATGTAATTGGAGTTTCCACTTCAGGGAGTTGCAACCTAAAGATGATTGGGACAATTTTGTGATTGGGGCAAATTTAGGAATTCCACATGTCTGTGAATGTATGAAGAAGCCTGTTGAAATTGTTGCAAGATAAGCAACATCCTTATTGTTGGAGTGATGGAGAAGTACTTACTAAATAAGGCTAAGTGGTGTTAGACCATTTGGGAGAATGACAGCCCAGATGTTCGTTCACTTCTTTTCCTAATTGGCTGCTTCTTTGCCTTATTAGAGGCCTACAAACCCCAGACCCCATTAGTTTGAGAGAAGATCCAGGCATAAGATCTTAATCAACACGTTCTAGTCCCTGCTCACACAACTAGTACCAGAACTGCAACTTCCATTCCCTGAGTTTGCCATGTCTCTCTGGCTAATTTTATAAAGGTTTATCAAACTCTTAGGATGCGGAGTCTAAACTATTTGACAATATCACTTTTTAGACCAGACACATTTGTTACTCTGTGGCCATCTCATATTACATACTTTCTAAAATAAAAGATTTTTTTTTCTTTGAAGCATGATATAATTGTTACATGAATGAAATAGCTGACAAGTGGGCAGATGTAATGCCTACTCTGAGAGTCCCCAGAGAGGAGTGAAGGGAGAGTGTTGCAATAAATCACCAGCTCAGTGGTGGGTGCCTATCTAAGTGTGCTGAGAGATGTTTGGTTGTGGGAGTCTGGTGGGAAATGCCTCTCCAGGATATTGGAGTTGGCTTCATGAGCAACAGGGCCTGTTTGTAGCTTCGGAAACAAGTTGGGAGGCCCTGTCAGTGCTTTGCACAGCCACTTTCCACCCACTGTCCTCCTTCATTATATGTCCCTTTTGTCTTGCTTGCTCTGCTTTCACCTTTAGTTTGGGGATTGTGAGATTTTATTTTTCTCTATTTTTTTCTTTTTAAGACAGGGTCTCGCTCTGTTGCCCAGGCTAGAGTGCAGTGACACAATCTCTGTTCACTGCAACCTCCACCTCCTGGACTCAAGCCATCCTCCCATCTCAGTCTCCCAAGTAGGTGGGACTGCAGGCACGGACTACCACACCTAACTGATTTTTGTGTTTTTTGTAGAGACAGGGTTTCACCATGTTGGCCAGGCAATTATAGATGAAGAGTAAATACAAATAAGGAGTTAGATGTTGAACCTTTAGCTGGTATGGCAGGAGAGGGGCCTTTTCTAGTCAAAGGGCAAGTTGGGGACTGTGCTGATATCATATACGCTTATTATGTTCTTTCAGTGCCTACGTAGGATTCTCAGTGGCCACTGAACTTTAGCTGTTCTGGGGACTTTACTAAGACCATGGCTCTCCTTTTACCCTCTAAGAGGTGAACCCAGCAGCTCTGAGGCCTACAGAGTCCATTGCACTTATATTCATTTTTGTCCTATGTTGTAGAGAGTAATCTGGTTGAAGGGAGCCAGCCCTTAGCTCCAGCATAAGCAGAACTATTTCTCTATGGAAGATAAGACGACTGGAGTGATTACTGTAAAGGGCAAATTAGCCAGAAGCATTTGTTCCAGCTATTGCTGTGTAACAGTCATCCATACTTAGTGGCGTAAAACAACAATAGTTGATTATTGTTTCTTCTCGTGGTTCTGGGAGTTGATGGGCTCAACTGGCCAGTTCTTACTCAGGATCTGTAATGCATTAGCCATCAGATAGTGGCTGGGGCTGGAGGCAGCTGAGTGGCTTTCTCACTCATATGTCTGGATGCTGGCTCTTGGCTAGATCTCAGCTGGGGCTGTCAGCCAGAACACCTATGTGTCTTCTTTATGTGGCTTGGGCTTCCTTATAGCATGGTGGCTGACTTCCAAGAGTAAGCATCTCAAGACCTGCATAATTTTTTATGACCTAGCCTTGGAAGTCACACAGTATCACTTCCTCCTCATTCTGTTTGTTGGCAGCAAGCCAGTTGAATAGCTCATGCTCAAGGGGAAAAGAAGTAGACTTCCCCTGTTGATGGGAGGAGTGTCAAAGAAGTATGGACATGCTTTAAAGCCACTACTTATCTTGCAATGCCGTTCTCCATCCAAATTGGATAAACTTTGAAACTTTTCTTTTTAAAGGTGATTTCTTACAGAAGAGGCATATAGTACATGCAGTAGTCCAGCAGGCTTTTTCCATCTGCAACTTCTTATTACCCAGATGGAAGGAGAGACTCCACCCGATGGCAGAATTTGGTTGCAGGCCAAGTTTGACATGCTTCAGATGGTGCTTCCCTCCTTTGGGTAGAATTAGTTCTCCCTCCTAAGCAGTAATTGGAGTTTTTTGTTTTTTCCCTGTATGTCAATCATGGTGGTGCCCTTAGCTTCCTCAGCGATGCCAAGAATACTGAGAAACAGGAAGAAGAGATCAGAGTTTCTATACTTTGGTATTTATCAACTTTTATTCTCTTATACTTTCTGTTTCACTGTCTATCAGTTTTTGGCTTTTCCTCCTCATATTCTCCCAGAATACTTTCTTGAGACCCTTCGTCTGGCAGAGCTACCCCAGGCCAGATTTGGCTTCAAAACACATGGTGTTTTGCCATTATTCAGCTGCTTAATCATTAAGATCTGCTGACATTTTAAGAAGAATAAACCTTTTTTCATTTTTCTGAAGCTTAGAGAGTCTGCTTTCCATTGTTGTGAAATGAGTTCTCTAGAAAGAAACCATTTACAGACCATCTGTTCTCTAAGTCCATGCCATAGAAGCTCTCAGGTTTGAAGAGCATGTAACATGTTTTAGGACCACCACTGCTTTTAGCTGGCTTAGCCTAAGCAGGCAGCATCATCAGAGGTCTTTGTTCCAAGTTCCTTGAGAGTTAGAACCACATTACATGTTGATTCTCTACAACTCCTAGCACATTATAGAGTCTTAGAAAATATGTATTGATTGTGTATTTCACATTCTTAAAACTGGATTTATACTAAATAGAAAAAAGATGGTATAAGGTTTTCTTCAGAAGCTTCTGATGCCCTTATTTGGTAAAATAAAGATTATTGAATTATTTTAAGACATACTCATTGTTTATTTCATCTCTGTAAAGCTTACCAGAATCATTTGCTGATGTGACCCCTAATCCTTCTATTTGTCACATAAAAGAAGCCCAAATGAGGGTCCGAAGAGCAGGGACGAAAACTCTCTCGAACATTGGCATCCTCTCCACAGGACTGATGAATGGGACATAGAGTACCTTTATATCTAAGTAGCTGTGAGATGGGAAAAAAGACTGGTGAAGAGCATTTCTCCAGCAACCTTGATGGGACTGAGGTCAGAAAATGGCCAGTTGCCTAATAGCATTTTTCCCCAGTTCCTCACTCTGAATATTTGCTAAAGATGACTGATCAAAAGGTTATGATGTTATGCCAGATGTTGGCCAAGGCCACAAATCAGTGGAATGATCCACTCTGTATACCAGTCTCACGATGCCACGATTCCAGTTTGTGCCTCAGTAAACTTCCTAGTCATTACACATAATGTATTTTTGGAGGTTGCTCCATATAGTCAAAATCATGAATATTTATTGAACATCAAGGGTCTATTGAACATGCCTGCTGAAAGTAAAATATCATACTGGTCACATGGATAATGCTGATTCAGCAAATTCTGTGTAAACGGCCACCTGCGGGGTATATTGCCATTATACAATTATGGGACCTTTTGCAGTATATTTTCTTTAGCAACACGCCTTCCATGCCCCCTTGCACTCTGACATCCCATGGGCCACCACAGCCCCCCAGCTCCCCACTCTAGACTTCTGCTTTGCTCTGCCCCACGTAATGGCTTTAGGATTGAATTGCTTAGGAAGAGAACAGAAAAAAAACTTTAGATTATTTTTGATATTTCCTTTTCCTTGTGGAAGATGAATATTGTAAGAAGGGTGGGAGGTAAACCAGATGCTCTGGTTTAAGAGTCAGAGCATAGGCGCTCATTCATTCACAGACTATTTATTGAGGACTTTCTGTGGCACTTTCCTAAAAACTAGAGATAGAGCAGTTAGATAAAATTCCATCCTCAAGGGACTGGTGGAGTATAACATACAGCATGGAACTCCTCTTTTGGATAACAGGGTTGTAAGTCACCTTTGCATTAGTTACCATTAGAATAATGTCTCTCACCGCATTTCCTGTTAAAAACTATTAAATAACAGTCACATTTTTGCTCCATACCAGCTTTTTGAGATGTGCTTAAATTGCTTGATATGGAACTATAGGTTGACTATCACTAAGTCTTGAAGGAATTCTGAGATTCTCTTCAGAACTGAAGATAGCTGCAAAAGCCAAGTTCTGCACTAAAGGTTGTAGAAAATCTCTCACTGAAAGGTGAGCTACAATGCAAGAGAGAAAGAAACTAGCTTGAAAAAGCTGCGGCTGGAAAGATAACTGGCAGTGGGCTTAGATTACAGGCTTACAGGGGATATTAATGCTTGGATGGATGGGTGGATGGATGGATGGATAGATAGATAGGTAGAGAGAGAAGAGAAAAACAGAAAGAGAGGAGAGGAGAAGAGAAGAGAGGAGAAGGAAGACAGGACAAGATGTGGGCCAGGCATGGTGGCTCATGCCTGCAGTCCCACTATTTGGGAGGCTGAGGCCACAGGATTGCTTGAAGCTTTAAGACCATCCTGGGCAACATAGTGAGACTCTGTCTCTATAAATAATAATAATGATAATAAATTAGCTGGGTGTGGTGGCACATACCTGTAGTCCCATTACTCTGGAGACAGATCAGGGAGGATCACTTGAACCCAGGAGGTCGAGGCTGCAGTGACTTGTGATCATGCCACTGCACTCCAGCCTGGGCAACAGAGCAAGATCCTGTCTTTTAAAAGAGAAAGAAAACCTGGATACTAGGATGTTTTCTTTTTAAAATAAAAAATTGACCCAGCATTTCCATTTGTGCCTGCTGAACTGGTGACATCAGGGACTGGCAGCCAGTCATTCATTGACGTCAGCAAGAGCAGATTTAAATCTCCACCGCCGAATGCTCCTCAGCCCTGATAGATAGGGCCAGTAATTGAATTAGAAAACATTCTGAGCCGTGAGCTAATTATGCTGTGCAGGCAATTGCTTTGCCCAGATCTGTTTCATCCTTGAATCACTTGAGTGACTTTCTCACTGGGAGGGGAAGTATTTCAGTTTCCATGATAGAGGCACATATTTATGTCTCCCTGAATCACGCTGCCTGTGCTGCCCTAGGGCAGTACTTTGGCATTTCACTTTATTACAGACATTATTGTATGAGTTTTGATAGGCATTAGTGTTGTCTGTGAATCAGTCTGATCTTTGTTTCCATGTGTATAAATGTGTGCAGGCACATGTCATTCCAGTGCACAACTGCTCTTTCCTTTTTTTTTTTTTTTTTTGAGCTGGACTCTCACTCTGTCACCCAGGCTGGAGTGCAGTGGCGCGATCTCGGCTCACTGCAAGCTCCGCCTCCCGGGTTCACGCCATTCTCCTGCCTCAGCCTCCCAGGTAGCTGGGACTACAGGCACCCGCCACCATGCCTGGCTAATTTTTTGTATTTTTAGTAGAGAAGGGGTTTCACCATGTTAGCCAGGATGGTCTTGCTCTCCTGACCTTGTGATCCGCCCGCCTCGGCCTCCCAAAGTGCTGGGATTACAGGCGTGAGCCACCATGCCTGGCCCGCTCTTTCCTTTTATAAAGGCAAATTACCAATTTGATTTCCTTTTTTCAATAACAATACAATATAACAATTCAAAATGCCCCAGTTATGCTTAGTATATTAAAGCTTTTGATGATAAAATAATCTAGAACAGCAGCTGGAATGTTAGAAATGAAGAATTCAAGCCAGCTTGTTCTTTTGGTTAAAAAGAAAATCACAGGCCGTGTGCAGTGACTCATACCTGTAATCCTAGCACTTTGGGAGGCCAAGGTGGGAGGATTGCTTGAGCCCGGGAGTTTGAGACTAGTCTGGGCAACATAGTATGACCCCGTCGCTGCAAAAAGTAAAAAATTAGCTGGGAATGGTGGCACACACCTTAGTCCCAACTACTCAGGAGGCTAAGGTGGGAGGATCACTTGAACCCTTGAGGTCAAGGCTGCAGTGAGCTGGGATCACACTACTACACTCCAGCCCAGGTGAAAGAGTGAGATCCTGTCTCAAAAGAAAAAAAAGAAATTACAATATATTCCCATCCCAGCTTAGAGGTGAGAATGGGCCTAAGCATATATTGGCTGCTTTCTGATTCCATCTTCTGGAAGAAATTAGTTAGTGGCTTTGTGTGATATAGATAGATAATGCTACTAAAGATCACAGCCAGAATCTGCAGGAGAAAAGGAGGTTTGTCTTCTAAAGGATTTTTTTCCAGTGCCACACTCTGATGTTAAATAGATCCTTCTTAGCTTTTCCTTCTATGTAATTCTCACCTTTTTTGTAGTTTTGTGTTCTGTCTTAACTAGAAATGCCTCCTTATTTCCTGAATACATTATTTAGAATTTGATGCTGAATTTCTTGTGATTGATTATGCACTGAGGGAGCTTGGCAAATCAGGATGTTTCTTGGATCTCATGATGTAGCTAAGTCAGACCCATGTTTGTCCTTAGCAAGATGGTTATTCCAAACCACAAATTCACTTGGACTTTGAATTCCTCATTGAGAGTAGGAGGAACCACCATTGTGTTCCTGGCATTTAACTCATTGCTTGACATGGAGCTCATTCACTTGTAGTTAAACTAAATTGAATTAAACTCATATCTCATATGTGTGATATCCCTCTCTCGCTGTCTTCAGCAGTCCATCCATTCATCCTTCCTTCCATCCATCCAACATTTGTTTTTCAGCATTTACTATATGCCAGGCACATGTTGGCAGATAAAACAGACATGGCCCCTAGAATGTGGGTGTGTTTTGTGGGGGAGGGCAGATAATAAACTAGTTAACCAACAAATAAATAATACAAATTGTGAATTGTAGAATGAAGAAACACACAGGTGCACTGAGAGAAAAGAAGTGAGAGGTGGAAACCTAGGGCTTCCTAGGATTGTTGGAAGACCTCTCAAAGGAGGTTTTTTTTTCTTCCTGAGACGGAGTCTCGCCCTGTCACCCAGGCTGGAGTGCAGTGGCACAATCTTGGCTCACTGCGACCTCCACCTCCCGGGTTCAACCGATTCTCCTGCCTCAGCCTCCCAAATAATTGGGATTACAGGCGCACGCCACCACAGCCAACTAATTTTGTATTTTTAGGGGTTTCACCATGTTGGCCAGACTGGTCTCGAACTCCTGACCTCAAGTGATTCACCCGCCTTGGCCTCCCAAAGTGCTGGGATTACAGGCGTAAGCCACTGTGTCTGGCCAAAGGAGGTAACTTTTAAGCTGAGACTTTAAAAATGAGATGGACTCAGTCATGAGAAAAACAGGGTGGAAGAGTGTTCCTGGCTGAGGCAACAGCATATGCAAAGGCTCTAAGGTAGGAGGAACTTGTATTTTTGAAGAACTGAAAAGGACCTGGTGTGGCCGGAGTGTAGAGGTCCGGGAGGAAGATTGCACAAGGTGAGGTGGAACAATCAGGCAAGGGCTAGATCTCCTAGGGCTTTGTAGGCAATGAGAGAGTTTGGGATTTATTCAGCCCACCTCTAGTTGCTGCTGAATGCACAGAGTATTTAACCTGAGATGCCTGTAGATTTGGTTATGGTTAGACAAGTTGCTTTTCCTGCTTAGCGTACCTTGGAATATTGGATGAATAAAATGAAATGATGTGCTACATGTTTATTAAATGCTGCTTATACACTTACCTACCCAGCCCTCAGCATTTGACCTCCCGCCTGAATGTTTGCATTATCACTTTGAACTTCTGTGTCAGCTGTTTAGAATTTACCATATGCTAAGTTATGATGATGTATCATTCATAATCTGTTTCTACCCAATTAGCTTATTAGCCCTTTGAGAAGAGAGACTTATATATCTTCAGAGCCAGCACACAAATGCTTACATATAGTAGGCACATTGATTTTTTTGTTTGATTGCTTTTTGTTTTTGAAAATCAAAGGTTTCCTTTATTTAAAAATTTGTCTACTGGTTTTAAAACATTATTGTAAGTAATAAATTTATCTACTCATATATATTTGAAATTTTTAATCATAGCAAATGGAAAACCAAGTAGATTGTTTGTGAAACAAGCAAATAAATGAATAACATGGTGTATAGTACAAAGTAAAAGTCCTCTGCTCTATCATAGAGACTGCATAATTTTTGTTTTAATTGGTACTGCTAAAACTGCCTTTCTAGGTGGCTGTGCAGGCTTACACTTTCACTGGCAATATCTGTTTCCTGATTCCTCATCAGTGTTTGAGACTGTCAGGCTTTTTAACTTTTCCAAACCTGATTATTGAAAATTGTGTCTAGTCTTGCATTTCCCTGATTCCTGGTAAGATTGATCATTATTTCATGTTTATCAACCATTTGCATTTCTCTTCTGTAATCATATCTTTTGTCATTTTTTCCTGTGGAATTGTCTTACTGATCGCAGGAACAGTTTATATAGTCTAGATGCAAATCTTCTGGTACATATATTGCATTTTCTCCCAATCTCTTTTATTTTTTACCTTTGTTTTAGCTTGCCTTTTGAACTCAACAATAATGCATAGTAGTCCTTCTTCTATTTCAGTCCAGCCACTTATTTTTTAAATTTTTTTATTTTTCAGAAATGCGGTTTTGCTGTGTTTGCCCAGGTTGCCCTTGAACTCCTGGGCCCAAGCAATTCTTTCATGTACCCAGGATTACAGGAACATACCACAACACCTGCCTAGTCTGTGTTTTATTTTGTTTTGCTTTGTTTTTGAGACAGAGTCTTGCCTCATCACCCAGGCTGGAGTGCAGTGGCGCAATCTTGGTTTACTACAAGCTCCATCTCCAAGTTCAATTCTCCTGCCTCAGCCACCTGAGTAGCTGAGATTAAAGGCACCCGCCACCATGCCCAGCTAATTTTTGTATTTTTAGTAGAGACAGGGTTTCACCATGTTGGCCAGGCTGGTCTTGAGCTCCTGACCTCAAGTGAGCCACCGCGCCCGGCTGCTAGTTAGTGTTTTTGATGATAATATATCCCCAGTGCAGACCAAGATAGTTTTTTTATTATTATTCTTTTTTTTTCTCTTTTATTCACACCTAGTGATCAGGAAATTTTTTTTTCCAACTCCTGAGTGGAATCAGAATAAGATCATTTTCTGAAATTACCAGAAAATTTTTTTGAACATGATCTATCAGCCTACCAGGAAAATAGTCATCACCACTTACTATCTCAGTCCAATTGACCCTCTGTTTTCTATATTTTTAAGTTTTTTTTTTTTTGAGACAGAGTCTCCCTCTGTCACCTAGGCTGGAGTGCAGTGGCACAGTCTCAGCTCACTGCAACTTCTACCCCCCAGGTTCAAGCAATTCTCCTACCTCAGCGTCCCGAGTAGCTGGGATTACAGGCGCGCTGTTATTTTTGTACTTTTAGTAGAGACGGGGTTTCACCATCTTGGCCAGGCTGGTCTTGAACTCCTGACCTCGGTGGCCTCAGCCTCCCAAAGTGCTGGGATTACAGGCATGAGCCACCGCGTCCAACCTATTTTTAAGTTATTTTATAGGCTGGGTACGGTGGCTCATGCCTGTAATCCTGACACTTTGGGAGGCTGAGGCAGGTGGATTGCTCGAGCCCAGGAGTTCAAGGCCAGCCTGGACAACATAATGAAACCCCATCTCTACAAAAGATAAAAAATTAGCCAGGCACACCTGTAGCCCAGCTACTCAGGAAGCTGAGGTGGGAGGATTGCTTGAGCTCAGGAGGTGAAGGCTGCAGTGAACTATGATCATGCCACTGCACTCTAGCATGGGCAACAGAGCGAGACCCTGTCTCAAAATAAATAAATAAAAATAAGTATAATTTATCTTTGTTCTTTGGAAGACTCTAAAAAGAATAAAATTATGAACTACCAATCCTCCCAAATAGTAAGGAATTGCTACAAAAAGAAAGTAAAAACCTGGGACAGGCGAGGTCGCTTGCGCCTGTAATCCCAACAGTTTGGGAGACCGAGGCAGGAGGATTGCTTGAGCCCAGGAGTTCAAGGCCAGCCTGGGCAAAATAGTGAGACCCTGTCTCTTGGGGGAAAAAAAAAAAAGAAAGTTGAAAACTAAAATTGGGTCCACTGGACCCTGAGGTTATACTAAGGACTGAGTTGACCAGAAATATACAATGACTATATTAATGAAGCTTTTATTGTAGAGTCAACTAGAATGGAAATTACACTTGTTAGTTTTATACTTTCTTTACTAAAGCTTATAGGAGTTTGCTCTATTTTGCATCTTTCTGTTCTACCCTTTACCCTTCACCTTATTTGTGCAGTGTAGATGAAAAGAGTAACTTTTTTTTTTTTGGGACAATGTCTCACTCTGTCACCCAGGCTGGAGTGTAGTGGCATGATCACAGCTCACTGCAGCCTCAACCTCCTGGGCTTATGGTCTCATGCCATACTACCAGCTCAGACTTCAGAATAGCTGGGACTGCGGGTGTGTGCCACCCTGCCAGGCTAATTTTTAAACATTTTTTGTAAACACAGGTCTCAATTTGTTGCCCAGGCTGGGCTCAAACTCCTGGGCTCAAGCAATCCTCCCACCTCAGCCTCTCAAAATATTGGGATTACAGGCCTGAGCCACCGTGCCTGGCCATTAACTTCTCCTTGACTGGGGTAGGTGCTTCCTCTTCCTGTTCATTTTATTTATAGGAGCCCTGCTTTGTCTCATGTCTCTTCTCCAAACCTCCTTTCTCTATCAAAGCCCTTGATAGAGTTCACTGTTGAAGTGAAGTGAATCTTACAGAGCACAGGGCACTGCCAGCGTCCTAGTTGGGAAGAATCTCTAAGAGGTGTGCATGCCAAGCACAGTGTCATTGTGTGCAGGCATTGTAGGAGTCTGCCAAACCCAAGGTTAGGCTGCCAGTACAAATGCCACGTTGACATGACATTTACAAGTTTAGAATTTGGAAAAGGACTGCCAGTGGAGCACCTTCAGCTACCTCATTCAGGATGGCAGTAACTAGGCCAACTTTTGATTTTCAGACTCAGAAATCAGAGTCAGGAAGTAATACTCCATACAGAATTTAAAACTATCACTACAACTTTTTCTAGGAAATGATAAATCCTGTTAGTCTATTCCTGGGATGCATGATAAACCATAATGGTTAAGAGTACAGACTCTGGAATCAAACCTGGATTTGAATGAGGCCTCTGTCACTTACTGTGTAACCCTGAGCAAGTTGAAGCCTTAATTTCCCTTTTATAAAATAGGGATAATAATGCCACTTCCTCACAGGATTATCAAATGGATTAAATCATATATTTATTTTTATTTTTTATTTTTTTAATTTATTTTTTGCCAGGTGCGGTGGCTCACGCCTGTAATCCCAACACTTTGGGAGGCTGAGGCAGGCGGATCACGAGGTCAGGAGATCAAGACCACCCTGGCTAACACGGTGAAACCCCGTCTCTACTAAAAAATACAAAAAAATTAGCCGGTCGTGGTGGTGGGTGCCTGTAATCCCAGCTACTCAGGAGGCTGAGGCAGGAGAATGGCGTGAACCCGGGAGGCAGAGCTTGCAGTGAGCTGAGATCGCACCACGGCACTCCAGCCTGGGTGACAGAGCAAGACTCCGTCTCAAAAAAAGAAATAAAATAATTTTTAAAAAATTTATTTTTATTGAGATAGGGTCTCGCTCTGTCACCCATGCTGGAGTGCAGAGGCATGATCTTGGTTCACTGCAACTTCCACCTCCCGGGTTCAAGCAATTCTCCTGTCTCAGCCTCCCAAGTAGCTGGGATTACAGGCATGCACCACCATGCCTGGCTAATTTTTTTGTATTTTTAATAGAGACAGAGTTTCACCATGTTGGTCTGGCTGGTCTCGAACTCCTGACCTCAAATGATCTGCCTGCCTCGGCCTCCAAAAGTGCTGGAATTACAGGCGTGAGCCAGTGCACCCGGCCGATAATATATTTAAAAGTATAAGCACTTTTCACATTCTTCAGAAATTCATGAGAAATTTAGGTTTTCAGTTCTTATATTTCAGTAATAAGTAGATATATTATAATTTACTAGGGACATGTTGTCACAACATGAACTTGTGTGTAGACTCTTTCCTTGACTTAGACAATACTGGAACACTATGCACAGGTACCCAGGATGTAGTTTTCTTGCCCTTTCCAGGAAAACTTAGAGCTGGAGTCCAGGTCATTTGAGTACTTGGCATCTCTACAGTTTCTTAGATGCAGAAACCATTTTGGTGTTAAGAATTCATTTCAGCAATAGAAGTCCTTTGATTGACCTGGAATTTTTCTATGGCACATTCTAATGCAAAATGAAGACCTAGAGCTATTCTGAAGGATATACTGTGGCTTATTAGGGACAATAATAAATTTTCGTTTAGGTGACAAGGTACTCGGCCTTGATTAAGTCTTTTATCGTGATCTAGTACCGAAATAATAGGCTTTTCTGTGCCACTTGAATAAAATATAATCCTTACTACAGATTAGTTTATTTATTTTAATCACATTTAGTACCATTAGTAAATTCTCCCAAGTGATAAAATTCTTTTTTTTATCCCTTGTTTTTCAGATCTTCAAAGCTGCTGCGGGCATTCTATGTCCCCTTCCTGTCAGATCAGTATACAGTGTACGTAAACTACACCATCCTCAAACCCCGGAAAGCAAAGCAAATCAGGAAGAAAAGTGGAGGTTAGCAACACACCTGTGGCCCCAAAGGACAACCATCTTGTTAACTATTGATTCCAGTGACCTGACTCCCTGCAAGTCATCGCCTGTAACATTTGTAATAAAGGTCTTCTGACATGAATACTGGAATCTGGGTGCTCTGGGCTAGTCAAAGTCTATTTCAAAGTCTAATCAAAGTCACATTTGCTCCCTGTGTGTGTCTCTGTTCTGCATGTAAACTTTTTGCAGCTAGGCAGAGAAAGGCCCTAAAGCACAGATAGATATATTGCTCCACATCTCATTGTTTTTCCTCTGTTCAATTATTTACTAGACCGGAGAAGAGCAGAACCAACTTACAGGAAGAATTGAAAATCCTGGTACTGGATGGCTGTGATAAGCTGTTCTCCACACTCTGGCCTGGCATCTGAGAACTAGCAAGCCTCTCTTAGGCCATATGGGCTTCTCCACCAAAGCTGTTTGGCAGCTCCTAGCAGACCTTCTTATTGAAATCCTCATGCTGAAAATGAACACAGCCTAGTTGCCAACCCACATGTCCTTTTCACCTCCAGCAAGACTAAGCTTCTTTAAAGCACTTCACAGGACTAGGACCCTGTCCTGGAGCTATCTCAGGAAAAAGGTGACCATTTGAGGAACTGTGACCTAATTTTATTATAATGATGCCTCTAATTTTCATTTCCTTTACAACCAACTGTAACTATAAGGTTGTATTGCTTTTTTGTTCAGTTTTAGCATGCTATTTTTTGAATTCTAGACTCCTCCATGTGAAGATATCAACAGACAAAACTACAACTGTATAGGACATATTTGGAGAAAATTCTATCAATTGATACATTTGGATGACATCACATTTTTAAGTAATGTAATCTGAGGCCATTGCTGAGGAAATTAAGAATTTTCCTTTTTTTTTAACCACCCCCAGTGAAAAGGATCAGTGTATATTTATAGCACCTATTTTTTAGTTCTGTCTGTTGTGAGGCACATCCTGCATGGGGCACTTCTAGTCAAATAGGCAATGATAAGGACCTAATTAAAATGTGATAAGTGTATACTATTACTTTAAAAGCCTTTACAGTCAGTACTTCAGTTTACAAGGCACTTTCACAGCATCTCGTTTGATCCTCACAGTCACAACATGTGGTAGACAAGGCAGGTGATTTTTATCCCCATTTTACAGATAAGGAAACAGGCTGCGGGTGGGGAGTGAGGGGAGGTAAAGATAGTTAGTTGCCTAAGGTCACACAGCCAGTAAGTAATAGAGCTGGGACTGGAACCCAGGTTTCCTTACTCTCATCTATTGCTCCTCCATATTCCTCACTCAACCATGAAAACATTACTTGAAAGGACTGATGAGGTTAACCAGAGACCTAACTGATATTGTAACTTTCTATTTTAAGGAAGAATTGTGTCTGTATTTGAGTTCTTTGGAGCCTCCAGTCTGCCTGTGTGTTAGACCAGCACAGCAGTGCTGTGTGATGCAGCCTGACCTGTGGCAGGAAAGTAGTGCTTCTGTTTGGAAGTCATGTTCTTTTGCAGCCACACAGGATCCAAATATCAGTACTATTCCTGTAGTCAATCTGGGGTCACATTATAGGTGCCTTATTTCCCTAAGGGTAACTGATCTGAATATCTGCAAATAGGATGAATCTATTTTTCAGAAGTTCCATCTTTCATTTTTCTTTTTTTTTTTGAGACAGAGTCTCATTCTGTCGCCCATGCTGGAGTGCAGTGGCGCGATCTCGGCTCGCTGCAACCTCTGCCTCCCAGGTTGAAGCAATTCTCATGCCTCAGCCACCCGAGTAGCTGGGATTACAGGCATGCGCCATCATGCCCAGCTAATTTATGTATTTTTAGTAGAGTTGGAGTTTCACCATGTTGGCCAGGCTGGTCTTGGACTCCTGACCTCAGGTCATCCACCCGCCTCAGCCTCCCAAAGTGCTGGTATTACAGGCGTGAGCCACCGCACCCAGCCCCATCTTTCATTTTCAAAGAGAAGGGCATTCTAATAGGAACTGGTGCCAAGAGAGAAGAAAAGAAGTGATAACAGAAGAAATGGCTAGTTACAATATTAAAAAGCTCCTCTTTGAGATCTCCTCTGCAGGAATATCAGAGACGGAGTTGAAGCGCTGGAGAGGTAATAGGTCTAGACAGTACAGAACAATAACTGGGGAGTGTGTGAGGATAGACTGGGCTCCCCCTTGCTTGAAAGATCTCTGGCATTTAATTCTCAATTCTTGATTACTATTTTCCAGTGTAAAACTAGCACATATGATCTGACTACAGGACAGAGAATTTTAAGTGAAACATTTGCCTTACTTGCAGTAATAATGTGCTGTTCTTCACAGTAGCTAAGGCCCTCTATGTTTCCCAGAGGTAAATAAGAATCCAGGAATGGAGGTCCATCTGTGATGAATGGCTTTTTTCTAATCAAAGTAGTATAATGCTGTTTTATCTGTTTTGTCATCTTGTTTTTTTTTTTTTTTAAAAAAACAAAACCTTAATTATAATATAGCGCAAAGAAAGGCCAGGACTGATGCAGGGATTCCTTGGAAATATCAGTTCCTATCACTTTTAAAACCTGATTTTGGATCTCTCTGTTCTATGTATGTCTTTAGTGAGAGCACAATACATGGCAGAACGCTGTGCCAAATGTTATAGGTAAGGAATATAGAAATGAATGTTTTTTGTTGTGAAGGTGTTTTCATGTGATATTTTATAAACACATTTTAAAAAATCTCCATCACTTTTTAGTATAGGAAGGATAGCTTTGCCTGGGAAAAACAGTTTCAACACACCTGCTCAGAGTAGCAGTTCTCCCTCAAAAAAGCAGTGTTCAGCCTGCACTGACTGTTCTGCTTGCCAAAAGGAGGAAGCATGCAAGATACTTATTTCTCCATAGATTGTGGAGTATAGAGGGATGTGGGACTACAGATTATTATTTTTTTTCCCCGAGACAGAGTCTTGCTCTGTCGCCCAGGTTGGAACACAATGGCACGACCTCAGCTCACTGCAACCTCTGTCTCCCGGGTTCAAGCAATTCTCCTGCTTCAGCCTCCTGAGTAGCTGGGATTACAGGCACACACCACCACCGCACTCAGCTAATTTTTGTATTTTTAGTAGAGGTGGGGTTTTACCATGTTGGCCAGGCTGGTCTTAAACTCCTGACCTTGTAATCATCCCGCCTCGGCCTCCTAAAGTGCTAGGATTACAGGCATGAGCCACCGCACCCGGCCCAGATAATTTTTAATAGCCTTTGATCATGGGGTGAGTGAGGGAGTAGGTATACTTGGCAAATGCATGGTTCTCTGATTTCTAGCTCTAAAGCAGCCTTATCTGAATCCCCAAATCTTGTGATGCTGAGTACCATTACTGAACCAGTCTGCACGGTAGGCATCTGCTACCAAAATTTACCTCCTACCTGGTAGGTGTCATCTGATAAGAAAGAAGACAGGTTATTTTAATTTTTTGAGATAATCACAGAAAATTGCAGCCCATACTCTTTATTACCGAATTCAAGTTTGGAAATAGACCCTTTGTTTTAAATCATGATGGGTCTTTATCCCAATCATTTATCTGGGTCATTTTTCCAACTTTGGAGTTCTAGGAAAGAACCTTGAAAACCTGATATGATTCTGCAGCATGAGGTCTACGGTGACCATTTGGGCAAAGCTCCAGTGGCAATCATTTATTGTGTTTTGCATTTCCTGGGATTTATTGAAATAAGAATTCACTGTGATTATGTAGTCTTCTGGCTAGTATCAGGCAGCTCTGCTTTTAATTTGGTTAATTTTATTTTCTCTGAAGAGGGAGAAGAGGTACAATTTAATCTTGGCCTCCACAAGCATATTAAAGCTCACGTGTTAATCAGTGCATTCTTATGCTCCTACATTAAATGCCTTGGGTAAATGGATAAATGGACATGTGCCCAGCTTTAATTTTTTTTGCAACAGAAAGATCAGACTTCCGTATGGCATCGTTGGATTTCAGAGGCTTTCTGGTGTATCTGTAAATCTGAATGTTGCCTTCTGCCAGTCTGTATAACCAGGTGATTCATGCTGCAAATGAAATCAGGAAGCAGTAAAGTGTTAAAGCAAGAGTATTGTCCAATTCACTTGTCTTCCTGATCCTTGTACTTTATTTCACGTGTCGGTGTTTACATTACATACTTATATTTCCTGTGAAAGAAAGAGTTAAATAAATTGTAGCAGTTTGATTTTCTTTTTCTTAATGTGACATTTTCTCTTTTGCTTTTAAATCTTTCTTGGAAATTGGAAACTGAAGGAGCTCAAGTCCTTTCTCCCTGACTCCAGCCCTATTCCTCAGTGTGGAGACCTGCCTTCTACAGGCCAAATATCCCAGAATGTTTATTCTGAAAACTTTAGAAGAAGACTTTGGGAAACCCAGTGAGGATTAGTTTTATTTTAACTATGTTAAAACCACGCACAGTAGGAATTAATATATGGGCCAGGCGTAGTGGCTCACGCCTGTTATCACAGCACTGTGGGATGCCGAGACGGGTGGATCATTTGAGGTCAGGAGTTCGAGACCAGCCTGACCAACATGGTGAAACCACGTCTCTACTAAAAATACAAAATAGCTGGGCGTAGTGGCGCATGCCTGTAATCCCAGCTACTTGGGAGGCTGAGGCAGGAGAATCACTTGAACCTGGGAGGTGGAGGTTGCAGTGAGCCAAGATTGCACCATTCCACTCCAGCCTGGGCAACAAGAGTGAGACTCCATCTAAAAAAAAAATAATAAAAAATGAATAAAAATTAAAAGGAATTACTCAATACATGAACATTGTACCTAAAAGAGATGAAGTCCTGGATCCATCTTAAGTTTTTGGAATGAGAATCACTGGACTGTGAGAGTCTAATTTTCTTAGAAATCCTAATCCAGTTATATCTAACACTTAGGTAATTTCCCCCTTTGTTGGGGTTGTCAGAAGGAATAAATTTTTTTTAATTTTTATATTTTAGAAATGGCATGTGTTACATTGTTCAGGCTGGCCTTAAACAACAAACAGTCCTCCTGCCTCAACCTCTTAAGTAGCTAGGACTACAGGCATGCACCACTGCACCCAGCTGGAATAAATTTTTTTTTGTAAATGAATTCCTAATGTCCTTGTTATGCCATGGACTTTATACCCTATAACTTCTAGCAGCCATCTGGTGTTGTGCCGTTGGTTATTATTATTCTTCCTATAGGACCCCAGATGCCCTTAACTTGGTTTGATTTATTTCTCCCAAATTGTTTGAAGAAAGGATGCTTTTATTAGTGTAATTCCAGGAAGGAGAAGTCCACAACTTTAATTTATTTTCCCTTGTCTAGAATGTCATCTTTCTCCCTATTTGTTACTGTTACTTTTAGGGCTGAGTCTCCTTTTTCTAAGAAGGCTTTCTAGACTTCAGACTCTTTGATTACATTCTTTTCTGAGCCTTCTTGATTACCCAGTGTCCTTAATAATGGCATAGAACCGTAACATATAAACCATGCGACCCTGTCTCGCAAGGCCATTGTTGGCATATGAGGGGCAAAGACCACATCACACTGCTATGTATTCCCGGTGCTCAGCGTGGTTCCCTGAACATTTTGGTACTGTATATTTTTATTGACAATGAAGAAAGAAAAGCAAAAAGAGACCTGGGACTAATGTACAAACTGTTGCTCTCAACTTGGCATGGATTAGACCATAGAAAATATGGCAAGTTGGCCGGACATGGTGGCTCATGCTTGTAATTCCAACACTTTGGGAGGCTGAGGCGGGCAGATCACTTGAGGTCAAGAGTTCGAGACCAGCCTGGCCTACACGGTGAAACCCCCATCTCTACAAAAATACAAAAATTAGCTGGGCATGATGGTGGGTGCCTGTAATCCCAGCTACTTGGGAGGCTGAGACATGAGAATCGCTTGAACCCAGGAGGTGGAGGTTGCAGTGAGCCAAGATCACGCCACTGCACTCTAACCTGGGTGACGGAGCAAGACTCTGTCTCAAAAAAAACAAAAAACAAAACAAAAAAAAAAACGGCAAATTATAAATCCTGCCTGTAGTACTCAAAAAGGGCAATTTGGAAGATATGAATGTTTATATTTCGCCAATTCTCCTGAAATACAAGTGCTTCTTTACAAAAGCATTTTAGAAGGGTAGCTTCTAAAAAGAGAGAAAGGGTACCTTTATTGAATATTCCTATTGTGACTTGCTTTTAGAGGGTCGGACCTAGCCCAGGAGGCCTTCTGAACAAGTTTGGGTCAGAAAGCCTCTCCTCCAGGTGTGAGGAGGTGATCGGGCCCTACCAGCTACATGTCCTGCTAGGAAAAGGAAGTCTGGCTGCAAGATGACCGTAGCCATACATCAGATTGAATAATATTAAGTAGCAAGGGATATTTTAAAACTGAAAGCTGTTTTGGCTCTCTTCAGCTGTGGATTCAGCATAGACCTGACATTTAAACAAATGATAACCAACACGTGAGAAATATAATGTAGGAAATTTAGATTAGGGATGTGAGATTATGGAATTGTAGTGACAAGGAAAGACTGGGAATTTCCAGTTGTAGGTTGGTAGAATAAATAGTCTGTTAAAATTAACAATTGGGTTTAAATAACATTTTACCTGAGTATGAGCTTTTTTTTCCCTTTTTTTCAGTGAATTCTCATAAAATACTTTAGGTGGTAGGGCTTTTTGTTTGTTTTTGGTTTTGCCTCTGGTTTCTGGGCTTGTTCTGTCATTACATGCCTAGAGATGAAAGTATGTAAGTTGGCTGGATGAGGGGGCTCACACCTGTAATCCCAACACTTTGGGAGGCTGAGGTGGGAGGATCGTTTGAGTCCAGGAGTTTGAAATCAGCCTGGGCAATAAAGCTTGACCCCACCCCGCCTCTATATGTAAAAATATACATATATAATTAAAAGAAAGAAAAGTATATAAATGAGGCAACTTCTTGGTGGTCCCAACAGCCAAAAGATTGGGTGATTTGTGACAAACTTCCTCTGACAAGGGTTTTTTGCAGACCTTCAGCCATGGATTTCAGGCATACTCGCCTTACAAGAGCTCTCTTGACCTTCACTCTCGCACAAACTGTATTTGACAAGTGGTGCCCTTGGCCTTTGACTGATCATCTTAACTCGGGAATTGCAAGTTGCCAAATGAGAAGGGCGTGCGTTTTTGGTTGATTGGTTAGCTGCTTCAACAGCCTGGTACCCACTGCTGAAGAAGCTGTGACCTGTAAAGCAGCAGTTCTCCAATGGAGCTACACGAGACAGAATCTGGGGATCATTAAAAAATTTGCCACTATTGGCCGGCCGCGGTGGCTCACACCTGTAATCCCAACACTTTGGGAGGCTGTGGTGGGCGGATCACCTGAGGTCGGGAGTTCGAGACCAGCCTGACCAACATGGAGAAACCCTGTCTCTACTAAAAATACAAAATTAGTCGGGCGTGGTGGCGCATGCCTGTAATCCCAGCTACTCAGTAGGCTGAGGCAGGAGAATCGCTTGAATCTGGGAGGCGGAGGTTGCGGCGAACCAAGGTAGCATCCTTGCACTCCAGCCTGGGCAACAAGAGCGAAACTCTGTCTCAAAAAAAAAAAAAAAGAAAAGAAAAGAAAATTGCCACTATCTGGTTGACCACCCAGGAATTCTGAGTTTGTGGTCGAGGGTGGGCCCAGGCATCCATTATGTTTTTTTTTAAACTCTCCAGGTGATCTAGCTAACAGGTAGCTAGAGTTGAACACCACTGCTCTGGATAAAGACTGAGAGACTAACAATCACACCAAAAAATCAAAGGTAATTAAACAGGCAACATATTTGGTGTCCTTTTCTAATTGTGACTCCTGGTTACCCAGGCCTTCATCTAGGCCTCTTCCCCACCACAGACCTATTTCTCTGTCTACTCCAGCCCATCAAACCTTACCTGCCCTCTCTCCCATTCCCTCTGGGCCCTGCTTTCTGGGAAACAATTAACTAATATGATACTGAAGTACGCTAATGGATGTTAATAATTAACTGTAGTTCTCTTCCCATTGATCCTCTCATCTCAGTACACTGAATGACAACTCATCTGGAAAAAAAGAATGAATGACTATAATTTTGGCAATTGCAGACCTATTCAGTGTCATTTGATTGAATGATTGATCAGGTGGTAGAAGAGGCTTGAGCAGGCCGACTTGCCCTTCAGGAATACTGCCTGGCCTTCAGATTCAACCTTATTGCTTGACACTACTTGGCCTGCTCAGGTAAGGACCTATGGCTGCCTTGAGTAGAACAATGGGTGTAAAAAAAAAAGAAGGTGTGAATATTAAGCCCTTCTACTCAACGCACTGGGGAAGCCTGCTTTGTTTGGCTTTAAAATATAAGTAGCTCTGTTTATTTGACAGAAGCACAGTAAAGACCCTATTTTACCTTTGTTAGTCTGCTTCTGGTCTTTGCAGAGAGAGCTTCTCTTGAGCTGCTGCCACTGCCCTCAGACACGAGAGCAAAGGTTAATCTCATTTGGGGAGAAATGACGTGAAATGTGTTCACTCAACCAACAACAAGATACCATGTACCATTCAGGAGTTGGTCTCACCTCTTTCTTGTCTCCCTGTTACTGTGTCTCTAAGCCTCCCTGGTATTTCCTATAATGTGCTCCCATTTTTTCCTTGCCAGTGAAATATTTGTGGAGGTATGTAGAAAAGAAGGCTGTTTTTTCAGTGCTACATGTATGAAAGAATGTTATGGATTCTTTAAAACTCACCCCTTTCCTTGCATTTTTTTTTTATATTTGTGTTCTCATAGTCTGTGATTACTGGGAATATTCTAGAAAACAGCACCAAAGTGTAAATTTATTGCCAAAGTTTTCTTGTTTTGTTTTTGTTTTACTCCCAAGTATCACTGTCTCTGACAGCTTAAGGCAACCTTGTCTGCCATGCTGTCATAAGTCTTCCCTAATGTCCAGCAGAGGGCATCCTATTCTCACTAAAATCTCAGCCCTCCTTTCCCTCCAGCAATTTAGTTCATGTCAGTTTTTGATGTAATTCCAGTGTAAGTTGAAATATCTTCATTGCATTTCTTTAGAATCTGTATTTCTGCATTGCACTCTTGTATTGCTATAATTGCAAAAATTTCCTGGAGAAAATTATGTCCGTAACTAACCAAGGGGTGAATTGTCCATCACAGCAGTGACTCCCTACTGGTCGAGGATTCTTAAGTCAATTCTCAGCTAATTTCAGTTCTGTTTGGCATGACTATGATGGTGTTCATAGGTAACATAAAATGTGTTTAGTTGGGAGGAGGAAGCAGCTACTCTTAGTGGCAATTACCAGCCATCTGCCCATTTTCAGGGTTCCAAATATGAGCAAACCACATCACATACAAAGTCCTAACTTTACCTCTGGTAATTTATTGATAGTGCCAAAAGCAACTCAAAAGATTTTTCAAAGTCCAAGGTTCTGTCCTTCAGATGCTAATTCATTATCCATGGCACAGTAACTCAAGGGAAAGTAGAAGCATTTAGCAGGGCCTGAGCCCAGTAAAGTGAAAGGCCTTAGAATACCTTTACTCCCCATGCCTAGGCCATGGGTTGAAAAGCACACATTTACAGAAGGAAGTAGAATTTGCATTTTGAAAGTGTAGGGTAACCACCTAGACCAGATTTGGGCCTTGAGGAACGAACAAGGTCAGCTCTGCCAGATATAGAAGGGGATTCTATTCTTCATGATTGTTAACTCCTGATACCCTCCTTTGAGCTCAATCTTAGAAATATGTGGGACTGTACTGGTTTTAGGTTTAGGAGGGTATTTTGTTTGTTGGTTTGGTTTTTGTTTTGTTTTGTTTTTGTTTTTTGAGATAGAGTCTCGCTCTGTTGCCCAGGTTGGAGTGCGGTAGCATGATCTGGTCTCACTGCAAGCTCCACCTCCTGGGTTCAAGCGATTCTCCTGCCTCAGCCTCCTGAGTAGCTGGGATTACAGGTACGCCACCACGCCTGGCTAACTTTTGTATTTTTAGTGGAGATGGTGTTTCACCATGTTGGCCAGGCTGGTCTCAAACTCCTGACCTCTGGTGATCTGCCCGCCTCAGCCTCCCAAAGTGCTGGGATTATAGGCGTGAACCACTATGTCCAGCCTTGGTTTTTGTTTTTTTAATACACCCTCTAGATTGTCAGATTTGCTCTGTGGAGGAATCATGAATAATAGCTAACATATTAAACTTTACTATATGTCAAGATTTTTATTTTTATTTATTTTTTGTTATTTATTTATTTATTTTGCAGTGAGCCTCAAACTTCTGGGCCAAGTGATCCTCCCACCTAGGCTCCTGGATGGCTGGGAAATGCAGGTGTCTGCACCACGCCCCACTTACGTCAGGAATGCTTTAAGTTGCTTTTTTCTCACATAGTCGTCACAACAACCTTATGAAGTCAATAACTATTATTAACCTCCTTTTATAGATGGGGAAACTGATGCTTGGAGATATTATTAAGTGTCTTGCCCAAGATCACCTAGGTAGAAAATGGTAGACCTGCAATTCAAACCCAAGCAGTCTGACGCCTGAGCCGCTCTTTTAACCGTGACTTATAGTCCCTATTTCATAACCTCTTTGAAGTCTACAGTCTTTTTTGGATGATATGTTGGGGGAACCTAGACGGAGTCAGTAGGCAGAGATGAGAACAGGATGTAGTCAAAGTTGTTTCACTTTATGAAAAATAAGTTATTTATTTATTTAGAGATGGGGTCTCACTATGTTGCCCAGGCTGGCCTCAAACTCCCGGGCTTAAGTGATCCTCCCGCCTCAGCCTCCTGAGTAGCTGGGACTACAGGCACTTGTTTCAGTTTTTTATCACCTTCTTAGTCCACTTCCAGTAACCACAGCCTGGAGAGTGTCCTAGTAGAACAGTATGCAGCTGGTACATGAAGTGTTTGTAGGGGCTTTTCTAGAACACTGGGGGCCTCCAGCTAATTTTAACCACATAGCTAAATCAGAGAGGGAGTTGATTTCCTGAAATCCTAGAAGTTAGTGGAAATTCCAGTTTCTGATTACAGTCCCAGCTGGATTTCTGCCGAAATGTGACTTTCGTGTCCAGGGGATCTTGGCACTGGTCCCTTCTTACTCCTGTGACTTTTCTCCTACCAGTTCTGCTGAGTAGATCAGAAAAGGAAGTGGGGAAGAATACCATCTTCAGGGGAGACCAAGGGCAAAAGCTTTCAGGGGAACAGGAATATTTTAAGTTGGCCCTGCTGTTGCTAAATCAAACCTCTGTCTAGTTGGATCCTGGGGGCAGTGTGCCTAGCTGCTGAAATCTACTATTTATGTTGGCCAGGTCTAGTACAAGACATGATGATAAGTGGCCGGGCGTGGTGGCTCATGCCTGTAATCCCAGCACTTTGAGAGGCTGAGTGGAGAGGACTGCCTGAGCCCAGGAGTTCAAGACCAACCTGGGCAACATGGTGAGACCCTGTCTCTTTATTTTTTTTCTTTTAAAAAACGACATGGTGATAAGAGGCCTACAAAAATGAGAGACAATAAAGAAATCTGGACTCTACCCTGTGGATATAGCAGAGATACACAGGGAATAGCTGGGCAGGAGTTACTTATCATACACATCTATGGATGCCACAGGAAAGACAGCCAGGGCCAGGCAGAGAGCACAGTCTGTAGTATGGTAAACCAAGAACTAAAAGGTTTGCTTGTTTCAATAGGTAATAATCTTCATGGTTCAAAATTCAAAAAGCCTAAATGCATTGTGGTATTCTGGAGTGAGTCCTGCAATAGAAAAAGGATATTAGTGGAAAAATGGGTGAAATTTAAGTAAAATCTGGAGTTTAGACAAAGTACAAATGGATATGCTGCACACTGAAAAAATTCCCTTCCATCTCTGTTCCCCAGGCACCCTGTTACCTTGCCATAAACAACCAAACGTTATTCATCACATGTGTCCTTCTAGAGTTTTTTGGTACATATACAAGCACGTGTGTGCATTCTATTTTACACAAATGGTAAGATACTATGTACACTATTCTGGCCCTTGCCTTTTTGTTTGTTTTGTTTTGTTTTTTGGAGACGGAGTTTCACTCTTGTTGCCCAGGCTGGAGTGCAATGGTGCAATCTCGGCTCACCGCAATCTGTGCCTCCTGGGTTCAAGCAATTCTCCTGCCTCAGCCTCCCAAGTAGCTGGGATTACAGGCATGCGCCACCACGCCTGGCTAATTTCATATTTTTAGTAGAGATGGGGTTTCTTCATGTTGGTCAGGCTGGTCTCAAACTCCCGACCTTAGGTGATCTGCCTGCCTCGGCCTCCTAGAGTGCTGGAATGAGCCATGGCGCCCGGCCTCCGTGCTGCTTTTTTTTTTTTTTTTTTTTTTTTAATAAGATATGGCTTGGTATGGTGGCTCATGCCTGTAATCCCAGCACTTTGGGAGGCCGAGATGGGCTGATTGCTTGACAAGCCCAGGAGTTTAAGACCAGCCTGGGCAATGTGGCCAAACCCTGTCTCTACAAAAAAAATACAAAAATTAGCCAGGCATGGTGACATACACTTGTCATCCCAACTACTTGGGAGGCTAAGGTGGGAGGATCACCTGAGCCCAGGAGATCGAGGCTGCAGCGAGCCGTGATCATGCTACTGCACTCCAGACTGGGTAACAGAATGAGACCCTGTCTCAAAAAAAAAAAAAAGCAAAAACAAAAGATGATTTTCGTATTAGCCATTTAGGAGCTATGCTTTTTCACTTAACACCATAACAAAACATTTTTTTCCGAGTGGTATATAGGCCCCTGGCAAGATAATGGGGGTTCTGGCCTGAGAACACTGGAGCCCTTTAATAGGACTCAAAGGCCTAAGGCTTTTGAGAAAGGTCACTGTGCCTGTTTATCTTCAGGTTTTCCGTAGCTTAAATCTACCCTTGTGACGCCCATAATCCCAGCACTTTGGGAGGCGAAGGCAGGCGAATCACCTGAGTTCAGGAGTTTGAGAGCAGCCTGGCGAACATGGTGAAACCCCGTCTCTACTAAAAATACAAAAATTAGCCAGGCATGGTGGCACATGCCTGTAGTCCCAGCTACTTGGGAGGCTGAGGCAGAAGAATCACTTGGACCCGGGAGGTGGAAGTTGCAGTGAGCTGAGATTGCCCCATTGTACTACAGCCTGGGCAACAAAGCAAGACTCAGTCTCAGGAAACAAAAAAAAAATCTACCATTGTGGCTAAAGGAGATACTAATCCTGACTGCTGTTCTTAGAGAACTGGGGCCTGTACACCTTGAACATAGTCTCCAGATGTACTCTCTTGTGTTTGGCATGGGCATCAGATTCAGTGAGCCCTTTGTAATAAATAATACAACTTCTGTATTTTTTTTTTTTTAAGTAGAGAGGGAGTTTCACTATGTTAGCCAGGATGGTCTCGATCTCCTGACCTCGTGATCCGCCTGCCTCGGCCTCCCAGAGTGCTGAGATTACAGGCGTGAGCCACCGCACCCGGCCTAAATAACACAACTTCTAACATCTGCATGGTGCTTTCCACTAACAAAGCACCTTTCATCATGACTCTCACTCCTCACAAGTCTGAGAGGTAAAAGCTCTATTTTACCGATGAAAAAAATCTTCTGGAACAGGTATTCTGACTCTGTAAGTCATGTACCTCTTTCATTCTTTCATGTGGGTCCTTTCTGTTGCCAAAGTTCAATTGATTGCAATATTTTCCTATTTGCTCCCACTTCCTCAGTAGATAAAAACTGTTAATGGATAGTATTTGAGTGCTTTCTCTTGCCAGGCACTACCTATGCACTTTATATGAATTATTTAATCTTTTTAACAACCACATGAGGTAAGCTCAACAGCCCCACCGTATAAATGTAGAAACCAAGATTCAGAGAGGATAGGTTATTTGCCCAAAGTCACACAGCTAGTAATTGGTAGAGGTGGGATTTCAATCTACATCTTCCTGACTCCAGAGTATACTCTCCTAACCATTGTATGTACTATTGTGAAAGGTAACTGAGTGTCCTCTTTCTTTTTCTTTTTTCTTGCTATATTGCCCAGGCTGGAGTGCAGTGGTGCAATCATGGCTAACTGCAGCCTCTGCCTCCCAGGCTCAAGCGATTCTCCCACCTCACCCTCCCAAATAACTGGTACTACAGTCAGGCACCTCTGTGCCCGGCTAATTTTTGTATTTTTTGTAGAGATGAGGTTTTACCATGTTGCCTAGGCTGGTCTCAAACTCCTGAGCTCCAGAGATCTGCCCACCTGGACTTCCCAAAGTGCTGGGATTACAGGCATGAGCCACCTCACCACCTTGCCCGGCTGTCCTATTTCTTTGATTTGCTCTTCCCAAGAATTCAAGCAAAGTTTGCCTTGGAAATCCAATACCTTTGTTATATGTGGTGATGAGCTGTAGAACAGAGGTAGGAGATGGAGGAGGGAGTAGCAATAATCCCTGATTATGAGTTCTGCACCTGCTTCTGATTTATTGGGACATCAGGTAAAGTCCCTTTCTCTTTGTTGGGGTATTCCCACCCATAAAAATGAGATTAAAAATTTGCCATGAAGAAAACACAGAAGAAAAAGAAGGCTAAAATATTGAGCTGAAATTGAAGGGAAAATATTTGAGTTCCACAGAATGGTGACATACTTTGCATAAATACAAATTTAAAATATCATTAATGCTATGGTGATAATCACTACTTTGCGATGAATTAAGTACAGCCCTCGGAATCAGTTTACCAGGGTCATCTTGCCAAATGAAGACAGTTGGAAAATGCTTCCGTGTGCCTCAGGTTTCCCGCCCCTGTCATCCACCACTCCCTTGATGTCCCTTTCAGGGGGACAACAGTCTGAATCTGCCCTGAGACACTTACAGGTCTCCTACACTTGGCCTTCTCACACAGTGGGGTGACTGTGGAGCAGATCAGCATTTGAATGAGAACCTATTTGTAAAGCTCTTTGGCTGTAAGGGAGACGCAAGTTTAGTAAACTTGAGGCAAGGGGCCAGAGAAGATGACAGTGATGTCACTTCGATCCTCATGACTGATGCTTTTCTTTTTCCCAGTGGCGCTATCTCGGCTCACCACAACATCTGCCTCCTGGGTTCAAGCGATTCTCCTGCCTCAGCCTCCTGAGTATCTGGGATTACAGGCATGCACCACCACACCTGGCTAATTTTTGCATTTTTAGTAGAGACAGGGTTTCACTATGTTGGCCAGGCTGGCCTCAAACTCCTGACCTCAGGTGATCCACCCTCCTCGGCCTCCCACAGTGCTGGGATTACAGGCATGAGCCACCACGCCCGGCCAATGACTGATGGTTTTCTGATGTGACTTTGAGAGCTGTTAATGTGAGCAAGAGTTGATGGCCGTCGATCCCATCTGCCTGTACTTCCTATATTCTTGATGCTTTGTCTTATAGGAACCGGGCAAATCTAACTCAGTCTTCCTTTGATCCACACTGGATGAGTGAACTGCATGTGGGTGTCAGAACTCAGTGCTTTTGTACTGAGGCTGTCACCTTGTTACCTGAGGGCTGCCTTAAATCCTCAACCTAATCTCAGCTGTTGCCTCTGGCATTCCCTGGTTATTAGTTTCTTGTGGGGTGTGTGTGGGAAGTGGAGAGGAGACCTGAGGGAGGAATAGAGACAGGATATGGAAATACCTCAGTGCCACAGTACTGTATTGGTAGTGCTTGGCTAAATTCCAGAAGTCCAGCAAAAGAGGGACAATCCTTTTTATTTTATTTATTTATTTTTTAGAGACAGGGTCTGGCTCTATTCCCAGGCTGGAATGTAGTGATGTGATCATAGCTCACTGTAGCCTCGAACACCTGGGCTCAAGTGATCATCTCACCTCAGCCTCCTAAGCAGCTGGGCCTACAGGTGTGCCAGCGGACTCTGCTATTTTCTTTCTTTTTCTTTTTTTTTTCTGGTAGAGACAGGGTCTTGCTTTGTTGCTCAGGCTGTGGGACCATCTTTTGAATCTGGCAAAACCCACAGCCTATAGATTCAGAATTGCTTATTGATAAGTCATTTGATTTCTTCTGGACACGGGTGGCCTCCAAAGACTTTCAGACTCTACCTGAGCAGATGCTTGTTTATTGACATGGAAATTACTTTTCCAGATGAACTTTTAAAATCAATGGTTTTCAAGTATCAATGCACACTAGAATCACCCAGTGGACACTGTAAACCATCTGGCCCCATTCTTAAGGACTCTAATTCAGTAGGTCTGGGTTGGAGGCCAGAAATCTGCATTTTTAACAGGCATCTTAAGTGATTCAGACGGTCAGCCTCAGAATTTGGCTCAGGTTTTGAACTAGCCTTTTTTTCTGCTGCAGTCTGTTTTAATCACCTTCATTGAAGGATTTATTAGCATCTCCATGTTTATTACCTGTTTCATTCTCATAGCATCACAGCAACTCAAGCAGGAACAAGAGGTGGTTAGCTCCATTTTATGGGGTGTTAGGGGGTGGAAGGTGGGATTGAGGCACTGGGAGAGGTAGGTCATGATGAGTCAGAGACAGAGATGGGAACTGAAGTCCAAAATTGATGACTCTCAAACCAGGCAATTTTCTGGGGCCTATTTTCTCAGCTTGTGATTTTATATTTAATCATAGTTATTCCTTGAATCGCCAGTTCATTGTACTTGGGTAAGCAAAGCATATTTGTATTTTAAACAAAGTAGTTTAGCATCAAGGTGCCAGTTTTTGTTAGCATATTAAGGCTCTCTTAAGCTTGAGTTAATATCGAAAACAGTACTGTGGAACTGACTTAATCTGCTTCTCTCTGTGCATGCTTCCTTTATTATTTCTGAAGACTTTAATTTTTTTTTTTTTTGAGACAGGGTCTCACTCTGTCACCTAGGCTGGAGTGCAGTGGCAGTCACAGCTCACTGCAGCCTCAACCTCCCAGGCTCAAGTGATCCTCCCACCTCAGCCTCCTGAGTAGCTGAAACTAGGCGTGCACTACAGGCCCAGCTAATTTTTGTGTTTTATTTGTAGGAATGGGGATCTCACTATGTTGCTAGGACTGGTCTTGAACTCCTGGACTTAAGCAATCCTCCTATCTCGGCCTCCCAAAGTGCTGGGATTACAGGTGTGAGCCACTGCACCTGTCCAAGACTCTTTTTTTTTTTTTTTTTTTGAGACAGGGTCTTGCTTTCTCACCCAGGGTGGAGCGCAGTGGTGTGACCTCAGCTCACTGCAGCCTCAACCTCATGTGCTCAAGTGATCCTCCCACCTCAGCCTCCTGAGTAGCTGGGACTATAGGTGCACACCACCACGTCCTGCTAAGTTTTTTTTTTTTTTTTTTTAGAGATGGGGTTTTGCTATGCTGCCCATGGCTGGTCTTGAACCCGTGAGCTCAAGTGATCCATCATGTGCACCACTGCCCCAGGTGACTTTTTACATAAAGTATAAGAAAACAGATTCCTCCTCTCAATGCCTACAGGAATCCCCTCTGATCTTCTAACTGGTAAAGTACTAAGTTAAAAAAACCTCTTAGCCCTCTGTCTCTCCAAGTTGGGTAGTATTAAATATATGAATCCATTTTTAGCCTGGGCAGCATGGTGAGACTCTGTCTCCATACACACACACACACACACACACACACGCACACACACACACGAAGCTGGATGTGGTGGCACATGCCTATAGTCCTAGCTACTCAGGAGGCTGAGGCTGGAGGATTGCTTGAGTCCAGGAGTTTAAGGTTACAGTGAGCTATGATTGTGCCACTGCACTCCAGCCTGGGAAACGCAGCAAGACCCTGTTTGTTAAACACACACACACACACACACAACACAATAATTTTTTAAAATCCTGAAAACTCTCAGTTAAGTCATTATTATTATTATTTTAGAGATGGGGGTCTTGCTGTGTTGTCTAGGATGGTCATGAACCCCTAGGCTCAAGTGATCCTCCCACCTCAGCCTCCCAAGTAACTGGGAAGACAGGCACGCGTTACCATGTTTAGCTAAATTGTTTTTATTATGCTGTGGTTATTTAAATTTACGAATATAAAGTAGGAAAAATGTGCTTTTATTTCTAGTTCTTACACAGCTAAAAAAAAACCACAACAAATTTACAAATTAAATACAAATGAAACCACAAAATGAATACTATTCAATTAAAAATATTATAGTAATTTAACGTGACAAATGATGTATTTTGCTAAAACTGTCATCCGTCGTATTGTTACTATGGTGTTGCCTGCTATAGCTCAGCTTCTTTTGTGTTCAACATGCCTATGCCACCAAGTGACTCCTGATATCTTAATTTTCTCACCATTTTTCTGTTACAACTACCAAATAGTGCAATCTCATGATGCATTTGGCTTTCATTTTGTGCATGAAAGTATCATTGTCATTTTAAAACCACCTCTGTTCTTTTCTCATTATCCCAGAACAATAAAAGCAGCACTAAAACACACATGTAAATGTGGGTGCTGAAATTGTGTGGCAATACTTGGTTGTAAGGTGGTCACCCAAATAATTCAGAATATGCTTATACAAATCTAAAAAATATGAAAATGAAAATAAAATTAAAACCCTAGAGAATACATTCGCAGACATAATTTGAGAAAAACTGTTCAGGTCTGCTGGTTCCCAAACTTTCATTACTATCAAAGGCTCTAGCTATTGTGCTTACTTCCAAGAACCCCATTTATTTATTTATTTATTTATTTATTTATTTATTTATTTATTCATTATTTCATTCATTCATTCAAAGGCTCTATTGTGCTTACTTCCAAGAACGCTATTTATTTATTTATTTATTTTAGAGACGGGGTCTCACTCTGCCGCCCAGATTGGAGTACAGTGGTGCGATCCTGGCTCACTGCAACCTCTGCCTCCCGGGCTCAAGCGATTCTCATGTCAGCCTCCCGAGTAGCTGGGACTACAGGCTCCCGTCACCAGCCCAGCTAATTTTTGTATTTTTTAGTGGAGACAGGGTTTCACCAAGTTGGCCAGGCTGGTCTCGAACTCCTGGCCTCAAGTGATCCGCCCGCCTCGGCCTCAGAATCCCATGTTTTAAAAAAGTTTGTCTCCTACACTGCATTTATAGTTTTATTAATCAGGCACATAGAATTACCATTTCGGAGCTTGTGATCACCATATGTAGTTATCACTCCAAGCTGCTTAAATTCCAGTCTAAAACAAACAAAACATTCTAATTATTCTGTGCTACCCTGACAGGGGTAAGTGAAAACTTTCCATTCAGGTTTGTAAGAACGAGCTCCCAGACCTCCACCTCTTCCCCTTGCTGCCTCTGAGGACTCTTGGAGGTCTAGGGAGGCCAGTTTGGGTTTTCTTGCTCAAGAAAGTAGCCACCCCACCCAATTTGGAAGGATTAAAGCTTGTCCTAGTTTTGCTTCATTGTTGTACTTCTAGCATGCTAAAGAGCTAAAAAATGGGAGGAAGAAAATACAACAGAAGGCACCATTCCAGTACCAAACTGAAAAGAAACACAAAAACAAGAGAGCAGCATGTTTTTAACAGCTTGCGTGGAAAAAATATTGACTGGGGAGTTTGGACAGCACTGTTCATTTTCTCTCACCGCCCGCGTTATTTGTCTTACGGAGCAGGAGCCAGATACCATTCTGGAGAAAGAGCCGCGGGAAGAGGTGGAGGGGTTCTGTGGAAGTTTGAGTCTGAGCGGAGAAATTAGGGCTGGAGATCCAGTGGCTCAGGGCCAGGAAGAAGTCAGGGGAGGTGCTAAAGCCTTTTTCCTCCTGGCCTCGGGCACTCTCTTTGGTCCGCCTGAGTCTTAAGAGGGCACAGCGCAGATCATTCAGGTAGGTTCCTGGCTCCTTCAGACTACAACGAGCTGGATGAATCCCTGTCCCTGTTTCTTTCGGCTGGGGAAAGGACGCAGGGGTTCCATTCGCTTTCTTAGCCCACCCGTCTTCTTGAGTTCAGACCTACAACTCCTGCAGTGGGGGTCAGAAGGGAGCCTTAATCATCGGGACAGAAACGCGGCTCCCCAACTTCGGCTAAACCAGCGTGGCGGCCTTCGTCCCTACTGCCTGGGCGCGGGGCGGGGCCTGGGCGCGGGGCGGGAGGCGGTGACCAGCAGCAGGAGGAGAAAGAACATGGCGGGCGCATCAGAGCTCGGGACCGGCCCAGGAGCAGCGGGTGGAGATGGAGATGATTCGCTATACCCGATCGCGGTTTTAATCGACGAGCTCCGCAATGAAGACGTGCAGGTACTGGACTGAGGCCGGGGACCCGAGGCGAGACCGGCTGGTCGCGTGGTAGAGAAGGGGGAAGGCCTGCGTCGCGGTGGGGGTGGCCGAGGTACTGAATGAGTCGGACTCGTAGCAGAAACTTGAAGGGGAGGCGGGGAATGCTCCGCGAGGGGCTGTGGTGACACGCCCCGACCCTCCCGGGTACCTCTCTAGTAACCTTGCTTCGGACCCCCTGAGGCGTCCGCCCGGAGCCTTGCCCTTCCCGGGCGGTTGTCGGGGAACCCGCTTCCCGCCTGGGCGCCCCATCCGGGCCGTGAGGTGGCCGCGTCTCTTGGGCGAGGGAGCAGGAGAAGCGCGGTGCCAGGCCGAGACGGGGCTGGAGCGGCTGAGGGGCGCAGGATGCCCAGAAGCCCTTTGAAGTGCCCCTGGATCCCTTCATCTCGGCTTGGAACTGGCTCGGCTTGTTGGGTAGAAAGCGGGGGTGGGATGGCCGATTAATCTGGACGAGTAGTGTATCCGCTCTGTGGGAACTTTTCTTTGAAACCACAGGTGTTGTATTCAACCGTTTCACCTGCTTCACCACTGCCAAAGTGCTCTCTTTTTAAAATTATCTTACTTCCTAGGTGTTGTATTGTCTTTCCTTCATTTCTCTTCCGGTCCCTTCTGAGTGTTTCTCCTGGGAAATCCTCCGCCGGCTAGTGAGGCCGAGTTACACTTCTTTTTGGAAGTCCTTATGAGCTTCCTTAACAGTAAAATCTAAATGAAAGGTTATCTTCATTCTTACCCCTGTGTCATAATTTCACCTGTTAGCACCTTTTGTCTTTTGATCTAAATTCAGCCGTTTCTTTACATTGTTCTTCTTTCTACTTTCTTTTCTGAAGCTCCGACTCAACAGTATTAAGAAGTTATCAACAATTGCCCTAGCACTTGGAGTAGAAAGGACCCGAAGTGAATTGTTGCCATTTCTTACAGGTATGTGAATCTTTGTTTAAAGAAAGGTAGGGACATTCCATTTTCCAGTAGCTTTCAACACTGACTTTTTTAGAGTTTATTACCCACATTAAAATGAGCCAGGTGTTTTTTGTGCAAAAGAAACAGAACAGAGTATATTGTTAGTTGTGGCTAGATATATTCAAACATCAACCATTTAGCTATTGAAAGTAATTGATACGGGAGTATGAATTTCTAATTCGTTGTGCAAAGCAGATACAGGAAGACGGTTGAGAAGAAAGAAAATGCTGTTAGGATTTTGACTGGGTCACCTTCCTGGTCGCATAGTGAATCTGTTCCTAGTTTTGTGTCAGTGTCCAGCTGTGGGAGAGCTATCCATGTTGATGAGTCCTGTTGTTGTCACTTCCAGATACAATTTATGATGAAGATGAGGTACTATTAGCTCTTGCTGAGCAGCTGGGAAATTTCACTGGCCTAGTGGGAGGTCCTGACTTTGCCCACTGTCTGCTGGTGAGTATTTATAAGCTGCCTACCCTCCTTCTACAACTTTTGCAGTATAAATGATACATTGTTTGGTGATAGACACACTGCAGCATTTTTTATGCAGATCTTTTTATGGGCAGATAGTCATAATGTTAGTCATTGAGAGAATAAGTACTGTAGGCACTTTGCACTCAACTCCTTTTTTTTTTTTCTGTAAATAAGAGAACTTCGTCCTCCTTTTCTGCGTCTGTAGACTTATTAGTTTAGATGTAGGGAGAAAAAGGGTTTGATTGTTTTTATGGTTCCCCCGCGCGATGGTGGAAGTTTTAATTCTCACCTAGCAGCATTTTGTCTTTGTCAGTTTAACTTTTGCTTCTGACTTTGTGAGTTTGATGAATTTAGTTCAATTTAATTGACATTTATTGAGAGTCTACTTTATCAGACACATCATAGTTTACAATGTTAATGTTGAAGAAGACCAATGTGAGGGGGCTTGGTGGCACAAGCCTGTAGTACCAGCTACTCAGGAGGCTGAGACTGGAGGATCACTTGAGCCCAGGAGTTTGAATCCAGCCTGGGCAACATAGTGAGACCCCCATCTCTTAAAAAAAAAAAAAGACCACCAAAATGAATCTAATGAGGTCACTGCCTTTATGTGTCAGCAAATAATTACCGTGCAGTCGTAAATGGAAAGATATAAGTACCCACAAAATACCCACGTAATAGAAGGGAGAAAGGGATTCACTCCGGGTGATCAGGGAAGACCTTGGGAGATGATGTCTGAACTAGGTTTTAAAGGATGACCAGGAATTCAACAGTTGGACAAGGTAGGGGTGTATGTGTCAGAGCTTTGAATACTGGGTATGTAATACTGATTCTTGTGATTTCTGTCTCTAGTTCTGACTTTTCCATGGAACTCCTGAGGTAGATTGATTAATAGATAAGTATGAATATATATATATAGAGAGAGAGAGAGAGAGAGAGTTTTTTTTCTGTCTATGTATATAGGCCTATGCTTTTTTCTACTTGTATGTCAAACAGGTATTTCAAACTTAACATACCCAAAACAAAACTTAGCTTTATCCCCCAAATACACCTCTCATTTAGTTGTTCCACTTCAGTAAATGGTATCACTATCTTCCCACTTGCACAAGCCAAAACCTAGAATGTATTCTTGAATCCTCTGTGCCTTGTTCCACACATCTAATCCATTAGTAATTCCTATAGAGTCTACGTATATTTCAAATAAGTCCACTTTCTTCCATCCCTCCTATTACCAGCCTAGTCCAGACTGTCATCTTTCCTCTAGATTGCTGTAGTAGCTTCCTAGCAATGCTTTCCACTCTTGCCTCTCACCCGACTCTTACAGTTCACATCACCCAGCAGATGGCTCACTCTCTGCTATAGCTCTTAGAAAATCCAAATTCTGTACCTTAGCTTACAAGGCTTTTTATGACCCGCCTCTGTAGGATTATCATATGCCCAGTGGTACTGCATGAGAAGAGGTGACAGTAGGCAGGGAACAGACTGCAAAAGGCCTTGATAACCTCTTCCATTCACATTGGTCATCTTTCTGTTTTTTGAACTAACCAAGCTCATTATTCCCTTAGGACCTTTGCCCTAGGTCTTCCCTCTAATGAAAAGCTCTTTCAAGCTTTCTGTGGCTGGCTCCTTGTCATTCAGGGATCAACTTCAATGCATCTCCTCAGGGAGGTTTTCCCCAACCACTCAACTTAAAATAGCCTCACAGTCATCCCTTACTACATCATCCTACTCCTTTTTTCTATAGAGTACTCATCACCATCTACTTATTTTCTTGATTGATTGTTGTCTTACTCCATTAGAATGTAAATGCCACTAGAGTGAGGAACCTTGTCTGCCTTGTTTCTTCTGTGTCCTCAATGCTAGAATATACCAATAATAATGTATTGAAAAAATGAGTTTCAGAGGCTTGGAAGCATGAAACAGGCTGGGTTCAAAACTGCCGGAGTGTGGCTGGGTGTGGTGGCTCACACCTGTAATCCTTGCCTTGGGAGGCCAAAGCAGCAGGAGGATTGCTTGAGGCCAGGAGTTCAAGATCAGCCTGGGCAACATAGTGAGACCCCAACACTTAAAAAAAAATAGCTGGGCATGATGTCATGTGTCTGAGTCCTAGCTATTCGGGACGCTGAGGCAGAAGGACGAGGAGTCTGAGGCCGCACTGAGCCATGATTGTGCCACTGCACTTCAGCCTGGGCAACAGAGCAAGACCCTGTCTCTTAAAAAAAAAAAAAAAAAAGAACTGCTGGAGTGTGAAGTGTTGAGGCTGGGTAGGCAGAGTGGTCATCAAGGGCCAGGCAGAGTTCAAATCAAGAGACCACTCATAAGCAATTCTCAGGAGCATGGCCTCATCCTGTAGTAATGATAGCTATTATCCAGTGGTACTGCACGAGAGGGGGTTACAGTAGGCAGGGGACAGATCATGAAATGCATTGGCAAGTGAGAAACAGTATCTTTTCAATGAGTTTCTGAAATACCTTCTAGGAAAGCTGAATACTGTCTACCTGTGTGTATCAAACAATTTTTAAAATATATTATTAGACACACTTCTTTTCTTTAACTCATTATGCTTCTGTTTCACTCTTGGTTAGTTCTATATGTGGGTTTTATGCTTTAAAATCTGTAGCTCATGGCATGTGTAGAATCTACCTGGACTACATGCAAACTCAGTAAGGCAGAGGTTCAGAGAGCCAGCCTGTTTACACTTTTTACTAGGCCATGCCATATTCAGTTACTGCTCTTAATCCAGACCATCCACCCCATTTGGCTTCTTTTATTTCTAAAGCTGTAAGCAAGGTGTCCTACCATCTCTGTACTTTACCTTTTTTTTTTGAGACAAGAGCCTCACTCTGTCACCCAGGCTCAAGTACAGTGGCACAATCTCGGCTCACTGCAACCTCTGCCTCCCGGGTTCAAGTGATTCTCATGCCTCAGCCTCCTGAGTAAGCTGGGTTTACAGGCGTGTGCCACCATGTCTGGCTAATTTTTGTATTTTTTGTAGAGACAGGGTTCCACCATGTTGGCCAGGCTGGTCTCGAGCTCCTGACCTCAAGTGATCTGCCCACCTCGGCCTCCCGACGGCTGGGATTACAGGTGTGAGCCACCGTGCCTGGCCAGTCTCTGTAGTTTTCACTTGATTGTTCTGTCAGAAACTCCTTTCTGCCCTATGGCTAATGGAAAGTTGCTGAATGTGTTCTGAAAAAAGCAATTTTGCATTCAGCATTTTATAGGTTGGATAAAAGGATGGGATGGAGATGGTGGATAAGGGTTGCTTGCACCTCTGGGAATGGTGGAAAGATACTGAAAAGGCTGTGGACTCAGTGACCTGACAAGCTGTTATCCTGTATTTGTGGTGCCTAACATTGGTCATAGTTTTGTACTTACTCTTGAGGAAATATACATGATCCTGTCTGAATTTGGCTATGTATCTTTTAAACCTAGTGATTCAACTCACAGTAATATTAATATTGTGTCAAGTCTTTTACACTGTGTCATTTGTAGACACCATCTGGGAATTGCCATCTGGGACACGAGATCTTGGCTTTTCTACAGAAGTCGTGTCTTTGGGTTGGCCGCACCATATGTTATCACTGTGTGAGCTGAAAGTAACCATTTGGTATGATGCAGCTAACATTCTGGTTACGTGTACCACCTCCCTTCAGTCACTTTAAAAGGTGATTATCTGTTTCTAACCTGATTCAATAAGTTTTCTTCTCTGGTTTTCCTTTTTAATCCATTCAGCCTCCTTTGGAAAATCTGGCAACTGTGGAAGAGACTGTTGTTCGTGACAAGGCTGTGGAGTCCCTGAGACAGATCTCCCAGGAGCATACTCCTGTTGCTCTGGAAGCTTATTTTGTACCTCTGGTGAAACGCTTAGCAAGTGGGGATTGGTTCACCTCTCGCACATCTGCATGTGGTTTGTTCAGCGTTTGCTATCCCAGGGCATCAAATGCTGTTAAAGCAGAAATCAGACAGTAAGCCATGGTATTTTTTTGCCTTGTTAAAGCAGAAATCAGGTAGTAAGCTATGAGTTATTTGGGATTACTGGGGACTTGTAGCTGACAATTTACATAGTACCTTGTTACCAATGAGTGGCTGATACTAGGATAGTAGGATTTATGACATCTTTCTTTTTTTTTTTTAAGAGATAAGGTCTTGCTCTGTTGTCTAGGCTGGAGTGCGGTGGCACAATCATAGCTCACTGCAACCTTGAACTCTTGTGCTTAAGTGATCCTCCAGCCTCAGCCTCCAAGTAGCTAGGACTACCGACATACACTACTGCGCCTGGCTAATTTTTAAAAAAAATTTCTGGCTGGATGCAGTGGCTCATGCTTGTAATCCCAGCACTTTGAGAGGCTGAGGTGGGAGGATTGCTTGAACTCAGGAGTTCAAGACCAGCTTGAGCAACATAGTGAGACCTTGTCTCTACTAAAAAGAAAAAAATTAGCTGGGCATGGTGGGACCCGCCTGTATTTCTAGCTACTCAGAAGGCTGAGGTGGGAGTTCACTTGAGCCCCCGACAAACAACAACAAAAATATTTTTGGCATATAGATAGGGTCTTGCTATGTTGCCCAGTCTGCTTTCAATTCCTGGCCTCAAGCAGTCCTCCTACCTGGGCCTCCCAAAGTGCTTTGATTACAGGTGTGAGGCACCATGCCTGGCCTATGATGTCATTTTTTATTATCCAGTTGAATATGTTTTATTTTTGTTACTTCTATAAGTAGAAGCTTAGTCACTGATTATTGTAAGATAAAACCTCTAAAAGTCTGTCTGTGTGTATGGGGGGCAGGTTTATTCAGTGTTATTTGATGGGAAATACCTTCATTGTTTTATGTTGCAGGCAATTCCGTTCCTTGTGCTCAGATGACACACCAATGGTACGACGTGCTGCTGCTTCCAAATTGGGTGAATTTGCAAAAGTTTTGGAATTAGACAGTGTGAAAAGTGAAATTGTTCCACTGTTCACTAGTCTAGCTTCAGATGAACAGGTAAACTAACTCTTAGTATTTAAGGGACACAGATATGCTCCTTTCCTCTAAATTTTCAGAATTTCTTTGGGGAGTTTTAGTTTTCTTGTTAGGATTCTTTTTACAGAATTAGTGCTGATTCTGGCCTGGTTAAAGTGTAACATGCTTATCTCAATGTTCTTATGTTTCTTTCTTAACCAGACCATGATTTCTCTCTTACATTAGCAGCTGTTAAAAGAGTGGGGAGTCAGAGAGGAAATGGGAGCCATAATTAGAAAGGAAGACCAAAGCTGCATGGAGGGTAACATACCTTTGGGAATTGCTGGCTGTATTGTAATATGAGGGAGTAATGTTTCCTGGAATTTTTGACTTTTCAGATAAATAAGCTTAGAATGTGTTAGGAAAGCTATTTGACTCTCTGCTTCTTCTATAGTAGTGTATGGGATTACTTCACATAATCGTATTCAATTCTGAAGATCTAGATCTCTTTGGTGTAGAAATAACAATAAAACTAGCAAACATCCAAATGAAGTACTTAATTTTTCTCTGCCTTTAAGTAGTTATGTGTATTAAGTAATTCAGTCCTTACAACAGCCCCATGAGATAGCCCATTTTACACATTAGAAAACAAAGGCACAGAAAGTTTAAGTAACTTGCTGAAGTTTGCATAGTTAGCAGTAGTGGAGTCAGAATTTGAATCTAGGTGGTTTGGCTCCAGAATTTGTGCCCTTCACAGCTAGGCTGTCCCGCTTCTCTGTAATGGTGCTTAATAGGATCAGCTCCCAGAGTTCCTGGACTCTAGAATAGTCCTTTTGGGCTTTTAATTTGCATGTTGCCTGCCCTAAGATCGCTTCATGTGTACAGGACCACAAGCCCCAGGACACATATTAATGAGTCTCATTTTCAGATCCTAAATCTAAAGATCTAAATCCTACTTTGAAAATAATTTTAAAAATTATTAGAATTTTTATTCTAATAATAAATGTACAAAATGAATGTATAACTTAATGAACTATTAGAAGGTAATACCAACTTGTTAACGATCACCTATGATAGGAGACATCACTTTGACAGCCACTATCCCAGAATCCCTCCATGGATTCCCTTTCAAACACAATCTCTCTTTCCTCCTCCACTTGCCACTCCATTTCCTTAAGAGTAACATTATCCTGACTTTTATGGTAAGCGCAGCCTTTGTTTTCTTTGCACTTTTTCTTTTCTTTTCTTTTCTTTTTTTAAAAGGAGTCTCACTCTGTCACCAGGCTGGAGTGCAGTGGTGCAATCTCGGCTTTCTGCAACCTCTGCCTCCCGGGTTCAAGCAATTCTCCTGCCTCAGCCTCCCAAGAAGCTAGGACTACAGGCGCATGCCACCACGCCAAGCTAACTTTTGTATTTTTAGTAGAGACGGGGTTTCACCATGTTGACCAGGATGGTCTCCATCTCTTGACCTTGTGATCCGCCCACCTTGGCCTCCCAAAGTGCTGGGATTACAGGCGTGAGCCACCGTGCCCGGCCTTCTTTGCACTTTTATTACCTAAATGTTATAGTTTAAAACAGTGCTTTACAACAGAAATATAATGTAAGCTACCTGTTGATTTTAAGTTTTCTACTGGCCATGTTTTTATAAGAAAAAAGAAATAGGTGAAATTAACAATATTTGTATTCGACCAAAATTTTCCAAAATCTTATTATTTGAGTGTAAATAACGTGTACCAGCCACATTTCAAGTCTCAGCATGAGATGATGTTGTTAATAGGGTGGTAGTGAAGATGGAAAGGATTTGGATGTCAGTTTGGAAGTGGGATCAATAGGTTAGTATTATTGGATTGGATCAGTGGGAGAGGAATCAAGATCTCCTAGATTTTTTGCTTGAGCAACTGGGTGGATGATGGTGTCATCGTTAAGATAGAGAAAATTCTGGGAAGAGGAACAGGTGTAGGAGAGAAAACGAAGTTCTGGAAGAGAAGTAATTTTTTTTTTTTTTTTTTTGAGATGGAGTTTCACTCCTGTCGCCCAGGCTGGAGTACAATGGCATGATCCCAGCTCACTGCAACCCCTGCCTCCCGGGTTCAAGTGATTCTCCTGCCTCAGCTTCCTGAGTAGCTGGAATTACAGGCGCCTGCCACCATGACTGGCTAATTTTTTGTATTTTCAGTACAGATGGGGTTTCACTGTGTTGGGTAGGCTGGTCTCGAACTCCTGACCTTGTGATCTGTCCGCCTTGGCCTCCCAAAGTGCTGGGATTACAGGTGTGAGCCACTGCACCAGACCAGAGAAGTAATTTTTTAACAAATATGTATTAGCTTATATTTCAGTAGTTGATTAGCAGTCCCATGATTTAGCATCATTTTCGAAATTCAAAAATATCTGTGTAGTCACTACCAAGAACTTAGTCCTGTCTTTTTTAGCCTGTGCACCTGCATACAGAGGAATGTGTGTGTCTTTGGCATATAGTCAGTTATTGTTGATACACAGTTTCTAAGATTTGTAATATTTTGGAAGTTGGAGTCACTGTTATGTCTCTCAAGTATGTGTATACGTATATACATAACTGTTATTGTACACACTTAAAATTTTTTACCTATTTCTCCTGGGTGCTAATGTTTACATGTATTAAGATTCTACCTTATATATGTATAATACACAAATCTACAGTCTCAATTTCTAATTTCTCATTGATGTTTCTTTTTTTTCGGTGTTTTTTTTTTTTTGAGTTGGAGTTTTGCTCTGTCACCCAGGCTGGAGTGCAGTGGCGCGATCTCGGCTCACTGCAGCCTCTGCCTCCTGGGTTCAAGCAATTCTGCTGCCTCAGCCACCTGAGTAGCTGGGATTACAGGCACGTGCCACCATGCCTGGCTAATTTTTGTATTGTTAGTAGAGATGGGGTTTCACCATGTTGGCCAGGCTGGTGTTGAACTCTTGACCTCAGGTGATCCGCCTGCCTCGGCCTCCCAAAGTGCTGGGATTACAGGCATGAGCCACTGTGCCTGGCCCCTCACTGATTTGTCTTGTATATTTTCCACTTGTTCAAAGGACGTAGGTGTCACGTTGACATTGGCTGTTTACATTTGGAAAGTTGAGTTCATTAATCCCATACTTTTCTAATTTCTGTGTTTTTCTAGCCACAGCTTCCTCAAAGTTATTCTGTCCTTGATCTTCGACATTTAAATCCAACTGATTTTTGTTTTTGATTTCTAACTTTTAATTGTTCTGTGTATTTCTTTCCAAGTCATTATCTTATGCTGCCTACACTCCTGTTACTGCGACCCTGATCTGAGTTTTTTGAAAACTAAGCTTTCTAAGTGATTTCCTTTACTCTTACTCTTACCTTTGTCCTAATCTGTTATAAATAACTTGTACAAATATTGTTTTCATTTTTATCCCTCAACTTTCTGTTATAGTAAGGCTTTGAAGGCATCATTAAAATGTTTTTTTTTTCTTTTTTACTTAATTTTAAAATTTTCATTTCCTTTATAGAAACTCTGCATTCTAGCCAAGGTAATTACTTTGCTGTTTACTCATAGTACAAAGTCATTTCTATCTTTATGACTTTGACATGCCATTCCAGGCAAAGGGAGCAGCTCTTTCTTTTTTTTTTTTTCCTTTTTGTTTTTTGAGACAGAGTGTCACTCTGTCGCCCAGACTGGAGTGCAGTGGTGCAGTCTCGGCTCACTGCAAGCTCCGCCTGCTGGGTTCACGCCATTCGCCTGCCTCAGCCTCCCGAGTAGCTGGGACTACAGGCACCCGCCACCACGCCTGGCTAATTTTTTTTGTATTTTTAGTAGAGATGGGGTTTCACCGTGTTAGCTAGGATGGTTTCCCTCTCCTGACCTCGTGATCCGCCTGCCTCAGCCTCCCAGAGTGCTGGTATTACAGACGTGAGCCACTGGGCCCGGCCGGGAGCAGCTCTTTCAAGATATAAATACACGGCCAGGCGCAGTGGCTCGCGCTTGTAATCCCAGCACCCAGCACTTTGGGAGGCCGAGGCAGGTGGATCATTTGAGGTCAGGAGTTTGAAACCAGGCTGGCCAACGTGGTGAAACTCTGTCTCTACTAAAAATACAAAAATTAGCTGGGCGTGGTGGCTCCTGCCTGTAATCCCAGCTACTCGGGAGGCTGAGGCAGGAGAATCACTTGAGCCTGGGAGGCGGATGTTGGAATGAGCGGAGATTGTGCCACTGCACTCCAATCTGGGTGACAGAGTGAGACCCTGCCTCAAAAAAAAAAAAAAAAAGAAAAAGATGTCAAGACGTGAAACTATATAAGGTGTGGCAGTCTTGGTGGTGTTAATTTTTTTAAACACCTGCACCACCCCACAGCAGTTCCCCATGGGTCTCAGTAAATGTCTGAATTACAGAAATTTTGTTCCTTTAGGATTCAGTGCGCCTCCTTGCTGTGGAAGCTTGTGTCAGTATTGCCCAGTTATTGTCTCAGGATGACCTTGAGACTTTGGTGATGCCTACACTTCGACAAGCAGCAGAAGATAAATCTTGGCGCGTTCGCTATATGGTGGCTGACAGATTTTCAGAGGTAAAGTGATCATTTTTAAGTACTAAGGAAATAAACCTGAAAACACATAGATTTGCTGTTGTACCCAAAGTTTCTGAATTAATTCTTTTCAATGGGAAGTGCTGTGGCAAAAATATGTATTTACAGATTGCACAATTTTGTTTTGTTCTTGTTAATTCTTTTGTTAGTATACATTAAAACCCGTTCAAATTCTTTTATAGCTCCAGAAAGCCATGGGTCCTAAAATCACCCTAAATGACCTCATCCCCGCCTTTCAGAACCTACTTAAAGACTGTGAAGCTGAAGTCCGGGCAGCTGCTGCCCACAAAGTAAAAGGTTAAGGAGTTCAATTTATGTTGGAACATGTGTCATTCATTTTGGTGCATTTTTTTGTTAGTCAATTTTGCATGTTTTTTGTTCTAGAATATGTTTTTAAAATACATAGGGATGTTTTTAGTGTGTGGAAATGTTACATTGTCACTTAAAGATAGTCTCTTTATATTTAAAACCAAGAAATCATTTTGTCTTGTTTTTGTAAAAAAAAAAATGCCTTTCAGGTTGGATTGGTGTGATATGCAATGGCATAGAGAGTTCACGAAAAAGTTTATTTAGAACAAGAGCTGTTTTCCTTATTTGCTTAAACATATAATTTAATTGAAATTATTGATAAACCTGGTTAAATGTCCTCATTTGGCTCTTTGTAAATGGCCCTGTGAAAGCATTCTTTTTTTCTATTTATCTTTTAGAACTTGGTGAGAACTTGCCCATTGAAGATAGAGAGACCATAATTATGAATCAAATTCTGCCTTATATAAAGGTAAACCTGACTTTATTTTGTTTCACTCTCTTTTATATGAAGGTAAACCTTAATCTCATTATTTTTGTTTGTTTGTTTACCTTAAAGCTCTTTGAGTTTAAAGGTTGACAGGGAATGAATGGGGAAGATGTGTTAATGTGCAACATTGTTATTCATCACTTATTAGCCCATTGTAATTGTAAACTGCTCTTTGGTGCATAGGTTTATGTTACCTAACAAGTAGTCTGAGGAAACATTATCAACTAATCAGTATTGAAATAGTGCTGTCTTTAAATTCCTTGGGGTCAGGCATGGTGGTACATGCCTGTAATCCAAGCACTTTGGGACGCTGAGGTGGGAGGATTTCTTGAGCCCAGGAGTTTGAGACCAGCCTGGGCAACATAGTGAGACCCCATTGCTACAAAAAATACAAAAATTAGTTGAGCCTGGTGGCATGCACCTGTAGTACCAGCTACTTGGGAGTCTGAGGTGGGAGGATTGCTTGAGCCCAGGAGGTTGAGATGGCAGTGAGCTATGATCATGCCACTGTACTCCAGCCTAGGTGACAGGGTGAGACACTGTCTCAAAAAAAAAAAAATTAGGCCAGGCGTGGTGGCTCACACCTGTAATCCCAGCGCTTTGAGAGGCCAAGGTAAGAGGATTGCATGAACCCAGGAGTTCAAGACCAGCCCTGGCAATGTAGTAAGAACCTGTCTCTGCAAAAAATGAAAAAAATTAGCCAGGCCTGGTGGTGCATGTCTGTAGACCCAGCTACTCTGGAGGCTGAAGTGCTTGAGCCTGGGAGGGTGAGGCTGCAGTGAGCCAAGGTCATGCCACTGCACTCCAGCCTGGGCAACAGAGCAAGACTCTGTTTCCCAGAATAATGGTATGGAAGTTTCTGTTGTCTTGTAATAAAGGCTTTTAATTTCGATTTTATTTTAGGAATTAGTATCCGATACCAATCAACATGTCAAATCGGCTCTAGCTTCTGTAATTATGGGATTGTCTACTATTTTGGGCAAAGAAAATACCATTGAACATCTTCTACCTCTTTTCTTAGCTCAGTTAAAGGATGAGGTGGGTCTTGCTTTATGTTCTGTTGCCTTTGATAGTAATTTGATTTTATTTGATTTTGGTTTAGGGTTTCATTAAAATAGAACCCCCAAAAAGAAAATGGATAAAAAAATCATAACTTATTTTAAACCAATGACACCTGTGATTTTGGGTATGGGGTTATAGGTTCCTCAGAAAGTGGGCAAAAGTACCCATTAGAGTAAACCTAGAAATATCTGTTTATCATCTTTACCTGATTTTTGCTTTATACTCCCTGGTTTCTTTAAAGCTAATGTGTCTTTGTTTAAAAAGTTTCATTTATTTAAGTTTAAATATAGTATCAAAAATTATAATGATACCTAATATTTACTGAGTAATTACTACATGGCAAGCATGAGCCTTAGTGCTTTGCATGTATTTTTACATGCAATTCTCACAACAATCCTGTGAGGTAGGTCTTATTATTATCCCTTTTTGTTTGTTTGTTTGTTTGTTTTGTTTTTTGAGACGGAGTCTTGCTCTGTCGCCCAGGCTGGAGTGCAGTGGCGCAATCTCTGCTCACTGCAAGCTCCGCCTCCTGAGTTGATGCCATTCTCTTGCCTCAGCCTCCTGAGTAGCTGGGACTACAGGCGCCTGCCACAGCACCCAGCTAATTTTTTGTATTTTTAGTAGAGACGGGGTTTCACTGTGGTCTCGATCTCCTGACCTCGTGATCTGCCCGTCTCGGCCTCCCAAAGTGCTGGGATTACAGGTGTGAGCCACCGCACCCGGCCAATTATCCCATTTTACAGATGAGAAAGCTGAGGCATAGAGGGTTAAAGTAACTTGAGCAAGGTCTTTCAACAATGACAGATCTGAAATTTGAGTGCATCTGATTTAGTTCCAGAGATTATGCTCTTTACCATCTTACGGACTTTTCTTGTAGTCTTTAGTATTACGGACTTTTAATTGAAATTTCTGATTAAGATCATTTATGTTCCTTGAGTTATTTATGTATTCACTATTATTTCTTCAAGATTATCCATTTTTTTTTCACCTGAGTCTTACCTCACCTTTTATCTTACCCTGACAGGAGACTGTTGGGCAGAGTACTTGATTTTTAAATGTGGTCTTTTGGGGCTTGTGTACTTGCAGTGTCCTGACGTTCGTTTGAATATCATCTCCAATTTGGATTGTGTAAATGAAGTGATTGGAATCCGTCAGCTCTCTCAGTCTCTCCTTCCTGCCATAGTGGAGCTGGCAGAAGATGCCAAATGGAGGGTCCGCCTGGCCATCATTGAGTATATGCCGCTGCTGGCAGGCCAGCTGGTGAGTATGTGTTGCTCCATGAACTGCAGGGTAGTGTCAGATAGTGACAATTTACCATGGCAAGTAGGAGGCCTAGTAGCCTGTATGCTTATGTTTGTTTAGATGCATGAAAGTATGGCCTTGTTCTTGTTACCTATAGGATGGTTTTTATGTTTGTTAGTGCATACGTTTCTTTTCTTTTAAGATGGAGTTTCACTGTTGTTGCCCAGGCTGGAGTGCAATGATGCAATCTTGGCTCACTGCAACCTCCACCTCCTGGGTTTAAGCGATTCTCCTGTCTCAGCCTCCCAAGTAGCTGGGATTACAGGAATATGCCACCACACCCAGCTAATTTTGTATTTTTAATAGAGATGGGGTTTTACCATGTTGGTCAGGCTGGTCTTGAATTCCTGACCTCAGGTGATTCACCCGCCTCAGCCTCCCAAAGTGCTGGGATTCCAGGCGTGAGCCACTGCATCTGGCCTATTAGTGCATACATTTCTAACAAAAAGGTATAGGTTGAGTATCCCTCATCTAAATACGCTTGGGACCAGCATGTTTGGGACCAGAAGTGGATTTTGGAATATTTGCATTATAAATATTTACTGGTTGAGCAGCCCAAATTCAAAAATGCAAAGTCCAGAATGCTCCAATGAGCATTTCCTTTGAGCATCATATCAGTGCTCAAAAAGTTTTGGATTTTGGAGCATTTCACATTTTGGATTTTTGGATTTGGGATGCTTAATCTGTATTACAGAAACATATTTCACCTCATCACCACCGAAAAACAAAGCCATAGAATAATCAGTTTCTTGGTATATATAATGTAAATTTTATAATATTTAATGCCTTTGTGACTTAAGAAATGTTTAACTGAGAAGAAAAGGGATTATGGTTTTAGGGTAAGTCTGCTGTGATTTTTGCTCAAGGAAACTTCCCTGTTTGCCTTGTATTCTAAGCAAAATGTCCCTAGGTACCACTTGCCCTACATTCTGATTAAAGGGAGTTGAGGAATCACCATATAGAAAAGAAGTATTGAAAGGCCGGGCACAGTGGCTGACACCTGTAAACCCAGCACTTTGGGAGCCAGAGGCAGGCGAATCACTTGAGGCTAGGAGTTCCAGACCAGCCTGGCCAACATGGTGAAACCCCATCTCTACTAAAAATACAAAAATTAGCTGGGCACGGAGGTGCACACCTGTAATACCAGCTACTCGGGAGGCTGAGGCAGGAGAATCGCTTGAACCCAGGAGGCGAAGGCTGCAGTGAGCCAAGATTGCACTACTGCACTGCAGCCTGGGCAACAGAGTAAAACTTTGTGTCAAAAAAAAAAAAACAAAACAAAAACAAAAACTGAAGCTTGTAATGTTAGTATTTTGGTCAAAGTCCACATTATCACATTATCTGTTACTGTTTGAGTTTCGTGATCAGTGTTACCCTAACTAATACCATGTTAGTTAAAATTTCAAAGCTGGGTTTTATAGCCACATCCTTTCCTTTTTTTGAGTAGGTGGCCTAGACAGTTCTAAGTTTGATGTACCTTCATCTCTGTTGGTAGCACTTATTACAGAGTATTGTAATTGTCTGTTACAGTCTAGTTGGAGAGATGGGTGATCTCTTTTAGGGCAGGGACTGTATTTTATTTCCAGTCCCTACCATAGTGCCCGTCATTAATTAGGCACTTAACATTTTTTATTTTGGGGGCAGGGTCTTGCTGTTGCCCAGGCTGGTCTTGAACTCATGGCCTCAAATGATCCTCCTGCCTCGGCCTCCTGAGTAGCTGATAATAGGCATGAGCCACTGTGTATAGCCAACATTTGTTGATTGTTGAGTATTTTTTGAGAAAGATGTGTCAGTTTACTATTGACATCGCTACAGTTTGTTTCCCCTTCCTCACTCCCACTTCCATTCCTTTCAGGTCACAACATATGGAATTTATTTTTTCTTGTCTTGAACCCCTGAATTTGTATTTTTAATTTTAGTACATTTAGTTTATGAACATGCAATTTGTGGATGTCTGTGGCATTATATGTTTTATAAAATTGAAAGTGTCCGATTCTTTGAAAAGTATACCAGAGGTATTAGTGCATGGCAAATGGGATCAGGTGAAGTTATTTTGTCATCCTTTTTGTCTGTCACTCCCAAGTGCTATGGGTCATCTTCTCTTCACTGGTGATTGTCATGGATCTACTTTTCAGAGTGGAGAGGAGCAGTGATTAACTGATTTGCTGAAGACCAAAACTATCTGGAAGGGAGGGTGCATTTTAGTACCATTTCTTTTAACCTCTGCTCCTTCTAGACCTGGAAAGTTTCCCAGGGTTGCTAGCTCTATAGAGAGCAGTGTGAAAGCAAGGCAGATGGTGTCTTTGGCTGACTTACACCTGTCTGGCAGGGGTGACATGCCTCAGTCATGAACATTTTGCTTTACAATTTTAACTTCTTGTTAGTATATATATTCTCCTTAATTTCTCTTCATATCTAAATATTTTTATATCAGATAGTCATTTTATAAAATTCTCTCAAGACTTTATGTATGACCTGGCTTGTGGACGATGTTAAGTAAGTGTAAAGTTAAACTACAAAAACCGGAAAATAGGCCAGGCGTAGTGGCTCACGCTTGTAATCCCAGCACTTTGGGAGGCCTAGGTGGGTGGATCACCTGAGGTCAGGAGTTTGAGCCCAGCCTGACCAACATGGTGAAACCCCATCTCTACTATACAAAAAATTTAGCCGGGTGTGGTGGTGGGTGCCTGTTACTTGGGAGGCTTCTTGGGAGGCTGAGGCAGGAGAATTGCTTGAACCCAGGAGGCGGAGGTTGTAGTGAGCTGACATTGCACCACTGTACTCCAGCCTGGGCGACAGAGAGAGATTCCGTCTCGACAACAACAACAACAACAACAACAAACTGGAAAATAAAAGTTAATTAAAACTGAAGGAAAATTCTCAACCTGAAATGAAAAAGAAATCTTGGCTGACGTAATCTAAGTGTATGCCAAAATTTGTTCATTATGATCTTTTAGTACAAAGCAATTTTGGGCCAGGTGCGGTGGCTCATGCCTGTAATCCCAGCACTTTGGGAGGCTGAGGCGGACGGATCATCTGAGTCAGGAGTTAAGAGACCAGCCTGGCCAACATGGTGAAACCCTGTCTCTACTAAAAATACAAAATTAGCTGGGCATGTGCTGCATATCTGTAATCCCAGCTACTTGAGAGGCTGAGGCAGGAGAATCACTTGAACCCGGGAGGTGGAGGTTGCAGTGAGCTGAGATTGTGCCACTGTACTCCAGCCTGGGCAATAGAGTGAGACTCCATCTCAAAAAAAAAAAGCTATTTTGTCTTATTCAATCACTATTTTCAAAGCACTGACACATTATATTACCTCTCTTTTTTTAAAATATAGAATCACCAGTCAGGAACTTCTTAGAGTTCAAAGAAGCAAGACTGTAAATGTGTAGACCCCAGAAGGGAGGCACTAGGAAAGTGTGTCACAGCATTCTCCATGTGGTGTGGAAGCCCCGGGGTTAGAGGACTGTGTAAATCTGCTCCCGGAGCCCATCCCCAGCCTGCACTGAAGTGGCCACCTGTTGACAGTCGGGAGGAACAGGGCTGGGAGAGCAAGCCATGCCTGGGCCATATGCCCTGTAGTCCTGGGCCTGCTTTATTCTCCCTCCAGGGCTTTCTCCTGTTGTCTCGAAAATACTCTCTTTAACTGGGGATATCTCTATGTCTTGAGGTCAGTTGCTTTATCCTTAAGGATTTGTCATAATAGTAACCAAAAAGGGAAGACGATTGAGAATTAGTAATATTACTGACAGGTGTTTTCCTGGGTAATTCATTTTTACAGGTAATCCAGATTTGCTTGGCAGACCATACACAGTGCATTCTTCCTGCTCTTTTGCAGTGTTGTGGCTGACTTCTGGCCACCCTGTTCTCTTTTACCTAGCAGGGCCTATGCCAGCTCACGTATGCTTTTTTTTTGTTTATGATTTCCGTCCAATAAATAGATTTATGGTTTGTTTGTAATTCCTGTGGTGTTTCTATCTCTTATTTGTTTATTTGGAAACAAGTTTTTTTAGCCTTCAGGTAACCTTGGTGTAATGTAAATAGACCATCTTTATTTCTGAATTTTGGCAATGTATGTTAATGGAATCTTCTGTATCTGTAGGGTGTGGAATTCTTTGATGAAAAGCTGAATTCTTTATGTATGGCTTGGCTCGTGGACCATGGTGAGTAGATAAAAACAGATTATTGAAAGCCCATATATCCATGATTTTCATACATTTCCTTTTAGAAAGGAATCTCAGTCTGACCAGATATTTTGCCTTAATATTGTAGGAATGAAGAAAGGCTCTAATTAAAGTTTAATCTTCTGAATATAAATTTGACGTTTCTACCAATTTTTTGTATCTTCGATTTTATTTTCTCCATTAAACAATTTATTTGCATTATTTTCTTACTCAATCTATTACATTATCTTCAGACCATCTCTTTTATATATCTACTTACTCCTCCCTTATCTGAAGATCCTCTTTTTGACCATCCTGTAATTGGTGTCTTCAGCAGCTATACACTAGGTTGTATGGAGATTGGAATCAGATGAAAGGCCTGGGTGGGAGAAATGGCTACTTGGCTTTTTGAGGTGACATAGAAGAGGAGATCTACAGTGAGACAGTAGAGGATTCTTAGGTGTGGGAAACACTAGCTTTGCCATAGGGAGAGAGAGGGCCTGGATTTCTGGTTTGGGTGAAAGGAAGGCTTACTGCTTGTACTCTCACTGCTGCTGCTACAGTGCTAGGAGAGGGTGAGCTCAGGGCAGGTCAGATAGGACAGCAGGAATGAGCAAGTGACTTCCTGGTGAGGCTTCAGGTAGAGGTATATGTGTGTATCCCCTTGTGTGCCAGGCAGCAGTGGGTGACAGATGTACCGTCTCTGCCAGATCCCAGGTCCAGACTTGACAGCTTCAGTGTTGTCTTAGACCTGTTTCGATGAGTGTGAGTGCCCCTATGGGGTCATGTGACATTGTCCTTGAGCTTTGTTTCCATGTTTTGGTGGATATAATAGATAACCTGAGTCAGTTCCACAGTATCTTTTATATACTTGATATATGTATTTAGTGTATCTCTTTGTTCATCTATGGGTGCTTATGCCTGGAAATTTGGGAGGAATGAGGATATTTGTGTCTGCTTATACGTGTGGGTGGTTTTGTTAAAGGCATGTTTGCATCATATGGAGGATCATATGGTTAAGAGTGTGAAGAGGAAGGATGTGAAAAAATATGTGAAAATGTATAAGGGCTTATATATGTGGGTATTTCCAGTGTTTTCAAACTGGATTGTAGACTTCTTTCTCTTTTTCTTCTCTAAAGTTATCTTATTGTGGCCTATTTATTTCTTTTTAAATAAAATTAAAATTTGGCAAATCATAGGAAAGAAATACCACTTTTAAAAAAAATGTTTATGTTATATCTGATAAATATTTGACGTTACTGGGAATGGTGCATCCTAGCAAATCATTCTGTGCTTTTTTAAATTTTATTTTACTTTAAGTTCTAGGATACATGCATAGAACATGCAAGTTTGTTATGTTACATAGATATACATGTGCCATGGTGGTTTGCCGCATCTATCAACCTGTCGTCTAGGTTTTAAGCCCCACATGCATTAGGTATTTGTTCTAATGCTCTCCCTCCCCTCGCCCCTCACCCCCTGATAGGCCTCAGTGTGTGATGTTCCCTTCCCTGTATTCATGTGTTCTGATTGTTCAACTCCCACTTATTAGTGAGAACATGTACTGTTTGGTTTTCTGTTCCCGCGTTAATTTGCTGAGAATGATGGCTTCTAGCTTCATCCATGTCCCTGCAAAGGACATGAACTCATTCCTTTTTTATGGCCGCATAGTATTCCGTGGTGTATATGTGCCACATTTTCTTTATCCAGTCTGTCATTGATGGGCATTTGGGTTGGCCTCAAGTCATTCTATGCTTTCTTTAAAAGTTGGCATTTTAGATTAAGATGGTGTTTTATTTTGAGGAATTTTTAAAGTTCTAATATTCCACAAAGAATTAAATTCCTGGCACCCTTTCTCTGTAAGATTGTCTTCTCTATGCAACTTGATTACTCCTTCCTCTTTTCGGATTTTCTCTTTCAGTTTGGGAGCAGGAGAAACCCTTGTTTATTTCACTGCAGCAGCATGCTGAAGTGGGGACTGCAAGAGTTCCATGAACCAATGAAATAACAGCTCTGAAATTGTTTTGTACTTAATCACAGGAGCTTTTTTGCTTTTGCATTTCAGATAAGTGTTATATAATGATCACTGGATCAGTTAGAGTTTTTGAAACTTTTCCCCTAGTTAGGTAACTACTAAAAGAACATTGTGAAAATTCCAGAGAAGTATAAGGAAGAAAGTATCACTCACCTATATTCCTGTGGTTGAGTAGACAGTTTTGATCAGAGGGAGGAATGTAGAAGGGAAATTTATTTATTTATTATAGGAGAAAGGAGAAGGTATCAGTTATTGAGCATAGATAGACATTCAAAGAAACCTTGCAGGTCAGCCAGGCCTTGAGAGGAGATGGGGAGAGAGAAAGAGACAGAAATAGACAAAAGAAAACAGGCAGAACTCTGGAATGGTTTGCATTCTTCTGAAAACAGTCAGAGGAACCAAGAACATAGTAGGCATCTGGCCAAGTAGAGTTCAGTGCAGTTAAGGTCTTGGTCAAGGCTATGCATGTGTGTTCCCCAGTCTCTGGTTTTTCTGGCAGTAGAGATCCCTTCCTATGGTAATGGCATTATGATAAAAATCTAAAGCGTGTTAAAAAAAATAGTAATTTGCTGAGCATGGTGGCTCATGCCTGTAATCCCAGCACTTTGGGAGGCTGAGGCGGGTGGATGACTTGAAGTTAGGAGTTCGAGACCAGCCTGGCCAACATGGTGAAACCCTGTCTCTACTAAAAACACAAAAATTAGCTGGATGTGTTGGCGGGCGCCTGTAATCCCAGCTACTCAGGAGGCTGAGGCAGGAGAGTTGCTTGAACCCAGGAGGCGGAGGTTGCAGTGAGCCGAGATCTCGCCACTGCACTCCAGCCTGAGAGACAGAGTGAGGCTCTGTCTCAAAAAAAAAAAAAAAAAAAAAATTAGAGGAGAAGACACAAATACTCTAGCTAGCTCCTCTTTAGTGGGGAGGACAGGGAAGGGTTTGGGCCAAAGACAAAGACTATGGATATGAAGGGAAGGAATCTGTATTACAGTAAAACAGTTGACTTGAGTTTGCTCCTTAGTGCATCTGAGTCTTACCGAAAGGTTGCTTCTCCTGTAGACTGTCAGTTTAAGTGTTGATAATCAGTTGTATGGGTCACTTGTCTATGCTGTCTTGCTTGTTCTCAACATCATTGCCCAGAAGGATCTATGAATAGAAGAAGTTGCCTATTTCTTGGTTGGAGGCTTGTATAAATTGCCTAGGACTGGGACTGTGGCTTGGATAGCTATTCCTGCCCTTCCTATCATCCCAGGAAGGTTGGGCCCACCTGGGGAGAGAAGTAGAATAAGGAATTAGTACCTACCACCCTCGATTTGTTAATCTGAGCCCAAATTTTGAGTCTTACTGGATCTGTAAAGTGAAGTGACACCAGGCTTGTTTTTGTTCAGTGCTGTATATAGCAACTAATTGTGAGAGGATTGTAGCTGAGACCTTTATTATCTAGCTTTATGTCTTTGATAAATGATCAAAGGATATAGGGAATTATTAGATGTTAAGGCAGGCACATTGATTCAAAGACATTTGACATCTTGTTTCAACCTAAGCATTTTCATGGAGAGGAAGCAAGTCAGTCTGATGTTTGTATTTGCTGTTGTATAGATGACCACAGTGGCCTCTACACCATTTCCTTGTTGTCTTTCTCAGTCAACGTCGCTTCTCCGTGATGTTGCTGGAATAATCTTGCTAAAATTCCACATTGGTCATCAGGTCACAAGTTTGCTTTAAAAACCCATCACTGTTTTTCCTAATCAAATCTAAGTCTTTCATAATGCTCTGCAGTCTGGGTCCACCCTAATTGTCTAACTTAGAAGTCTCACAGGTTTCAGTTTTTTCTGTTTGTGTCCTGGATACATGTCTTTACCCTTTCTAGGAATTCCTCCCCGCTTCTCTCCACTTACACAGATCCTCCCAAATCTTCACTGCCCAGTCAAGGCTTCTTTCTGTGCCGAAGCCTTCCTAGACCTTCCCTGTTCACTCTTCTCTGCACTGCTACAACCCTCACAGCCTTTACTACACAATGCCACACTTCATTCTAATTGCTCTTACACCATGTGACTTCATGGAGTGTGTTAGCTTTCATTTCTCTGATAAGAGCATATTTCTTGTGAGGGAAAGTATCTTCTGTGTTCTTTTTGTAGCACATAGTAGGCACTTGTATTTGTTAAATAATTGATGATGCATATGGTGAGCTCCTTGCATCCCTTTTCTGTGGATATGCACACTTGGAAACTGAGTTGGAGCTGAGCATGCTTGTCATTGCAGCATGATTACATGTGGAGTCTGATTGCAGAGGGGTTTTGCTTTTGGTCCACATTTGATTTTCATGTAAGTAAACTAGGTTATGCTTAAAAAACAATAAGCGATATGAGAACATGTTTTTGACCTCTTCTGCAGTATACGCCATCCGAGAAGCTGCCACCAACAACCTCATGAAACTAGTTCAGAAGTTTGGTACAGAGTGGGCCCAAAATACTATTGTTCCCAAAGTGTTAGTAATGGCAAATGATCCTAATTACTTGCATAGAATGACCACTTTATTCTGCATTAATGTAAGTATAACATAACTGTTATTGCTAAGCTTAATCATTAAAGCAAAATTATTCATGACTATTTCTGAATTATCAGTATACTGTCTTCTATTTGGAATATATGTCTTGTATTGATTAATTGGAATAGACAGGAGATGAGAGAAAATGTCAATTTTAAAATTCATGTTAAAATCTACAGTATTGGCTGGGCACAGTGGCTCATGCCTGTAATCCCAGCACTTTGGGAGGCTGAGGCGGGCAGATCACCTGAGGTCAGGAGTTTGAGACTAGCCTGGTCAACATGGCAAGACCTTGTCTCTACTAAAAATACAAAAATTAGCCGGGCATGGTGGTGCATGCCTGTAGTCCCAGCTACTTGGGAGGCTGAGGCAGGAGACTCCCTTGAACCTTGGGCAGGGGGCAGAGGGTGCAGAGGTTGCAGTGAGCTGAGATCGCGCCACTACACTCCAGCTTGGGCGACAAGGCAAAACTCCGCCTGAAAAAAAAAAAAACAAAGAACAAAACTACAGTATTTTAAAAGTTCAACTTATTTGTGAATTCTGGTCTAATTCTCTGATCATTTGAATGATTCTTGTGTCCCCCACTCAGCTGCTCAAACTAGAAATATTTTCCTATTGGTCAATTATTTTCTTATTAAATATTAATTTGTTTCATTAGATTTTGGAATTTTTTAAAGTATTTTAAATGTGCCATCTTACTTATTTTTCTAGGCACTGTCTGAGGCCTGTGGTCAGGAAATAACTACTAAGCAAATGCTGCCCATCGTATTAAAAATGGCAGGAGACCAAGTAGCAAATGTTCGCTTCAATGTGGCCAAATCTCTACAAAAGATTGGACCAATTCTAGATACCAAGTAAGATTTTAGTGTTTAGTCTTGTTTTAAAAGTGTACTTTAAATTTTACCTTATAGTGGGGAGTAATTAGCTAAAATTAAGTTCAGGGATTTTCACTTTACTTAAGATCTGGGTTTGCTTAAAGAAAATAATTTAGCAACTATTTTTGAGGATGTCCACTATGACTTTTATATTTAAGCTCTGTAAATGTGTAGATCCTTGTCTGAAGCTGATTTTGCTGAGAATTTCTTTAGACATTATTTTGTGTATTTGTCAAGTTTATAAATGTCTTTATTTTTTTACTTTAAATTTTAACAATTACCATTAACCATATACACCAAAAAGGATTTCTATGGCCCATTAGACTGTCTTTCACAGATAATACTTTTGAATGTCAGTGCTTTACAGGGAGAAGTGAAGCCAGTACTACAGAAGTTAGGTCAAGATGAAGACATGGATGTCAAATACTTTGCACAGGAAGCTATAAGTGGTATGTATTTCCTTCTTTTGCCTTGCAGCTTATGCCTTGGTTAACTGGGATTTATCTCTATTATGTGAGAGGTGTTAAGTGGGTAGGATGATAAGTATTATGGGAAACAGGGAGGGTAGTAAGTTCCTGGAATGCTGGTGTCTCTCTGATTAGAACCCTCTTGGCCCACCATTTTCTCATAAGTGAGCAGGCTATTTTTCTTAGTTACATGTAGGACTGGGTAGGAAATACGATTCTCACTGGTAAGAATAGTTTTTCGTTTGGAATTTAACCAGTTTTTAAAGTTTCACTTCTGATTAGCCTGGCTGAGTAAAGACAGTAACCACAGTGAGAAGTTGTTAGTTTGATACGTTTGGATCATTGTTATTGTGCTTAATATTCACATAGATCGTTCGTGAACTTTCTGTACCACTAACCTGATTTTGTTTGGAATTTTCCAGTTCTTGCATTGGCATAATGAGGAGCAGGAGGGAAAAGGCCTTTACTAGATTCTTGTCACAAATTTCTAGTCAATGTGTTCTTAACTGGGTGGAGAAAGAATGGAAAACCTTCAAGATCTCATCCAAGCAAATGGCAACAACTTAGAAGAAATCATTTAGTGACTTAATTCTTTCTAAAGATGAAATGGGATTGTTTTTTACTCGTCTTCCTTGTTAAATCATTATTTAAGCCGTTCTTATTGACCAATTCCTGACACTTGATTGTCTCCTAATGCTTTATCCATCACCACCTGGGCTCCTGCATCCTCACTGTGGAATCAGGCACCAGCCACATAATGTTCCAGACAAAGCCTGGAAGGGTGTGGACCCAGACGTGGAGTGGAGTGATTCTCTTGACGTTTACATATATCTCTGTGTCTCTCCATCATTCCAAAGCTAAATGTACATGTTTAGAATAACTTATTTTATAAACTCTTCGGGAGACATGTTGAGATTTGACCGTAATGAAAGCCACATTTTCCTGAATTATGATGGTCTGCATTAGTCTCATGTGAAAGGGGAATGTGGAAGCTCAGGGTTAATGTAGTGGTTGTTTTGGTTTTTATTTGCTCAATTTTGTCTGTACTCATGTCATTCAGAAACCTGAAGTGTGGCTGCATCTTGCTGCTAATGTGTGATGTTGACGCCTAACTGAATTTGAACAGCTCACCACTGTGCCTACATTTAAAAATACTTCTCTCTCTTTTCTAAAAAGCTTTAACTGTAGTGCCTCCTAATAAGCAGTATGTTTGTTTCATTGTGAGATTGCAGTTCTGTATTTCGAATGAGTCTAAGAACCACAGGGATAATACTGTGCAGATTTCCTGTTCTTTACCTGGCTCTGCTTCCAGCAGTATTGACACCTAGTCCTTGCTGCATTGTACAGTAGCTTTTCAAACTGCAGTTTTATTGCTAAGTTTTTAGTATGGGTGATACTGGAGTCTTATCATTTGAAGTGTTTGCTTTTCTACTTTTACAGTAAAACCTCATTAATTCTGAAATTTAAGATAATGAGTTAAGCTGAAGAGTTTACTGAAGCAAATTAATAGTGAGGAAGCCTATTTGAACTACTTAAACAGTATTAAAGCCCTTTTTAAAAAGCACCTATTTGGGATCATTTGAGGTCAAGAATTCGAGATCAGCCTGACCAACATGGTGAAACCCCATCTCTACTAAAAATACAAAAAAGTTAGCTGGGCGTGGTGGCACACACCTGTAGTCCCAGCTACTCAGGAGGCTGAGGCAGGAGAATTGCTTGAACCTGGGAGGTAGAGGTTGCACTGAGCCGAGATCGCGCCACTGCACTCTAGCCTGGGCCATAGAGCGAGAGTCCATCTCAAAAAAAAACAACTATTTTTCACATAATCAAACTCACCTTGTCTCATGACTTTTGGTTAAGGGGGTTTTCCCATAGTTTATTTTTCTCTCAGTGCATCTTGCTATGAGGTTTGCTTGTTACCCTTTTGGTTTTTGAATTGTTGATTTTGTTCACAACCTCTTTTAAATCTAACAAGTCCTGTTCTGTTTAGTGAAGGCCCAAAGACTCCTCTAAGACTTTGTATATTTGTTACATAAAACCAAGTTTTACTAAATACTTTAAAATTTGTCCTACATTCGAAAAATAGAAATTGTAAATCAGAGGTTATCTGTCTGCATTTTAAACTGCCAAATTACCTTATAGTAAGTTTCTATTTTATGACTTTGGGCCAAGAATTAAGTATTTTCCTAAGCACAAATCTTTTTCTATATTCTCATTTTAATATCTTATGCTATTATTCTGTAAACATTTTAATTTTAGTTTCATGAGTCTTTATTTTTTGTTACCTGCAAGTTATGTTCTTCTTCATTGAATTTCATATTTGAGAGACATTTGTCTTCATGAAGCAGATTTGCACTGGAACCATTGCTTTACTCTGGTTGGAAATGCCATTGTTTTGGGGACAGACTTTTAAAATGCCCTTGTGTCTCCCAGTGAGGAGCCCTAAGCATTGACTTCTCTACCCTAAAACTGTTTGAGAGAGGGAGAGTGGGCCCTGGCTTTCTCAAGCATGGGTCGGGGGTTCAGCGGGGCCTCTGTCTTTTGTGGTGACCCCTCAGGGGTTTCATTGTTTCCTTCTGACTTAAGCAATAGAGAGAGAATTTGTTTTGGTACTCTTCAGAGGAATTGTGCTTTGGCTCATAACTTGGCCATGTTCTCCATGAATTAGTTCTCCTATTTTTTTTTTTAACTACCTTAAACTTAAGGGAAAAGTTCTCCTATCTTGATTTCACTGGAATATAGGCTTTAGGAGCTCTGTAAGGCTGGTATTTTTGTCTGTTTTATCTTCTACTGTATCGCCAGTGCCTGGAACAGTGTCTGGTGCACATAATAGGTGCTCAATAAAAATGTGTTCAATGGATGAATTTCTAAAATATCCTCCAATGTGTGCATGGAACAAATAATCAAAAGAACCAGACTGTGTCTTATTCTCCCACTGACAGAAAGATTTTCCTGCTTTCAGGAAACAAGCTTTATGTGGCCCTTTTCTGGTCCCCTGGCTTAGACTACAGTTCTGTGTGGATTTGTCTGATTGCTTCAGACATGTAATGTTGTTTTTCATCCTTGGCAGCTTACATCAGTTGTTTGTTTGATTAGAAAAATGAAGCAGACACACACACACACACACACACACACACACACACACACACACAAACATATAACCTATGCCAATAAAAATGTCTCAGCAACAGTGGAATTCACCTTGGTGTTTCTCTCTGTAATTTGTGTGGGGTTTACCCCTCACAGGTTTAAGAGACCAGGTCTTGTTTCTCTCTCTGTGCTACCAAGAAGATGTGAACCTGAGGATGCATCTTGTTTCATAAGAAGGAAGGCAGGTGAATATGTGGTTTCTAACGAGGTCTTGTTGAAATAACGGGCTGCCCTCAGCTCACAGAAATACCACAGCTCAGCCACTGTGATGCAGAGCCCCAGGGGTCTTTGCCAGACAACTTGTCCTGACTCAACAGAGACGGCAGCCTGACCTTTGAGCTGGCTTGTCCAGGCATTCAGGTTGCTTGCGTAGACTTCCAGGGAAGCAAGCCTGTCCTTCCTGACCCGGCGGTTAACCTGGTGCACTTTTGTTCCTTTGTTAACTGTTGTGTTGTCACTAAACTGAAAGGCTGGGGCTTGCCCTTAGACGTCACATTGGCTCTGTCCCTGTGGCGATGGCAGGGCAGGGTGGCCAAACAGGTCAGGTGCTTGTTCTGTCCTCTTGCCTTTTACTTAAATTCCTCTGACTTTTAAAAATGGTGACACTCTTATCGTAAAGCTTCTTATTTTTCTCCACTGCTTGGATATGAAACTGTAGAGGGAGAGGCCCTGTTGCCCAGTGTTCTCCTGGTTTAGCAGCTGAGGTGACTGCAGTCTGATGTGATGTAACTGTTTCCCTTTGATTCTCCAGTATTCCTGTTTCCATCCAGTTCCTTACTCTCCTCTTTCCTCTTCCCTCGCATGTCTCCCTCCAGTCCTCTGTACCTAGAATAGTCTCACTGTCCCCCGTTTGCCTCCACGAGCCTGCTGTTTCCAGGAAATTACATAACGTTCAGTTGGGATGGAAATCTTCCGGAGGACGAATAGAGTTTAATTACTCATTGCGTCGGAAAGCCAAGCCATTTCTGTCTCCAGAGTTGTTCTCTTAAACTGATATGAGTTCTGAAAGGAGCCAGGTCTTTCCTGTGGTTGGGGCTCTGGAGACCATCAGTGACCAGGATGTGGGGAACAGCCAGGTGGACACCAAAAGGCCCGATGGGGTGGCGCTTTCCAGGGCCCCGAGGGAAAGGCACCTCAGCACGACCCTGGGCTGCCCCAGCTTTCTCTGCCCAGTGCCCCATATACTTGTAGGCTGCTGCTGGACACCCAACTCTGCTGGCACAACTGAGGGCATCCTGGCTGGGAAGCACAGGTGGGCTTGGGAGGGATGTGCCCTGGTCAGGGACAGTTACAGCGCCACTGTCTGTGTCTCTAGTGGTGGCACAAAGGCTGAGGAAGCTAGAATTTCCTGTGAAGGACAGTGGAGAACCCAGTGTCCCTCGGGCTGACAAGAACCACTTCCCAAGACCCACAGTGCCTGGAGAGGACATGGGGAAGGTAAGTGCCCGGAAGCCTGGGGTCAAGTCCTGCCCTCAGGGCTGCGGGCAGCCAGGGTGGCATGGTGTGCAGGGAGCTGCCACAGGGTAGGCGGAGAAGCAGCACCTCTCACTTTGTCCCCAGGGGAAGAGTCCAATTTTAAGGGCCGGGAGTAGATGGTTAAAGCCTGTTGCTGGCTTACTTCATTCTGGGAATGCTTTCTGAGAGGTGGGTCGCCGGCCAGAGCTGTCACTCTTGTAGCTTGAGGCCCATCTCCTATCACCTCCCAGTCCAACAGCGAGGCCCATACAGAGGACACCAGTGGGGTTTGGTGAAGAATTGCTTGTAAAAAGGGGCTGTTCCCACTTTCCTCACATAATATAGAAGTGACTTGCCATAATTCCTCTCAGTTATTTCCATTCAAGATAAAAATAGTTGCAAGTTTCTCTGTAACAGCTCAGATGTTCTACAAGCCCCATTGGATGCCACTCTGTGTGGAAATGGTGTGAAAAGCCCCAGTTCAGCAGTCAGTGGGTGCCAGCCACTGCCCCAGGGCCATTCATTAGGAGGGCGATTTGTGGCTTACAGATACATTCAGAAAAGGAGAGCAGCAGGGCTTGGCTGCCTCGTGCGGATGCCAGACTGCGTTTAGTTCATGGGGAAAAATCTGACATTCTCACACCCATTCTAGTAGGTTCGCTTAGTGAAAATTCAATGAAGTAACATCAAAAAGGCTGCCTTTTAAGTCACATGGCTTTTCATTTTATGTGAACCGAAACCATGAAAACGTTTTTTGCCTTTTGTTGAGGTCCAGAATCGCAGTCACTCATCTTAGAACATTCTTGCCTTCCTGAGGGGCTGCACACTTGTCCGTGGGCAGCTCCAGCCGTTCCTGCAGTGGCCGCACAGTGAGAGGAAGGGCTGGGTGACCACTGTCCAGTTGGATTCCAGGGGTGGCCAGCCCTTGGAGTCCATGTCGTCTTCACAGAACTGGGCCTCAGGGAGGAGAGCTTGGCTGAAGGAGTGGGAGTGACAGTTACACATTTTTTAGGCCTAAACCACAGACTTCTTTGGGAAGAAAGGGGTTACGTCTTCCTACAAATTCAGAGCCAGCTGCTCATGCCATGAATGCGTGGTATGACCCGATCTGAGTGTGGATCATTGAGGCGGCCCTCCCATGGCTGACCTGCTCAGCTCTGACAGGGCCCGGGCTGCCTCTGCTAGCCGAGGAGTTACTGAGAATAAGTTGCCGTTACTCGAGCCTTGGTCACTGCAGCACCTTGTCAGGCACTTCAAATCTCATGTCATCCTCACCCACCCTAGGTGGTAGGTGCTATCATTGTTTTTTGGTCCCTCATGAATCTCCTCCAACCCCTGGCATGTCTATTTGGGAATCTTTTTTCCAGGAAAGGAGGCCCAGTGGTGCTAGGCCTCTGAGGCTTCAGTTCATTTAACTCAGAAAAATCCCCCGCCCCATGACTCAGGGAGCCTTCCATGCATTTGTTTCACTTAAGGAAAATGACCCGAGGGTGAGATGGAAAGGGAATTGGCTGTTGCCAGGCAGAGCCCTGTGTGTCAGGGGCCAGCAGCCAAGTGAGTGATCCAGGAAGTCATCCAATTGCAACCAGAAATTGTTCTTAACCCCTCACTGTCTAGGGTGCGTAGTGGACTTGCCAATCTGTCCGAATGGGGTGAGCGTGAGCGCGCTGCTGTTGAGAGCCCTGGGAACTGTCAGTTCTCAGCCAGCCTCAGGGCCCTCAGGGAGCCATTGGACATCCCTGGGGCTGGGCCCGCCACTTGAAGAGAAAAGGGAAAGGGCGAGAGCCAGTCTCCCTTGGTGAAGAGCGCCTCCTTGGCACCCTTGAAGTCTGTGGAGGTGCCTCTGTGTTGGATGTCACATGTGTCCACCCAGGCAGGATCTGCCAGGGAGCAGCGAGGGTCACCTCCCACACCTTGCTGCCGCGGGTCCGGCAGCGGCTCACTCCTGGACGGGACACAGGGTGCCCCCGCTGAAGCTGCTGACGGGCCTTGTCAGGCAGGGGTTAACAGGGGATTTGTTTATTGAATCACCAAGTAGCTGTCACATGATTTTAATCAAAACACCATTTCCCTGACAACAGTGATGTCAGTCTTGTTATTGCAGGAAGGAGCAGCTGTGAGGGACATTCAGTCTCCATGCCGAGCCCAGGTTTGGAGACTAAAATCAAGTGAAGCATCCATAAATAATGGCTACAGACACTGCCTGACTGCGCCCACCCTCCTCCTCTTCCTTTTCTCTGCACACAGTCTGTCCTGTACACACACTGACCCGAGACCAGCCCCTGCGCCACGTCCCAGCTAAGACCATCTTCTGCCTTCCATGCCCCTTCTACTCTTGTTTCTGGTTTTTTCCTGCCTGCCTTATTTTCCCCAAACTCAGAGAGTCCCTTGGGCCCTGAGGGTCTCTGACTTGTGCCTTTCGATGCGGGTCTCTTCTCTGGATTTAATCAGCACCTGCTGGTGAACCAGGCTGTTCTGGGCCTGAGGCTGGAGCCATTCTGCAGCTCAGGAACCTCACTTGTCCTAGAGCCAGCCTCTAGCATCTAGCTGCATGTCCTGTTCCTCCCACAGAGTTAGGCTGGCAGGGCCTTCGCGCTGCCCTGGGGGGTCTCAAGGGCAGCTCTGAGGAGCTCTGCTGGGAGTGTGTGAAGGGGAGGAGCTCCTTAAGGGCCAACCTCTTGGCCAGCGGATTTTGTTCTCTTGAACCCAGAAAGACTACAGGAGATGTGAGTCCAGTCAAACTGAGGACTGATGACAAAGACCAAAGCCCAGGGATGTTCAGTCCCATCCCCAGTGGCTTCCAGCTAAGGCAATTGGACCTTGAAGTCCATGGGGAAGTCAGACGTAGGCTGGTGACAGGGCACACGGGAGCAGGTCCTTAGGCTGACCTCCTGTCAGTGCCCTCTCCACTGTGGGGCCTAGGGGCCGAGCTGTCCGCACAAAAAGACTCCCCCAGGCCTTCCAAGTCTTTTCCACACTGGAGCTTGACCTAACAGTTGGAGATAAAAAAGTCCTCCTACCTGTGACATAGATTCTCAGGGATGTTCTTATGTTTGTGGTACCCATGTCTGATGCCTAGAACTCATTTCCGAAAATTCAGAAATCCTGGGGCAGAGTTCCCAGTTCTTAGCCTGAAGCAGATGCTCAGAACAGCACAACCACCCTTAAGTCAGTGAAGACAGAGCTCACAGGCAAGAAGCAGCCATTTTCTGTACCTAGTGTTGGGGCAGGCAAGAGTTAAAGTAAGATAGGCAGAGTGGGACTCTGTGACAGCCCTCCAGGGGAGTGGGGGTCTTCCAGGAGTGCCAGGCCAGGCTGCATTTGCCCCTCGCAGTAAACCCTGGGGTGAAACCAGCCAGCCTGTGCTCCAAGTTACCACTGGAGACACCAGCCTTTACAATGATTTGCCTGGGTTAGTGGCAGGGCTGAGAGGGCGCCAGGGGCCGAGGCCTCTGTCAGAGGTTCTTTGCTGCCTCCCAGAATGTCCCTGCCTGGAGGGTGGCCAGGTGGTGGCTCCCGGGCTGGGTGGGAGCCGGGCCTTGCTCTCCCAGGCTTGCTCTGTGCCTAGCCCTCCTTGCCTGGCCCTCTCATCCCTGGTTCCCTTCCACTGCCTGCCTGCCCTTCAGCCCTCACTTTGCTGGCACAGGGGCACTGCTAAGCATTTGGGCTCTGTAGCGACTGGAAGGCAGTTCTGGCGGATCCCAGACAGAAGAGACAGGCAAGGCTGTGCGCTCCGGGAGCTATGTGTGGCGTGCTTGGAGGAAAGGGCTTGGTGGGCTTTTCCTCCATTCCATTGTGTCCCACCCCCAACTATGTGGGTGGCCCTGGGGTGACAATGAACAGTCTCCTCAGGGTCTGATTTGTCAGTCAGCCCCACTCGGGGCATTTCACTTTTGGGGAGTGAGGAGCTGGAGCCAGAACTGTCCCAGCCGACCTGAGGAGAGAGTGACTCAGTTCTCCCTTTGAGAAGCTCAATCCCTAATGCCTCATTTTCCTCTGGGCCCACATTTTCTGAGCTTTTCTGCTTATCCAGCTTTTGGGGGCTCGGCTCCAGGGGAAGTCCGCTTCCCATGCTGTGGCTCCCTCCTGTCTCCACCCTCCCAGACACTGTGCTGGCTCGGGGGCTCAGCCCAGCTCATGCTTTCCCTGGGCTTGGAATCTCTCTTTGCCAATTTCAGAGCAGCTCTGAGTCAGTCTGCCCTAGGAAATCCCCCCAGAAACACGGACAAAGGGAGGCAGCAGCAGGAAGGCTTGCTGGAAAGAACAGTGGCCGAGGCGCCTGGCAAGCTCTCTGCCCTGCCTGACCTTGGGTTTGGCCTGAGTGATTTGTGGGCACAGCTTCATACCTGGGGGGAGGCAGGTGTGCCAGTGGCCCCTGTGTCTGAGGGAGGGCCCAGCCCCTTCGCCTCAGTCAGGACCCACATCTGCCTCCTAAGGGACGTTGTCCAGGATGATTCCTGTGCGATAATCCATCGCTCAAGGGCTGCTCAGCTTTTGAAGTCACTGGTGGGGCTGAAATGAGAAGGGCAGAGCAGCCATGTTCTGTGCAGGTGACATTTCCTTTGTAGCCACATAGCACCCAGGATTTAGTGCACAAAGCCCAGAACTTCCTCCCATGGTGCCCACGGGCTGCTGGCAAGCAGGAGGCTCCCTGTCACCTGGATCCACCCAGGGAGGGATGAGAACCCATCAGCAGGGAGGGTCCCTCTGAGCTTTGTTTGTTTGTTTATTTGTTTTTTGAGATGAAGTCTTGCTGTGTCGCTCAGGCTGGAGTGCAGTGGTGCGATCTCAGCTCACTGCAACCTCTGCCTACCAGGTTCAAGTGATTCTCCTGCCTCAGTCTCCAGAGTAGCTAGGATTACAGGCGCCCGCCACCACACCTGGCTAATTTTTGTATTTTTAGTGGAGATGGGGTTTCACCATGTTGGCCAGGCTGGTCTTGAACTCCTGACCTCAGATGATCCACCTGCCTCTGCCTCCCAAGGTGTTGGGATTACAGGTGTCAGCCACAGCACCTGGCCAAGAACTTTTGAGAGAGCAGAGGCTGAGTCAGGGGTTCCTAACTTTGGTCCCTGGTGGGGAGGGGGGCCTCGGGGGCCCAGGAACCAACTCCTGTCCTGAAATTCTGTGTCCGAAGTTCTGGGTCTGTGTACATGCTCTTTGGGAATAGTCCATAGCTTGCATGTCAAGGGGATCTCTGAGTCCTCGATTTAAGATCTAGTGGGGCAGAAAGCAGCTGCTCGCCAGGAACAGAACCTTGGGCCCTGTTCCCACCTGTCCTGCGTCTTGATGGAGAACTTGGGAAGTGCAGGCACTGCTGTCTGGTTCCATCCACTGGGCAGAGGCCCTGGGTTTGGGGTGCAGGCCTCCCTGCTGCTCTCCTTCCCCACCCTGCTGGAGCCTTCGACTCACAAAGGCTGCAGAACTGAAGAGTGTCCTGGGGAGTGCGGGGTTGGGGCCTAGCTGGCCACTGGTCTGTTATTTTGCCTGCGTCCTGGGGCATTGGAGTTGTTTTTGGCAACACAGAATAAGAATGATGGAGAAATCTGGTGGGAAAGGGAAAACATTGTTACTGAAATTTAGTGCTTTCCTTAAAAAAGAAATGAAACTCAGCAATACTGAAATTTTGGGTAGCCAAGGGGTAACCACCAGTTTAAGGCAGAACTGAGCTATTGTCAGCAGAGTCAGGCAGCAGTGGACGTTGGTGGAGAGGGCTCCGCTCCTTCCAGCCTCTGCCAGTGTGGGCCCTGCCGACTGCACCTTCCCACCGCTACCCAGAGACCAGCGGCTCACCCCGCAGGGAGGGAACTGTCAATGTTCTATAGCATGGGCTTAATTGGAATGGTTTGAGTGAAACCAAATTTCAGTCGAGATCCTGCTGCCAGCAAGCTGGATATAACAGTGGCCTTTCACTCAGGGCCTGGCACTGAAACAGGTCCAGGATGCAGGAGAGCAGCTTGGCACATGGTGCCTCCAGCACCCTGAGGGCGTGGAGCTGGGCCTCAAAAGGGTGCCCCGCCCATGTGAGGGAATGCACTGTGTGAGCGCACGTGCAGTGTCGAGGCCTTTGGCAGACCCCAGAGAAGATGTGACATCGTGACTAAGTAGCAGTGTCTTTTGCCTGGCAGCTCGCAGCACCTCCCCTCCCATTTCCAGCCCCTGCCCTGTAGCTGCCTGTCCTCGGGGACCCCTGCATCTGCCTCCCCTCCTCCTACCGCGGCATGAGGCCCTTGCCCAGGCTACCTGGGCTGATGCGCTTTGCCCTGGGACTCTGAGAATCAAGGAGCAGTAATTAAGCAGTGCCCAGCAGGGCCCTGTCCTTGTGCAGGCTGCGGTTAGCAGTGCTTCCGTCAGCGATCTGCAGCGGCTAACGTGTACTCGGGCGATTCAGAGCAAGGTATTATTTACCCTGCTGACGTCAATGAGAACATATTATCCACTGTCCTTTTCTGCAGCCTGAAATGAGCACCAGAACTCAGAGAACACAGCCACCTTCCATACTCTAAAAATTCCACCCAAGGCCCGATGAGGCAAAAACCCTATCGCATTAACCTGACATTCACATCACCCGGGCTCTTAGAAAAGAAGTTGTTTTTATTTTAATTCAAGAGGGTTGGAAACATAAAAACAGTACATTTTCCTTGCAGAAAATTACCCCATTTAAATTACTATTTGGTACAGAGATTATTTATTACACTGCATTTTAGGCAATTTTCTAACATTAAGTGACAAGTTATACTTTTGATTTTTTTTTTCACATTGGAGCTATTATGATTTGCACTCATAATACCAAAGCTACTGAACTCACCAATTTTTTTCTTAGTAATTAAAAAAAAGCACACAGAAAATATAACTACAGTTAGATTAACTTTATCAAAAGTAACTCTTTCAGACCAAACATCCAGCAAAACCACCCACCTCCCTTCAGATATAAGCAAATAATCTTGCCCTTTCTACAAAGTGCAGATATCTCTGTATCCCTTTTATTTCTCAAACTGCAGTCCCCGAAGTGAAGCAAACCTTTCTCTCCACTTCTTTCCCCTTCAGAGATTTTGGTGAAGGCAGGTTTCTCTTACCACCCATGGTGGAAAGGTCTCACCACTTGAATTTCCTTGACTGAGCAAATCTTCTGCAGACAGACACCACAGAGCCAGCAGCAGCCCATTATCTGCACTGGGGAATGTGACATTATTCCATCTGGGGTCATATGTTTCCAGGATGTTGTTTTGTACTTCTATTTTTAAAGCTCCCCTCTACCCACCCACTTTGCCTCTGAAAAGACAGAGTATTAAGTCAAAGTCTGTTATTACTTTTTTAATCCTAAAAGTAATAAGCACTTCTAGTTGATGGGGCTTGACTGTAAGGAAATGTTACGCCCCTCGTTGAGACAAAGGCTGAGTTCATGACCGTTCCTGGGGTGGAATCTGCTGGCCTGCAGTGGTGGCCTGATGCCGTGCGATGCGGCCCCTTGGCAATTGAGGAAGGGGGTGTTCTGTAGGAAACTGCTGTATTGTAACTTGGAAAAACTAGACATCTTTGAGGTGAGCCTAAACTTCTGCAGTTAACTGGACGCTGAAAGGCAGGCGGGTCTGCGGGGTTTTTGTCTCCCTCAGCCTGGTTCAGTGCACGGCCACCTGGACAGCTGCACTGTCACCTGAAGGCGGCCTCTTCCCCAAAGCCAGGCGGCTGTTGAGTGGAGAATAAGGTTGTGGGAACAATATCACATTCACCCTGTGCTTGACCAAAATGGGGGCTTTGTTTATACAGCTGTTTGCTTATGAAAAGAGTCAGATGCTACTGAGGAAAGAGAAGGGAAAGAGAGGGCTTCTTCCAGCACTAGAAGCCAGAGAACCAAAACCAGAAGCCAGTCAACCCAAGCGCGTGTCCCAGCTCCTTCTATCACCAGCTGTGATCTCAGAGAAGTCACAAACTTCCCAAAGCTTTGGTTTCTTCAGCTGTGAAAAATAAGGACAGTATCTCCCCAGCTAATTTCATAGAATTGTTGTGAGGGTTAGAAGAGAAAGTGCTTGGTAAAACTAATGTACAAATATAAGCTATTGCTCCCTTGTGGGTGGGCGAGCAGAGTATCTGGGCAGAACCCATCACAGCTCTCCCTGGGTGGGTCTGCGAGCACTGCTGCCGCCTGGTTCTCTATCTGTGCCCCAGTGTGTGCCTGAGTCTGCTGATAGGTTGAAACCTGCCTGGAGAAGATGTGGACACAAGGTGGGGGTGCACGTAGGATGGCTGTCTTCTAGAATCAGCTAGGCTACCTTAATTAGGACAAAAATGGTAAAATAAGAATGTGAGAGGCTACTGGAAGGTGAGAGGCTCCACTGCTTTCGTTCACCTGCCACCAAGGGCCAGACAAGGGCTCTGACATTACAGGTGCTTCAGACCACACTGTAGAACCTGTCAGAAGGGAGATGATAGAAACTTTAAGAAAATCTCTTTGTCCAGTTTAGAAACAGAGGCAGATGATACTGCTCTTGTCTTTTTTTTTTTTTTTGAGGTGGAGTCTTGCTCTGTCGCCCAGGCTGGAGTGCAGTGGCACGATCTTGGCTCACTGCAAGCTCCACCTCCCGGGTTCACGCCATTCTCCTGCCTCAGCCTCCCGAGTAGCTGGAACTACAGGCGCCCACCACCACGCCCGGCTAATTTTTTGTATTTTTAGTAGAGACGGCGTTTCACTGTGTTAGGATGGTCTCAATCTCCTGACCTCGTGATCCGCCTGCCTTGGCCTCCCAAAGTGTTGGGATTACAGGCGTGAGCCACCGCGCCCGGCTGATACTGCTCTTGTCTTTCATACATTGCTCTGAAGATAAGTTCTATAAAAAAATTCCAGGTCGGGTGTGGTGGCTCACACCTGTAATCCCAGTACTTTGGGAGGCCAAGGTGGGTGGGTCACCTGAGGTCAGGAGTTCAAGATCAGCCTGGACAACATGGTGAAACCCCATCTCTACTAAAAATATACAAACTAGCTGGATGCGGTAGCACACACCTGTAGTCCCAGCTACTTGGGAGGCTGAGGCAGGAGAATGGCTTGAACCCAGGAGGTGGAGGTTGCAGTGAGCTGAAATCACGCCACTGCATTCCAGCCTGGGTGACAGAGCGAGACTCTGTCTCAAAAAAAAAAAAAATTAAATAAATTCCAGAAGCAACAAAATGATCAAAGATCCCTGCCTGTACAATGACTCCAACTTACGAGCTTCCCTGTTCTCCAATTTTCACCTTTCATGTTTAGGCACAAAGAGACCGAGTGGCTCGGGTGGCTTCCCAGGAGGCAGTTAGAGGCAGCCCAGTTTAGGAGTTTGAGTGTAGCAGGTCAGCCCTGGCACCGGTGTCAGCCACTGTTCACAGGGACTGAGACTGTGAAATGACACACTGCATATTGTCTCTATAGGAGGTCGAATGGGAAAAAGTTACCTGGAGTATGAATTTTCTTTAAACCAATAGGGAGCTTAAATGTGACTGTTGATACAGGTTTTAAAATGTAATACAAACATATTTACGAACCTGGGGCTTGACTAGAGGCTGGAGGACCCCAAAAAGGAGCGCCACTCACTCACTGTGTCCTTGCATCCTCAACTGCCCGCATGTCTCCAGAGGCTGCTTAGTGCCCACACGCCTGGGACCAACTGTGACTCCAGGCTGCTGCTTGTCACCTTGCCTTAGTTTCTGGCTGATCACCTAATCACTCTGGAGCTGAGAATATCCTTCTCCCCACATCTAACCCGTGGGCAGAATTCTGTGAGCGTTTCCCTGCCTTTAGGACTGATGACACTCGGTGTGTGGGTGGAGGTGGGGGAGTCGTCAGTCTTATGATGAGTCTCTTCTGCTGGAGACTTTGGTCCACGAGAGAGGGTAGGGGGCAGGGGAGAGGCCGATACTCCTACAGGGGGGGTCCCCCCTTGCTCCCCATCAAAATGCAGAGCACCCCATTACTCCAGCACCAGAGTTGGGAAGGGACACAAGAGGCAAGGGCTGGCTTCAGTCTTGGGCTCCTGTCTGTCCCAACCACTGACTCCAGCATACGGTTTAAACACTTGGGAGTTCTTGATATCTGAGGAAGAAAGGGCCACTGACTTTTTCTTTCCTAGGAGGCAAAAGTGGATGGAAGAGAGAAGGGGTTTGCTCAGATGGGCATGAACAGCCCCTGAGCCCCATCCCCACTCCCCTGGTGGGCCCTGATGCTCTCCCACGCAGGGATTCTCAAGGTGGATGGTGTAGAGAACCATCAGCCTCCTTTTCCCACGGTGACAGAAGGCAGTGCAGGCAGAGGTGGCGAGGGGGCAGCTGGGGACGGTCAGTGTCACCGGGAATGTGAAAGTGGGCCCCCTCTTCCTGTCGGGCTAACATGCTGTTTGCCTTACAGGGACCAGTGTATCAGTTGCGTGGAGATACTAGAGACACACTTGCCCAGCTGGGAATTGCAGAGCTAGTGCATTTCTCCCAAAGCACAGACTAATACCCCAGATTTAAAAAAAGAACATAAAAAATAAAGTACCACACATATTGCACTTTTTGCCGAACGAAATTTTTACCTCACGTTCATCTCACCAAAGTCTCTTCAGAGGAGCCTGGTTTACAGGGTGATGAAGCTGATGATGATACAGTAGTGTACACACTGCTAACGTGAATCAGACTGGAAAGCAAGTCAGTACTTCAGAGTAGCCCCGCAGAAAAAGAGCGATACTAAGCCTTCTTAGTGTTTTGTTTGTTAGTAGTGATGAAGAGAAAACTGCTTGGAAGCTTCCATGGGTCACTAGTTAGGGACAGAGCAGCACAGGTGATCAGACAGGGCTGAGCAAACACCTGACTGACCAACAGAACCAGTCTCCTCAGCAGCTTACATTGCAGTCAATACAGAGGGTTATGGAATTTATTGATTTCTGCTTGAAATAAACAAGATAAGCAAATAGGAGCTTACAACACAGGTCCCAGCAGGAGGGGTCACGCTCTGCATCAGGCCGGTGTCCACGCCGCTGCCGTGTGTGACGGATCCTGATAGGCCTGGCTGCTGTAGGGCACCTCTCGATTTCTCTCTGGGTCCTTAACCTTCCAGTAGCCTCTCTGCAGTCCCTCATCGGCTGGCCTAACCGTCCTGCCATAGCTCCCAGGTCTCCTGGGCTAAGCAGCTCATGGCATTGTTGGGGGGCAGGAGTTTATGTCGATCTGTAACTACACCATTCCTGCAGTTCTGAAATGAGTGGCCCCCATTTTCAATCTGCAGGCATTTTAATATCGCAAATATTGTAGCACTTCTGTAGTATATTTTGGGAAAACGTCTTCCTTCAGTCTAAACAAATCAAGCCCCATTTTATAACTGGCTATTTTGTAAAGACTCAAAACAGATTAGAGATCTTAATGAAATGATCTCTTAAATGAAATGATGTTCTTTATTTCACGAAATCATCAATCTTAAGCACGAGCAGGAATAAACAACTCCCAGAAGAAGCTTAATTCATTCTTCCTGGATTTTCACTGTGTGTTATTAAATCACAAAAATGACAGTCCCCACACTGCCCTTTCCCACTGACACCAAGTCCAACCGTGAGCACAGTGCCTCTGCGAAGCATCCTGGCACCCATGGTGAGCGCTGGCGACCAGGCAGTCTCTGGCCAGCAACAGGGACTGCTCAAGTTACCGACGTTGGTAGGAGCTGGGCTCGCATGGCCAGAATGGAACCCCCTAGACTTTCCACACGTCACCTGCCTGAACGCTAACTACAAAGAGGAAAGGCAACTTAAAGGTGTTTTCTAGATGCAGCATCAGTTAGTCCCTCTCTTTGTGCTTTAAGGAAGATGCTTTGTGCTTAACACATTCATCTGCTGATGGGACAAGCCATTCTAAAGGGCAGAAATGATCATCTTTAGAATTAACACTGACTTTGTAACACCTGGATGTTAACTGTCCAAATGGCAAATTATTCATCATTTCTAGGGATACAGTTAGCTAGCTGTAGCATCTAATTTTTACTTACTTTGATGACTGAATTGTAAGTGTTGGTTAAGTTTTATTAGTAATATAATGTTTGGCAGATGATCTGCTTAAATGGTTAACACATCTGTGGTTCTTTCTTTGAATATTGCTGTAATACTTGAACATTTCATTACAAGTCAAAACTTTAACGAAATTAAGAATGCTGATTCCCACATGGTGGAAAACAAACTCTGAAGTGACTTTGGATTTAGCATTGACATAAATGGAAACTGTTGGTTTCTACAGAAAAGAAAGAATTAAAGCATGATCTGGGGGAAAGGCACCGCACTACCACTTCACATGGGACAGAAAAGTTCATTTATCATGTCCTTAAAATCTCTAAGCCCTATATGAAACTGTCCAAATATACAAAGCTCAATAAACTACTAGCAACATATAGTGTAAGGTCAAAGTAGTTATTACATCGGAAAAGAGACAACAGGTACCCTGGAGACCGACTGCCCGCAAGCCAGCAGTGTCCACGAGAAACTGCAGGAAGAGCCTGTCTTCCCTGGCCCAGGGCTGGTGCTCTTGATGCGTTCTTGAGTTTCTTGCCCCCTGCCTCCACGGTGGCGGGTCTCCTGTCAGTTCCACGTGTGACACCTCTGGAGTCCTGAGTATATTCTGACACTCGGCAACCCAGGGCACCTTCTGAAGGGGTGTGTCACCTGCTTCCGAATGGAGATGAAGGCGGTTTCTGGGGTCAGTACCAGCTGTTATTTAGTGGCCCCTGAAACACAGCTCATGCCCCACTGCTTTGTGATGGCCTTGGGGGACAACTTGCATCAGCAGCTAAGAACTTAGGATTCAATGACAAAGCACAGCTTTCCTTTATTTCCTGTGCATCTGATTTCCTGATGTCTTCTTGATTTGCCTTGTAGCAATATGTGGTTGCTCAGCTTCAGTGAAAAATATATTGCCTTTTCCCCCATATATATGCAATAGCACACACCCTTTCTGCTTTCACCAAGGTTGCCCTTGATAATAAACGGATGTAATCCTGCATAACACCTGGGTCTGAATGTCTTCTTAGGAACACATTTGTCAGTGCTGCCCTCGAGAGCTTGCTCCACTCGACCGAAGGGCAGGAGCCTCAGCCTACAACTATGTTCCAGCACTTGCCACAGAAAACTTTGTGGTGGGGCAGAACCAGGAGGAAGCAACATCCACCCCAGCCAGACCCTCTGATTCCAGTTGGGTGGCTCGATTTCTCCCCGTTAGGGAGAGGGCAAGAAAATAAGCTTTAAATTTAAAAGGCTGGAATAAAAATAGGAACATACACTCTTCCTTCACCTGACCCACCTCAATTCCTGTGCTGAGACTAATTCACCAGGACATACCCGTTGTGTTGTGGATCCACAGCGTCTAGCATTTCACAATCAAAGAGTCCAGGTAGCTCAGAGAGGGCTAGTGGGTCGTAGCTGGAGGGGGCCTCTTGCAGTCCTGGGCTTCTGGGACAGTCTGGCCCCGTTAGGTCGCTCTGCTGGGCTCCATCCACAGGATACTGACAGGGAGTGGGATAGTCTGGCGCAGGGGAAGCAGCGCTTGGCAGCTCACAAGTCTGATAGGAGAACTGTAAGGGGGCTGGGGCAGCTCCTGGCTGTCGTGGTGGTGGAGGGGGTGGTGGCGGTGGCGGCTGCTGCTGCTGTAGCTGCGTGGGCAGAGGAGGAGCAGCCCGGGGACCGGAAGTGGAGGGCAGGGGCTGAAGCTGCATCTCTTGGTACTGGCTGAGGAAAGGGCTGTATTGCATCTGCTCGGAGGAAGGCTCCAGGACGGGGCTCAGGGGCTGGGTCAGGCTGAACGGTGGGGCCTGCTGAGAAGGCGGTGGAGTCTCCTGGCGGGGAAGGGGCAGCTGCTGACTTGGCTGTGGGTAGGAGCTCTCTGCTATCTGCATCTGATTAAAATAGGCCTGCAGTTGAGACTGCTTCTGAAGAAAGAGTCGCTTCTGCTGGAGCCTAAATTGGTAATATCAAAGGAAAGAATTTTAAATCTTCTCAAGTGATGGCAATTTTAATGTAAATGCAATACCAGTCACTAGCTTCAGTCTTCTACTTAAGTCTCTCTCATGTCAGCAAAAACAAGTGGGAATGGGAACCAATTGTGTTGGGTCTCTTAAACCTAATCTCATGTTTTGCCCCCCAGTTCTGATGATCCTTCAGTACTAACGTGAGCAGGAATGCATTTTCTCTGACTCCGAGTTTTTTCCTTTATACAATGAGAGGATGATTTCCCTTCTGGAGAGGCTAGAAGGGGAGATAATCACACCTTGGCCTCTGCAGGTGTCTGCAGTTGATGGATTGATTAGGGTAGGTCTACCTTGGCCAAGCTGCTTCTACTAGCGAGGCTGTGGGCACACATGATAGTAAGGGAGGACGGAAGGCTCCTGTGCCGCCTACCCCACCTCCATACTTTGGGCCACTGACTGTGAAAGCTTGGAGCTAGTCATACCCCAAAGAGGAAACGCTAGAAGAAAAGGAAAACAAAGTACACTGTGGGGCTGCCAGTGCCTGACAGGACCATCCTCCATGGATACTGAGATATCCTCTTAGTAATCGTGCTCAGAGGGCCTGTGACACACGCAGAAAACCTATTTTCCTAGTAGTGGCGAATGTGAGAGGAAAAGGACAACACATTCAGTGTTCTCAAGGCTTCCAGAAAAGGAAGCAACTTCTTTGGCCAAAGTCCCCTTCTCACCTATGTTCCTGCAGCTGCTGCTCAAGGCTCCGCGGTGGTTCTTTGCAATAAAGCTGACAGGTGTTCTGGGCCTTTGACAGAAGGCTGGGCTTCTGGAAGAGCAGAAAAACAACATGAGCGTGACAATGTGCTGTCACCTAGGATGCAGTCATCAGATGTGCTTCTGCCTGCAGGATGAATCTAACTGCATTCTACAGAATCCACACGGGGTGAAGGGACTGACATTTACTCCCTGAGACCCTGAAAGAGCATCGGGCCCGCAGGCCTGGGCCATCTCTGACCTCACCTACTTCCTTTTTCCACTCCATTTCCAAAAGTCCACTAGGACTGTGAGGCTCATGGACATTAAAAAGCAATGAGAAAGGTGGAGTTAGATCTTGAGAGCAAAGGCCCCAGCACCCGCTGAATGAATGATTCATCCTTTACGGGATCTATGCTTTATCGCTTTTTAAGATTTTTATGCACCAACATAGAAAGCCCATGTAGAAATTCTGCAGACTTAAGGTTTTCATTTTATTTGTTACTCATTAAGAGGAATACAATTAGAAAGAAAGAAGCCAGGTCTCCCGTTCCCACCCCTCAGTGGCATATCCTTTCGTGGGGCTTGAGGACAAAGCCTTTCCCACCACCAACACACAGCACAAAGCTAGATCTGAACACGTTTCTAGAAACTCCAAGTACAGAGTCAAAGCTACTTGCCTATAAGGAATCAAGCAGCTACCCTAAATAAATGCCAGGCAAAACACGTTTCTGCTTTGCAGAAGAACAGATTCTGGATGAGCAGAGTGAGGTGGACTCGCAAGGAGAAGGACCCACCTGGAGTCTGTGCTGCAGGTACTGGGTCTCCAGGCTCTGCCGTGGGGACAGCTGGGGATGCACGCTGGCAGGGAGAGTGGAGACGCTTTCCTGCTGCTGAGAAACTTCTTCCTGAGGAGCAAGGGGGTGGAAACAATTTTCAATTCCCCATGGGGAAAAACGTCTCAGTTCTTAGCTGAAGCACCTTTGCAATGTCCAATAGGAATACCAACTCCACTGAGACTTATTAATACTCAAAGCTTTTACAGAGCCAGTAGGCTGAGGGCTCATTACTCTGCAGAACATTTATGCATGTATTATCTCTAGTTAACAATTACCTAGTCAGTACTAGAGCAAAGACTCTTGGTGTCACCAGGAGGCTATGGCCTTCATGTGGGCCTCGAACTATAATCCTCTTGGATGCACTGAAAATAGGCTCAAAATAAAATCAGGTAAGTAGCAGTATTTATTGTATTTTTAGTATGAATAATCCACTTGTAGTATTTACTAAAGTGATACCACATCAAAAGTAGTGGTGAGAAGCTTCTCATTTGGGTGTAGTTCATTTGTGTATTTTTCATTTGGGTGTGTGTGTGGCAGGAGAAGGGGAGTTCAAGGGCGACTGTAAGAGGTCACTCATCTGTACTCTGCCCTGTGAGCCAAAAACAGCTTGAGAGTGTCCAGGCCTCCATCTGGTATTGATCACTTGGAAGCAGCGTGGATGGGTTGAACCCGTCAGTGGCAGGTGGCAGCAACAAGGCAAAGAAGCTGTGGGTTTTCCCAAACAGCCTGTTTGCTCCAGGACTGGAGGAAATCCTCTAAGTGAAAATGACCATCTTCAGGACAAACTCACACCTCATCCTCACAGAGCCATTGAGGGAAGGGCCCAAGGTACCCACCTGAGGGCAGCTGCTAGCAAGGTCCTGGAGCTGAGGAGCCGCCGGCGCCAGGTTAGGGTCTGCCTCCGGTCCTATTTGTTCATACAACAACTGCACTTTGTTCAACTCTAGAATTCCTTTGGTTCTAGCCAGATTCTGAAGATGTTGTCTAAATGCTACAATTCCTGAAAGAAAGCACCAAGACCAAACAGTTTAACTAAAATACAAGGCCTTTCAGTGACCACAGGTGACCACACCAACATGGCAAGAAACTGCTCTCCTACGACGCGAGTTTCAAAAAGCAGAGGAGGAAGTGCTCACCCTGGGTGAGGGAGGTATCTGATGCTCTGCGGCCCTCTCTGAAGCTCACTGGAGACCTGTTGTGGACCTCTCGTTTCTGGGAGCTCAGAGCCTGCATGGCTGGGTTGGTAGGTCTCAGGCTTATGAAGGGAGATGTCATGCGGGGTGAAGGCTGATTGGCTAACATGATGTCCTTAAGGGAAGGGTTGTCTTCCAGAAAGTTCAGGTCCCTCTGAACAGACCCCATATCATACTCAGAGTCCACACTGTCAAGGGAGGGGCTGTCATTCATGGAGAAAATTTTCCCTTTAAGAGAAAACAGAACAGATAAAACCAACAGCAATAGCATCTCCTTGGAACATAGGGTACAAAGCATAACCAGCTTGAGTTTTGACAGCTACCATGTCCTTAATTTCCAATCAAAACATCTTTTCAGAGCCCTTTTACTGGCCAATTTAGTCATCTTCAAGTTTAGTGGGGAAAACACTCCAGAAGTGGCATCTGTAAGATCTCAGCCAGTCCAAAAGAGCCAGAGTCCCTGATCAATCACGTGGCACCCAGATGAATCCTGGGGACTATGGGAGCCAACTCAGAGACATTTCAATTCACCTTTGATAGCTGCTGCCAGGCTGTGTCTGCTATACCTGCTGAATCTAATCCATAAAGGAATAAGCTATCGACTCAATTTTAGGTGTTGGCTGGCATCGTGACCACTTGTTGGCAATTGGAGTATGACATGATGCCATGAAGACTCAAGCTAGTGTCGCTCCTCTACCGTACCTGCCCCAGGCATCACGACCAGTTGATTGGTCACTTCTGACAGAGTGTGCCGTCTCTGCCCGCTGCGTGTGGACTGAAATGCCTCAAAGGCATGAGCGGGGTCTTCCTCGGCCTCTCCTTCTGTCTCCAGCCCTTCGTCAATGGAGGTCTCCATCATGTTGCTGGGCAGTGACTGGCATCCCTTCCGCACCAGGACAGGAGGCACAGGGTCAAGCAGACAGCCATTGACCTAAACGCCAGGGGAGAGAGGAAACTCAGTTTCTGCACTGCTGAGACAGAAAAATCCACAAAGGAAAACATGTCAAGACTTGTGGCGAACTAGAAATTAAGTAAAATATTTAAACATGCACATATTTATTATGCATGACAACACATAGATTAGAAGTGAAGGCAAGTCAACTGCAGGACTCAGAACTCTGAGACAGAAGCCCATGATGACCCAAACTGGCACTGCTGCCCAGGTTTCTCTGAGTCATCATTATTACAATAAACAACTTTTTTAGTGGTTTCCAGAAGAACAGGGGTATATTAGTTTGAGGACTACCAGTTATTATTTTTTTTTAAATAAGGGAAATGAAGAGGGGGAAGATGAGTTGTTTTTTTTTTTTTAACTACTTGGCTCATTGCTAAAAAAAAAAAAAAAAAAAGGGGTAGTCACCAAGATTCTTCTATTTTTTCAACCATAAACATAATGGAAGGTTTTAGAAAGACTTTTATGTTCAAAATTTAAGTACCTGCCCATTTGATTTAGTCTTTAATTGGTTCTATATGCCTGGGGAATGGAAAGTAAGAATTCTATATAGACAGACTGATACCACAAAAAGGATTGAAAAAAATTCAAATGGCAGACAGCCAAAGCCTCCCATTGTAGAATAACAAAGGGCTCACTGGCCCAAAATTCCAGCAGAGGCTAATAAGCCCCAGTGCACTGAATTTTGTCTCCTCCAGCAACATATACGTTATCGATGGTTCCTATCCCACAGGGGTGAGCGCAGCACAGCTCCCCGCAAGCATTGGCCCTTCCCATGCAGTTGCCACGCACACTGCCTAATGGCAGGCAGAACAGCATACTGGCATGGGGGTTGTGGTTGCAAGTTCTGGCTGGTAAAGGCCCCTGTGAGGAGGTAATTATTTACCTCATTACCTTAACTATTCCCCCGTGGAAATCAATCCATTTTCTCCTATGAATAGCTGCTCAGGAACAGCCAGTCATAAGACGCTGAGTTCTAAGCAGTACTTTCACCTGGAAAACACTGGGTAGAGCTACTGTTTCCTTTGGAAGCAGGAGAAGCTCATGTATGTGAGAGGTGGTGTGGGGTTTCCCTTTACCAGACACACAGGAAACTTTCCTCTTATGGCAGCCAATCTGAAGGCGCTGCGAGGCCCTTTATTTGGAGAAGGAGACTAGGGTGACTCAGATCTTTGTTTGCTGCAGGGAGGGGAAGGTTATTCCATAAAATCCATTCTGGGCTATAGCCCTCACTCGGGTAAGGTGGCTAATGCATTACAGGGTTTTAAAGCGATGAGCGGTCATTTAAGAGGAAGAGTGGTAAATGCTTCCTTTCCACACTGGCCAATCTTCCCCATGGCAGCAGAAAGCAAAACTCTGAAACCTGGCCAGCAACTCTTGCTCTCTCCTTGGTCCTTCCCCAGATAAACTTTCCTTTTTGACTAAACTTAATAGTTTCCTTGCAAGAAAGAATGGCTGTTTGAGAACTTACATTCATACCTCTAAGCTCCTTAACTCTCTACTAATACAATTTTCTAAAACTAGCCAAGAATGGTTTAGAAATGAATAAGCCAACAGAGAAAAGAAGATCATTAATTAATTATCTATTGAGCATCCTTACACTTACGGCCTCCGTCAAAATTTTACCAGACATTTCTTATAGGATAAGCCATATAAGCAAGTTCTTTTTTTTTCTTCAATTTTTAAGTTCCAGGGTACGTGTGCAGGATGTGCAGGTTTGTTACATAGGTAAACGTGTGTCATGGTGGTTTGCTGCACCTGTCAACCTATCACCTAGGTATTAAGCCCTGCATGCATCAGCTATTCTTCCTGATGCTCTCCCTCCCATTGCCCCCCTAACAGGCCCCAGTGTGTGTTGTTCCCCTCCATGTGTC